>NC_000016.10:51229166-51532197 GCF_000001405.40 Homo sapiens | reverse complement strand
GTGCTGCAAACATGATTTGACAGAAAACACACTTCTACTATTGCATATTCTACACTCCTCAACCTTTGCTCTAGCCTGCTACGGAGACCTCTTTGTAGTTTCCAGATTATTCACTGGAATAAGATAAAAATGAGTAACTCCTCAGAATCAAATCCCTATTAACCCAGGGGTCTTGCTGCAACCAATATGGGTTTACTATGTACAAGATACATGCATTCTATTTAATCCTACTAAATATATTATTGTCATTTCCATTTTTCCACAAAACATATGATTATTACCATCCTGTCCACTTTTCTGACAGATATGTCAGAAACTGAGAAGGGTCAAATTTAACTAACTTGCCCGAAATTCCACATCCATAATAAAGAAGGAGCTAGGATATGAACCCAGGTTGGGTTTTTGGAGGTGCTTTTCTGTTGTTTTGGGAGTTTGGGGTTTTTAAAATTTTTTTTGTTGATACCGAGTCTCACTCTGTCACTCAGGCAGTGGTGCAATCACAGCTCACTGCAACTTCGAATGCCTGGGTTCAAAGCATCCACCTACCTTGGTCTCCCAAGTAGCTAGGACTACAGGCATCCATCACTATACCCAGGTAATTTTTTTTTTATTTTTCTGTAGAGATGAAGTCTTGTAATATAGCCCAGGGTGTTCTCGAACTCCTGGGCTCAAGCGGTCCTCCTACCTCAGCCTCCCAAAGTGTTGAGGTTGCAGGTGTGAGCCACAGCAACTGGCCTGAATCCAGGTTTTGCCTGACTTCAGAACCCATGTTGTTGACCAAATGCCACATCTGTGGGTTGACACTGCTCTAAAATTAGGTGCTAGAAATTTGAAAGAATAACGTTGTGCCACATGAATGGACATCTGCCCACTTGAATCTGGAAAACTTTTTTAAAGTTCAGCTAATTCCCAGCTTCTTTTCAAACTTTTGTGGGGGGAAAAACATAAGGCATTATTTTACACTCCTCTGTATTGTCAATATCCCTGGAATTACAAGCAATGACACCTTGTAATAACAGTTCTATTGTATCTAGCTCTATTCTGTTTGATATGACTTTGGGGTCTGACATAACTTCATATCAATCAGAATTTTCAAAAATGCTGGCTTGTGATAGTTTGTTCCAAGGCCTTTGTGAATAATTATATAGAGGGGGAAATCTTTCTAATTCATATGGTAACTTCCCAATTATTCAAAACCATTTAATTGAGAATTTGTAATATTTGATACAGGATCTGGTCAAAATTTATATTCTGGAAAAATTTTAAAAAGCTAGTAAGCATATCATTAATGTAAATAAGTTTACAAGAGGATCATACAAGTCTCTTAAGAGAGCAAACTCTTTTCCAGCAATTTAGAGACACCCTGTCATTAGGTTGGTGTGCTAATTACAAATCATTCTAATTGATTCAATAGTCTCCCAAAAGACTTCCATAATGTACTAGACAAATACTTTATTAGCCAAGCTGAGTTACTGTAGGTTCTTAAAAGAAAAAAAAAAGCTTTCTTGAAAACAATATCAAGTCAGAATTCTCACTATTATAAAAAGGGCCCTTTCCTTGATTTTATTCTCAATCAGTGTTTGTTTCACTGTTTTGACTTCCTGCTTTTATTTAATGAATGCTAATGTGAGACAGAAAAGAGAAAATAGACTTGGTTTCTTTCCCTACATCCCTCTTGTCTCCCTTTGTAAAAAAAAAAAAAAAAAAAGAGCATCTGTTCATTCTTGACCATGATCAATTTCCCCCTTTTTTCTCTCACAGTCCTGATTTTTTTCCCCCTTTTGGGAGTCACCACATTTCCACTGTCTGTCTATGCAGGTTAGATAGATTGACCCCACCTTCCTGGATCCAGGATGGCCACTTAGAAATGTTCTATACATATGTTGTTCACAATGATGGCTATGGGAATGGGCACGAATCCCAAGGCAGGCCAATGAGAAGACGTGCTGGTAGCACCTGAATTGCTGAGCTGTAGGAAATAGGTCAGGTGCCTGATGGCCACCACATGGAAGATGGAAGGACTTGCCAGAGGAATGAAGTTGATACAGAGTTGGAGACAGAGACAAGTAAAGCCATTCCTGACAATGTTATTTGAAGCTCTGGATTAGGTCGTACCTGTCATCATTTGTACCCCTGAGTTTTCGACTCATACCAACTAAGATATTACTTTTATTTATTTTCCTTTTTTAAAGCTTGTTTAGGTTGTGTTTTTATTCACTTGAATAGAATTTAGGCTGGACGTGGTGGCTCATGCCTGTAAGTAATCTCAGCACTTTGGGAGGCCATGGCTGGCAGATTGCTTGAGGTAAGAAGTTTGAGATCAGCCTGGCCAACATGGCGAAACCCCATTGCCACTAAAAACACAAAAAATTAGCCGGGCATGGTGGTGCACTCCTGTAATCCCAGCTACTCAGGAGGCTGAAGTGGGAGGATCCTTTGAATCCAAGAGGCGGAGGTTGCATTGAGCCAACATCACACCACTGAACTCCAGCCTAGGCGGCAGAGCCAGATACCATCTCAAAAAAAAAAAGATTTTAAAGTGTATTTTATTTTCTTAAGGAATCCCTTAAAATAAAAAGAAATATTTTATTTCCTTGCATATAATTTTATCTTCTTGTACAACACTGACCTCCTTCTCTGAGATTACTCAAATTGAAAAGGCCAATAGTTTATTTATACCTGAACTAAAGGCTATCCATCTGAATTTTGATCTAAAGGCTTACTAAGAAAAATATTTCACATTTCTGTATTTTTAATCTTCTTAATTTTTATTCTGAGCCTCTATCTACTCCTTCCTAAGTCTCTGGGAACTGCTTTTTAGTTGAGAAGCCATCCCTTTATCCTCATGCCTTGGGGTCCTCAACGAACATGAGATTTTTGGAAACTAAAGCCAGGAGGCTCTGCCACAAACCATCCCAAAGCCAAGGAAACACAGAAACTGCTTCCTGCCTGATGGGGGGAGGTGAATTATTCAATAATACAAACTGCAAGGAAAAAATATAATTCAATGAAAAGAAAAATCTCACTGTAACTACTTCAAAAAATTAATTTTAGCCCAACAATAAACAGCTTGGATGCAGCAAGTCAGCTTCAGATTCTGCAGAAAAAGGTGATGGTAATAACCTCAAGAATAAGACTAGACATTTGAATCTTATTCTAGTCTTGGGTCTAAGATCATAATGGTCATTTTCTATTTCTGGGTCTCTCTTTTGCCATCTGTAATGTGCAGATAAGCAGACTTACTTATTCAAATACATAGCAAAGACATGAGAGATTCTTATCTACTCCCCTGCCTACAACAGTTTCATAAAAATGTAATCCACTATCCAAATTAAATCAGTCTTCTACAATAGTTCCTAAGGAAGCATATTTTGTAAAGCTTTCCAAGTGATTCTGAAGAACAGGCAAGTTTGAGAACCACTGCTTTAGATGAAGGAAGCACTAGTGCTTTTATTAAAACAATGGCTCAAAACATGGTCTAGATTCACCAGCGAAGCTTTATATAAAAGGAAATACACTGGACCATATCCTCAGGCCTGCCAGGATAAGGCCAGGGCATGGGTCTGTTCAACAAGTAACAGTGGTGACTCGGAACCTCTGTTGGAAACCTAAGCCATTCTGGTATTCCAGGATACCTTCTGTTTCTGTTTGCTGGCTTGGTCTTCATTGTCCTAAGAAGCCCAGGCCTCACTCCAGGCTGCCTCAGGAAGTCCATCCAGAGACCTGGGCTGGTCATGTTGACCATGACAGGGCCAAATTAGCCTGCTTGGTCTTGTCGATTTTCATGCTGCTGATAAAGACATACCCAAGACTGGGTAATTTATAAAGAAAAAGGACTTTAATGGACTCACAGTTCCATTTGGCTGGGGAGGCCTCACAATCATGACAGAAGGCAAAAGGCACATCTTACATGGCAGCAGACAAGAGAGAATGAGAGCCAAGTGAAAAGGAAAACCCCTTATAAAACCATTAGGTCTCATGAGACTTATTCACTACCACGAGAACAGTATGAGGGAAACCACTCCCATGATTCAATTATCTCCCACTGGGTCCCTCCCACAACATGTGAGAATTATGGGAGTTACAATTCAAGATGAGATTTGGGTGGGGACACAGCCAAACTATATCAGTCTTCAAGGATAGAGTAGGAGACTCTCTGGTTTCCACAAAGGTAAAGTATCAGAGTGCTTTTGGTTTTGGTTTTGTTGTTGTTTTTAAAGTGTGAGGGCAATTGCTCGGTTGTCCTGGGCCTCAGAGGAGCTGTAGACATTTAGTGCCTGTCCAAAATGCCAGTGATGCTCCCACTGAGAAGCATTGGCCAGGGAAGGGACTAGTGTTCTCTATCTGGGAATGGAAAGCTCAGAGGACAGTTAGAACATGCACAGTTGATGAGAATCTTTGTTCTCTGAAGATTCTGTGTAGTATTCAGTGAGATGCCACATAGATCCAGTAAAATACATCAAAAATTTGAAAGAGCTGAGGCAAACATACGGGAGATCTATCAGTGGGTTTGAGAAAGGGCACTGTTGTTTCTGCTGCCTTTGTGTCCCAGGGTTGTGTCCAGCATCAACAGCAGTAGCAACGTGGTCATCACAAAAATATTCCACCTGGTTTTGCTTCCATCCACAGGTTGCAGACTATAGGTCACATGTTACTCACATGGTTTTCCAACGAAACACACACAGTATTCTAAAAACATTCATACAATAACTACCTCCAACATCTAGAATTCTTGGGATTTCACATTAACAACCATATATTTCCTTTTGAAAAAATTCAGAGTTGGCAGCAGGGGCCTGTATGTCTGCGCAGCAGCATTGGTGGTGCCGGGTGGCTTCCGCCCCTTGAGATACGTCCCTCGTTCTCTAGTCCCCGCTGCCCTGGTTTTCTGCTTCAAGCTTGGCCTCTGTAGGCACTTGCATTTCTGAGCCTCGTATAGTCATTCTCTTCTTTTTCAGAATCCTTTTTCTGTAATTCTTCCATGGGTCCACCTCCGTAATCCAGCGAGGAGGGCAGGACCCGCAAGACAGGTCACATTTCACAAATGGGGAGACCAAGACCCAGGAAGGGGGCAGGATTTGCCCTGAATCAAAGAGCAACTTTTTCCTACCATAGTGACTTCAATAAATCAGACCACGATCCCCCTCCCTCCAGACACGACCCCCCACAACCTATTTCTAAGGGAGCTTATTTCCCCCAGCTTAGTTCAGGTGTTCCTGGCTTTGTGTGGCTATAAAAGAATTGGATTTAGCTCTGTTTGGCTTCCCTGTTCTCTTCCTGACAGCGCTATTTAATGGACAAACAGTTTGTTTTATTTATCTGACAGGGTTTCTTCACATTGTTTCGGGTTATCAGCCCTCCCCTGCAGATCATATTACAGCTTGTGCCGGGTTCGACCCTCAGTAGGGTTCACTCTAAATCAGATCCTTATCCTCACTGCAGTGATAAATAGAGCGGCCTGGAAGCCCACAGCCAGGTTATTTATTTAGTACCTCCGTGGATCATGTTTTATACAGCCGGGACTTCGTGTCAGGCCTTTACGGATCCAGCTTAAGTTGCATTCAGGAACTAAAACCCAAAGCCCCTTAAATAATGCTAACTTAATAGCTGACATTTTTATGAAATAAGTCTGTGTGGAGGGGGCAGAAAGGGGGCAATGCGGACAGAGAGCTGGAGCTGAGTTTCAGTGTGTGTGTGGCAGGGGTATCTGAACGCGGGTGGAGATTGGAGAGGATAGGGAGGCTTTGATTCTCTGGTTTATTTCAAACTAACAGAATATTTTGCTTTTAAGTGAGGTCTCTCATGGAGGTCTATAGTTCTTGTTTTTTTGTTTGTTTGTTTTATTTTAATGAGATAAAAAAGGAAGAGTCGGAGTTGAGATAATGTTTCTTAGGGAGCCACACAAATTAGGGATGGGGTCTTTCACTGGGCGGGGGGCAATTTATTTTATTTATTTTAAATTTTTAAGACAGGGTCTTGCTCTGTCACCCAGGCTGGGGTGCAGTGGCATGATCGCTGCTCATTGCAACCTCCTGCAGCAAGCGATTCTTGTGCCTCAGCTCCCAAGTAGCTGGGACTACAGGTGCACGCCACTACGCCCAGCTAATTTTTGTATTTTTGGTAGAGACGGGGTTTTCCCGTGTTGGCCAGGCTGGTCTCGAAGTCCTGGCCTCAACTGATCCTTTCATCTCGACCTCCCAAAGTGCTGGGATTACAGGCATGAGCCACCATGCCTGGCCAGGGGGCAATTTATGTAGTGGTGGAGGGAGGAAGCATTCTCTCTGAGAATCATCTTGTCAGAACCATCTGGCTGGGGGCGGTGCACAAGAACCATCTGCTGGGAGCCTCATTTCCATCCTGTTCCTTAAATGCAAACTTTTGACGTTATCCATAAATGAAGTCACACACACAATCACTGCAATGTGGGTACACGAAATGTGTTATTTTGACAAGAGTTAACATTTAACATACTCAAATTCATTTATTTTGCAATTGACTTATGGTATTTCTCCATTTTCGAATATACTAGAAGTCAAAAACAGAAAAAAAAATGAGCCTCATGTTTTTCAACCTTCAACCTTCAAGGATCTAGAGGGGAGGAAATGAAAACATCTGCCTTCATAAAGGTGCTGCTCTTTCCTTCCAGGATTCCCCAGGGCATCCTTGGAGTGCCCCCAGTTTGAATTGGAGATAAAAGGTATGGTCTTGTTGAAATTGCCCCCAAATTGAGCTGCACCTTCCAATTGAGGCAGAAAGAATCGCCTTTTGATACGTTCCACAATTGGAATGCAAATTCTCTCCCATCTCCTAGACACCTGGGCCTGCCCCCATTTTTCTTGACTGTAATCTGTTTAGCTTGTGCATAAAATGGCAAAAACAAAGAGTCTTTCTGTAAAAGAAAAAGAAGAGGAAAGAAAGTAGATTCTGTGTCCTCTTCCTTAGTCCTTGCCAAATCTTTGCTCCCAGGCCTCGGCAGGTGGCAGTGTACATGAGTCATGCAGTCTATCTTTCTGTTTTGTTTGTTATTAACCACTGAAATGATGGCACCATTCCTGGAGTTAGGCCTTCAACCAAAGAGCTGGGCCATCCGTGGCAATGCCTCCCAGGCTTGGGAGCTGGGAAAAGGCCCCAGGAGCTAGGGCATCCTGATTGTTCTTTCAAAGAAATCCCTCTTGTTCTTAGTCAACATGCTGGATACCAGCTAAAAAATGCAAAATGATCTTCAGGCAGGGATGGCACAGGACCCTTGCTGAGCTGTGAAGCCTGGCTGTGAGGATTCCTGCATGGAAACATCAACATGTTGCCAGATTGGTATACGACTCAACACCACACTGGTATGTAACCAGCTTAGAGGTCTGGGGGTTTTAGGGAAGCTGGGAAGTATTATTGCATGTTAGAGCTTGAGAACACAGGGCAGGCCAAAAGGTTAGGTTCTGATATGTGTGAAGGTTGAGTACCCGGCCCGGCACCTAGACAATGCTTCAGTTTGGCTTGCAACCAACAGGACACAACAGTGAAGGTACCCATTGCTGGGGGAAGAGGAGTAGGAGGCTGTGGTCATCACGGTTGGGGAAGGAAGCCATAGTTGAAACCACATGTAAATAATTAGGAAGAAAAAAGACCATGGTGTCATATAGATTTGTAAATCTCTAAAAATGAGGATGGTTAGGGGTACTGAAAAGAATTAAGTATTGTCATGAAATGCTTTCCTCCACTGTACATTAATTTTATTTAAAAACTCTTATATAAGCATTTACTTTGTATCAGGCACTGTTTTGAACGCTGTGCAAGTATGAGCTCTCCTACGCCTCATTACAAACCTATGAGCTAAGCACTTTTAGGTCATCACTGTTTCAGGATCTGGAAAATGTGGTCCTGGAAGGTTAAGTCACTTACCTGAAGTCACCTAGCTTCCACGTGGGATTCACATGCAGGCAGCCCTGCTTGAGTTCACGGCCTCTCTACAAGACTCAGGCAGCAGATCTTGGATTCAAAGTGCTTAGAATACATTGCTTTCCCAGGAGCCACATTCAAGATGGGCTCATGTGATTCTTTGCTGTCCTTTTCAGGATCTGTCCTTGCCTCCAAGGCCCCAAATCTTCAGTCTTCATGGTTGACATCTGTTTATTTAATCTGGGATGTCTGCTGTGCAATGACGCCCTGTCTTTCTAGTTCTTGTTGGTTGGTCTGATTGAACCACAGGCCTCTCTTCGTGCGCTTCATTCTTCTCTGCTCAGCTGGTATCTCTGTTTTTGGAAGGCAGGTGTGAATCCTTACACTCAGCTCTCGAGGTCATTCATTTCTTCCATCTTCCTGCTCCTGATCCAGCCTCCATGACCTGCCTGCAGATAGCATTGCTACCCATGTCTGTTGGGTAATGGATAGATATTCAAGGAATGTTTGTTGAATGAATGCATGAGTGAATAAATGACAAATAAACTAAGCCTCTGCCAAAAGCCAAGCCCCTACACCTGCTTTCCTGTGGCGAGCTCCCACTTGAGACAATTATCCAAACACATTAATTCCTGAAAGAAAGAGCAGCCAGGAGTTCATTCCTTAGAGCAGAAAACACAAAAGGTTAAAAGTGGCTCTTTCTTTGAGTCCCCGACTGTGATTTCAGCACAGAGTGCAAACTCATTCCAGCTGGAAGGATTCCATTGTTGACATCTACAAAGCATTTGGAAAATCCTCATGGAGAAAAATGCTGGCAAAATCATGTAAGAAAAAAACGAATGAAATCTATAAATTTTATTATAATCACATGAAAGTGACATTTGTTTATGGCCAAAGACTAGAAAGGAACATGAAATATCAACATGGCTTATTGTTTAGTATATTACAATTTGAATTTTTAAAAATACCTACTGATGATTGTTGTTGGCATGTGTGTGAATGCATGTTCATGTGTGAGTGTGCATGTGTGGAGAATAACAGGCTATGAAAAGATTGTACCATCATCCAAGGGAACTTTGCACTAAGTTATCAATCCTGACCTGTTCTTCAAAAGTTGGATGATTTCTGATTAAATTGTCCAGGTGATTGCCCAAGTCCTAACCTCACAATGGCAGTGGCAGTGGTAGTCAACACCAGGTTGACACAGTTTCTATAATTGGGTAAGCATTGCACTTTGGGCCCAAGGTAATCATCTTGTTGATAGCACATGGAAGGTATTTGGCAGCTAAAGGGCAGCTGAGCTAACATTGCACCTGGCTGTTAAGAACATATTAGAATGATTAAGAGAAAAGAAAGATAAACTGTTTATTATTATTATTATTATTATTATTATAGTTTAAGTTCTGGGATACACGTGCAGAACGTGCAGGTTTGTTACATAGGTATACACGTGCCATGGTGGTTTGCTGCACATATCAACCCGTCATCTACATTAGGTATTTCTCCTAATGCTATCCCTCCCCTAGCCCCCAACTCCCTGACAGGCCCCAGTGTATTATGTTCCCCTCCCAGTGTCCATGTGTTCTCATTGTTCAACTCCCACTTATGGGTGAAAACATGGGGTGTGTGGTTTTCTATTCCTGTGTTAGTTTCCTGAGAATATGGTTTCCAGCTTCATCCATGTCCCTGCAAAGGACATGAACTCATCCTTTTTTATGGCTGCGTAGTATTCCATTGTGTATATGTGCCTCATTTTCTTTATCCAGTCTATCATTCATGGGCATTTGTGTTGGTTCCAAGTCTTGCTATTGTGAACAGTGCTGCAATAAACACACATGTGCATGTGTCTTTATAGTAGAATGATTTATAATCCTTTGTGTATATACACAGTAATGGGATTGCTGGGTCAAATGGTATGTCTGGATCTAGATCCTTGAGGAATCACCACATTGCCTTCAACAATGGCTGAACTAATTTACACTCCCACCAACAGTGTAAAAGCATTCCTATTTCTCCACATCCTCTCCAGCATCTGTTGTTTCCCGACTTTTTAATGATCACCATTCTAACTGGCATGAGATGGTATCTCATCGTGGTTTTGCTTTGCATTTCTCTAATGACCAGTGATGATGAGCTTTTTTTCAAATGTTTGTGGGCCGCATACATGTCTTCTTTTGAGAAGTGTCTGTTCATATCCTTCGCCCACTTTTTGATAGGATTGCTTGTTTTTTTTCTTGTAAATTTGTTTGAGTTCTTTGTAGATTCTGGATATTAGCCCTTTGTCAGATGGATAGATGGCAAAAATTTTCTCCCATTCTGTATGTTGCCTGTTCACTCTGATGATAGTTTATTTTGCTGTACAGAAGCTCTTTAGTTTAATTAGATCCCATTTGTCAATTTTGGCTTTTGTTGCAATTGCTTTTGTTGTTTCAGCCATGAAGTCTTTGCCCATGCCTATGTCCTGAATGGTATTGCCTAGGTTTTCATCTAGGGTTTTTATGGTTTTAGGTCTTACATTTAAGTCTTTAATCCATCTTGAGTTAATTTTTGTACAAGGTGTAAGGAAGAGGTCCAGTTTCAGTTTTCTGCATATGGCTAGCCAGTTTTCCCAACACCATTTATTAAATAGGGAATCCTTTCCCCATTGCTTGTTTTTGTCAGATTTGTCAAAGATCAGATGGTTGTAGATGTGTGGTGTTATATCTGAGGACTCTGTTCTGTTCCATTGGTCTATATATATGTTTTGGCACCAAGTATCATGATGTTTTGGTTACTGTAGCCTTGTAGTATAGTTTGAAGCCAGGTAGCATGATGCCTCCAGCTTTGTTCTTTTTGCTTAGGGTGCTCTTGGGCTATACAGGGTCTTTTTTGGTTCCATATGAAATTTAAATTAGTTTTTTCTAATTCTGTGAAGAAAGTCAATGTAGCTTGATGGGGATAGCACTGATTTTATAAACTACTTTGGGCAGTGTGGCCATTTTCACAATATTGATTCTTCCTATCCATGAGCATGGAATATTTTTGCATTTGTCTATGTCCTGTCTTATTTCTTCGAGAAGTGGTTTGTAGCTCTCCTTCAAGAAGTACTTCACACCCTTTGTAAGTTGTATTCTTAGGTATTTTATTCTCTTTGTAGCAATTGTGAACAGGAATTCACTAATGATTTGGCTCTCTGTTTGTCTCTTATTGGTGTATAGGAATCCTTGTGATTTTTGCACATTGATTTTGTATCCTGAGACTTTATTGAAGTTGCTTATCAGCTTAAGGAGATTTTGGGCTGAGATGATGGGGTTTTTTAAATATACAATTATGTCATCTGCAAACAAAGACAACTTGACTTCCTCTCTTCCTATTTGAATACGCTTTATTTCTTTCTCTTGTCTGATTGCCCTGTCAGAACTTCCAACACTATGTTGAAAAGGAGTGGTGAGAGAGGGCATCCTTCTCTTGTGCTGGTTTTCAAACAGAATGCTTCTATCTTTTACCCATTCAGTATGATATTGGCTGTGGGTTTGTCATAAATAGCTCTTATTATTTTAAGATACATTCCATCAATACCTAGTTTATTGAGAGTTTTTAGCATAAAGTGGTATTGAATTTTATCAAAGGCCTTTTCTGCATCTATTGAGATAATCATGTGGTTTTTGTCATTGGTTCTGTTTATGTGATGGATTACATTTATTGATTTGCATATGTTGAACCAGACTTGCATCCCAGGGTTGAAGCCGACTTGATCGTGGTGGATAAGCTTTTTGATGTGCTGCTGGATTTGGTTTGCCAGTATTTTATTGAGGATTTTTGCATCGATATTCATCAGGGATATTGGCCTGAAATTTTCTTTTTTGTTGTTGTTGTGTCTCTGCCAGGTTTTGGTATCAAGATGATGCTGGCCTCATAGAATGATTTAGAGAGGAATCTCTCTTTTTCTATTGTTTGGAATAGTTTCAGAAGGAATGGTACCAGCTCCTCTTTCTACGGCTGTGAATCCATCTGATCCTGGGCTGTTTTTGTTGGTAGGTTATTAATTACTGCCTCAATTTCAGAACTTGTTATTGGTCTATTCAGGGATTTGACTTCTTCCCCACATAGTCTTGGGTGGGTGTATGTGTCCTGGAATTTATCCATTTCTTCTAGATTTCCTAGTTTATTTGCGTAGAGGTATTTATAGTATTCTCTGATGGTAGTTTGTATTTCTGTGGGATCAGTGGTGATATCCCCTTTATCATTTTTATTGTGTCTATTTGATTCTTTTCTCTTTTTTTTACTTATTAGTCTGGCTAGCAGTCTATCTATTTTATTAATTTTTTCAAAAACCAGCTCCTGGATTCATTGATTTTTCAAAGATATTTTGTGTCTCTATATACTTCAGTTCTGCTCTGATCTAAGTTATTTCTCGTCTTCTGCTAGCTTTTGAATTTGCTTGCTCTTGCTTCTCTAGTTCTTTTAATTGTGATGTTAGGATGTCAATTTTAGATATTTCCTGCTTTCTGCTGTGAGCATTTAGTACTGTAAATTTCCCTCTAAACACTGCTTTAGCTGTGTCCCAGAGATTCTGCTGCATTGTGTCTTTGTTCTCATTGGTTTCAAATAACTTATTTATTTCTCCCTTAATTTCGCTATTTACCCAATAGTCATTCAGGAGCAGGTTGGTCAGTTTTCATGTAGTTGTGCAGTTTTGAGTGAGTTTTTTAATCCTGGGTTCTAATTTGATTGCACTGTGGTCTAAGAGACTGTTTGTTATGATTTCCATTCTCTTGAATTTGCTGAAGAGTGTTTTACTCCCAATTATGTGGTCAAGTGTGATGTGGTGCTTACAACAATGTATAGTCTGTTGATTTGGGGTGGAGAGTTCCGTAGATGTCTATTAGGTCTGCTTGGTCCAGAGCTGAGTTCAAGTCCTAAATATCCTTGTTAATTTTCTGTATCATTGATCTGTCTAATACTGACAGTGGGGTGTTACAGTCTCCCACTATTATTGTGTGGGAGTCTAAGTCTCTTTGTAGGTCTCTAAGAACTTGCTTTATGAAACTGGGTGTTCCTGTATTGGGTGCATGTATATTTAAGAGAGTTAGCTCTTCTTGTTGCATTGATCCCTTTACCATTATGTAATGCCCTTTTTTGTCTTTTTTGATCTTTGTTGGTTGAAAGTCTGTTTTATCAGAGACTCAGAGACTAGGATTGCAACCCCTGCTTTTTTTTTTTCCATTTGCTTGGTAAATATTACTCCATTCCTTTATTTTGAGCTTATGTGTGTCTTTGCACATGAGATAGGTCTCCTGAATACAGCACACCAATGGGTCTTGACTCTTTATCCAATTTGCCAGTCTGTGTCTTTTAATTGGGGCAGTTAGGCCGTTTACATTTAAACTTAATATTGTTATGTGTGAATTTGATCTTGTCATTACAATGCTAGCTAGTTATTTTGCCCATTAGTTGATGCAGTTTCTTCATAGTGTTGATAGTCTTTACAATTTGGTATGTTTTTGCAGTGGCTGATACTGGTTTTTCCTTTCCATATTTAGTGCTTCCTTCAGGAACTCTTGTAATGCAGGCCTGGTGTTGACAAAATCTTTCAGCATTTGCTTGTCTGTAAAGGATTTTATTTCTCCTTCACTTATGAAGCTTAGTTTGGCTGGATATGAAATTCTGGGTTGAAAAATCTTTCTTTAAGAATGTTGAATATTGGCCCCCACTCTCTTCTGGCTTGTTGAGTTTCTGCAGAGAGATCTGCTCTTAGTCTGATGGGCTTCTCTTTGTGGGTAACCTGCCCTTTCTCTCTGGCTAACTTTAACACTTTTTCCTTCATTTCAACCTTGGTGAATCTGATGATTATGTGTCTTGGGGTTGCTTTTCTTGAGGAGTATCTTTGTGGTGTTCTTCATATTTCCTGAATTTGAACATTGGCCTGTCTTGCTAGGTTGGGGAAGTTCTCCTGGATAATATCCTGAAGAGTGTCTTCCAACTTGGTTCCATTCTCCCCATCACTTTCAGGTACACCAATCAAATGTAGGTTTGGTCTTTTCACATAGTCCCATGTTTCCTGGAGGCCTTGTTCATTCCTTTTCATTCTTTTTGCTCTAATCTTGTCTTCATGATTTATCTCATTAAATTGATCTTCAATCTCTGATATCCTTTCTTCCACTTGATTGGTTTGGCTATTGATACTTGTGTATGCTTCACAAAGTTCTTGTGCTGTGTTTTTCAGCTCCTTCAGGTCATTTATGTTCTTCTCTAAACTGGTTATTCTAGTTAGCAATTCCTCTAACCTTTTTTCAAAGTCCTTAGCTTCCTTGCATTGGGTTAGAACACGCTCCTTTAGCTCGGAGGAGTTTGTTATTACCCACCTTCTGAAGCCTACTTCTGTCAATTCATCTAACTCATTCTCTATCTGGTTTTCTTCCCTTGCTGGCAAGGAGTTGTGGCCCTTTGGAGGAGAAGACACATTCTGGTTTTTGGAATTTTCAGCTTTTTTGCACTGGTTTTTCCTCATCTTCGTGGATTTACCTACCTTTGGTCTTTGATGTTGGTGACCTTCGGATGGGGTTTCTGTGTGGGCATCCTTTTTGTTGATGTTGATGCTATTCCTTTCTGTTTGTTAGTTTTCCTTCTAACAGTCAGGCCTCTCTTCTGCAGGTCTGCTGGAGTGTGCTGGAAGTCCACTCCAGACTCTGTTTGCCTGGGTATCACCAGCAGAGGCTGCAGAACAGCAAAGATTGCTGCCTGTTCCTTCCTCTGGAAGCTTCGTCCCAGAGGGGCACCTGCCAGATGCCAGCTGGAGCTCTCCTGTGTGAGGTGTCTGTCAGCCCCTGCTGGGAGGTGTCTCCCAGTCAGGAGGCATGGAGGTCAGGGACCCACTTGAGGAGGCAGTCTGTCCCTTAGCAGAGCTCAGGCACTGTGCTAGGAGATCCACTGCTCTCTTCAGAGCTGGCTGGCAGGAACGTTTAAGTCTGCTGAAGCTGCACCCACAAGCCGCCCCTTCTCCCAGGTGTTCTGTCCCAGGGAGACAGGAGTTTTATCTATAAGCCCCCGACTGGGGCTACTGCCTTTTTTTCAGAGATGCCCTGCCCAGAGAGGAGGAATCTAGAGAGGCAGTCTGGCTACAGCAGCTTTGCCAAGCTGTGGTGGACTCCATCCAGTCCAAACTTCCCAGAGGCTTCGTTTACACTGTGAGGGGAAACCTGCCTACTCAAGCCTCAGTAATGGCAGATGCCCTTCCCCCACAAAGCTTGAGCATCCCAGGTCAACTTCAGACTGCTGTGCTGGCAGCAAGAATTTCCAGCCAGGGCCTTGCTGGGCTCTGTAGGGGTGGGATCCGCTGAGCTAGACCACTTGTTTCCCTGGCTTCAGCCCCCTTTCCCAGGGAGTGAATGGTCCTGTCTCGCTGGCATTCCAGGCACCACTGGGGTATATAAAAAAAAAAACTGCAGCTAGCTCGGTGTCTGCCCAAACGGCCACCCAGTTTTGTGCTTGAAACCCAGGGCCCTGGTGGTGTAGGTGAGGCAATGCCCCACCCTGCATCTGCTCTCTCTCCATAGGCTGCACCCACTGTCTATCCAGTCCCAGTGAGATAAGCCAGGTACCTCAGTTGGAAATGCAGATATTGCCCACCTTCTGCGTTGATCTCACTGGGAGCTGCAGACTAGAGCTGTTCCTATTCGGCCATCTTGCACGCAACTCCCAAATCTGTTTTTAAAAAGGGAAAAGAAGGCTGGGTGCGGTGGCTCACACTTGTAATCTCAGCACTTTGGGAGGCCAAGGTGGGCGGATCACCTGAGGTAAGGAGTTTGAGACAAGCCTGACCAACATGTAGAAACCCCATCTCTACTAAAAACACAAAATTAGCTGGGCATGGTGGTGCATGCCTGTAATCCCAGTTACTCAGGAGGCTGAGGCAGGAGAATTACTTGCACCCCAGGAGGCAGGGGTTGCAGTGAGCCGAGATCATGCCATTGCACTCCATCCTGGGCAACAAGACCAAAACTCCATCTCAGAAAAAAAAAAAAAAAAGGAAAAAGACAAGCCGAGTTTAGCAAGAATCCTACTCATATGGAAGTCGTATTCATTGAGCACTTCCTACATGCAGAGTTCAATGTTATTTATTGTTCCTTAAAATAATGTCCAACGTTTCTCAACCATAATTGTCAATGGCATTTGATGGATGAATGATCTAATGAATATGCATTTGAAATATCTTTTTAACTTCCTATTTATGTTTGTACATAATTAACTCATGTGTTATTATCTAAATAATAGAAATATGAACTTCTACTTTAAAAAGGATACATATCCAGAAGATCTTGAAGATGAAGGTGTGAGTGTAGTATTTGATTTGAGAGGTGATCTCAGGAGACACCAGTAGAGGAAAGTGAATGAAAAGGCCAATCCTTGGGGCATAGATGAGGAGGTTTCCACTGTAGACAAGCAGGAGTCAGTGTCCATATGGGAAAACATGTTTCAGAGTTGGCCTACCCAAGAAGTAGGGAAGCTGGGGTATGCACCAACTCCCATTCATCGGTGGCTGAGGGATGCTCCCATGGATGGTAACTGCCCAGCAATTCCAGTCTGCCCTGGACTCTGGCTCAGCTGCTCCCATTTCTAGAGGCATACTACCAGAAAGACATCTTTAGTAGGAATGGTAAGTGTCAAGGTCGTACGGATGAGGCATCTTCTGTACCTGCTACTGACAAGCATATCAGGTAATTTGCTGCTACTTTTTCTGGTATCTACATCAGAAATGCCTCTGTATTGTTGCTTAATCTATAATCCCAGCATAGGACACTATCATCTCTCTCTCTGTCAATTCACAGGCATCATAGCTAGTGTAGCCTACCACAGAGTAAATAACCCATTAATATGTTTTAAATAAACAAATAACGTATCACTCAAGGCCCAGTTCAAATCTCACTTCCTTCAAGAAATGCTCTCTAGGCCAGCATGGTGGTTCACACCTGTAATCTCAGCACTTTGGGAGGCCGAGGTGGGTAGATTGCTTGATCCCAAGAGTTTGAGACCAGCCTGGGTAGCACGGCAAAACCCTGTCTCTGCAAAAAATACAAAAATTAACTGGGTTTGGTAGCACATGCCTGTAGTCCCAGCTACTCGGGAGGCTGATGTGGGAGGATCACCTGAGCCCGGGGAAGTCAAGGCTGCAATGAGTGGTGTTGGTGCCACTGCATGCTAGCCTGGGCTACAGAGTGAGAACCTGTCTCAAAAAGAAAAAGAAATACTCTCTAATTTCCTCTTAGAAATACTTTCTAAGTTTCCCAGAACACTTTGCACTTCAATTACAGCCCTTTGCTCTTCATCTTTTCTTGTTGAGAATAATTTGCCTGCTCCTGGCCCTGCAGCTTATCAGCAAAGATCTCGTCAATACAGGGAGAGTGAGAGTCAGCAGTTTTTAGCTATCATCTGTGACTAGGTGGGTGAGCCTAATTTTCAGGTGCAGTACTAGGGAGCTTCTTGCTCCTGGTTCATGCTTCTAAGCCATGCTATTCCAGTTCAACTTTCACAGCAATGAAGCCAATCTTGATTTGTGTGACTTCTCTGCTTTTGTCAATTGGTTCTGAACTCAGGTAGGAAAGACGGTTCTTATTTATTGTGTCCCTCTCAAATTCCTACCCATACAATGCAGAGACTTCAAGCTTCCAAAACAGTATTGGAAGGAACACTTCCACAATCTAAGGCATTTAGGATTCTCATGGATAATAACCCCTGCTGAAGGTGACCTCATGATGAAAATGCCTACAAACTGATGAAGAAACAAACCACCATGAGGGAGAGTCAGCATGTGCCACAATGAGAGAATGCACTGCCCTGATCCCAGAGAGAACACAAAAATCTGTATATGACACATGTGCTCTTTCAAATATAATCCCAGTCCACTCTCTGCAGGGTAGAAAGAGCAATATTATCAAAAAACACAAATCAGATCCCTCCCACATCCCAACCCTACTTAATCTTCTGTGATGGCTTCCAATTGTGCTTAGAATAAACATAAGCTTCCTAGGTTATCCTGCAGGTGTGGGCCCTACCAACCTTACCAGGTGGATTCAAAAACACCTGCCCACTCCATATCCTCACAGCAAGTTTTCAGATTATAGAACACATCATTCCTTGCGCACATTTGTTCTTCAGCCCAGAACTCCTTCCTGGTTCTTCTTTAGGTATCTAATTCCCTTATACTTATATTCTCTAGAATTCACCTCAATCATTAATTTCTCACAGAAGACTCCTCTGACCATCCTGCTGAGGTCAAATCTTTTTATTTGTTTGTTTGTCAGATCTTATTACATGCATAGCACCAAGTTCCTTTTCTTCCCCATATTTATCAGAGTTGTGTTTCTACCATTGTGTGGGTAATTTCATCAAGGTTGTTCAGTGGAATGTTAGCTCTTTTAAGTCAAAGTCTGTTCTTTGGCCAGGCATGGTGGCTCACGCCTGTAATCCCACCACTTTGGGAGGCCGAGGCAGACAGATCATGAGGTCAGTAGTTCGAGACCAGCTTGGTCAATATGGTGAAACCCTGTCTCTACCAAAAATCCAAAAAAAATTAGCCAGACGTGGTGTCATGTGCCTGTAGTCTCAGCTACTCGGAAGGCGGAGGCAGGAGAATCTCTTGAACCTGGGAGAGGGAGGTTGCAGTGAGCCGAGATTGCGCCACTGCACTCCAGCCTGGATGACAGAGCAAGACTCTGTCTCAAAAAAAAAAAAAAAAAAAAAAAGTCTGTTCTTTGCATCCTCTGTACCTAATATTGTGCACAGCATCATGAAGATGCCCTTAAATGTCTCTTGTATGAATGAGTAAGTAGATGTATCTTGAATGAATGAGTGTGGCAGACCCATTTATCAGCTGCTGTGAGTGTGGCCTGATCATGGCTCACAGCTGCACCCCTTCCTTGGAGAATTGCCTTTGGCTGATAAAGGTCACCTCAATGGAAGAATAAATGCCCTAATGAAGTCTGTAGCTAATGACTGTTGATATGAGTACAAAAAGCTTGTTTCCCACAATGAGATGCCACTTCCCACCCTCTAGGATGGCTACAATCAAAAAGATAGATAATGACAAGTGTTGTAGAGGATGTGGAGAAATTGGAACCCACATTCATTACTGGCGGGAAGGTAAAATGCACGGCCACTGTGGAAAACAGTTTGGTAGTTTCTCAAAAAGTTAGATGTAGAATTATCATATCATTCAGCAATTCCACTCCTATGTACATACCCAAGGGAACTGAAAGAAGTATTTAAACAAAAACCTTGTACACAAATATTTATAGAAGAACTATTCAGGAGTGCCAAAATGTGGAAACCACCCAAATGTCCATCAACTAATGAATAGATAAATAAAATGTGCCCGGGCACTGTGGCTCGCACCTAAAATCCTCACACTTTGGAGGCTGAGGAAGGCAGATCACTTGAGGTCAGGAGTTCAAGATCAGCCTGGTCAACATGGTGAAACCCTATCTCTACTAAAAATACAAAAATAGCCGGGTGTGGTGGTGCACACCTGTAATTCCAGCTACTCAGGAGGCTGAGGCATGAGAATCACTTGAACCCAGGAGGTGGAAGCTGCAGTGAGCTGAGATCGCACCACTGCACTCCAGCCTGGGAGACAGAGTGAGACTGTCTCAAAAAAAAAAAAAAAAAAGTGGTATATGCATGCAATGAAATACTATTCAGTCTTAAAAAGAAATGAGTACATATGCAAATCCATAGGGACAGAAAGCAGATGAGTGGTTGCCAGGGGCTGAGGGGAGGAGAGAATGGGAGTGAAAACTAATGGATACAGGGTTTCCTTTTAGGGTGAAGAAAAAGTACCGAAATTAGATAGTGGTGCTGGTTGCACAACATTGTGAATGTACCTAATACTAGTCAATTGCACACTTTAAAATTGTTAAAATGGTATTTTATCTTATGTATATTTTATCACAATTTGTATTGCTTTTTTTAAAAGTTTTTGTTTTAGATTCAGGGAGCACCTGTGCAAGTTTGTTACATGGGTATGTTGTGTGTCGCTGAAGTTTGGGTTTCTAATGATCCTGTTGCCCAAGCAGCAAACCTAGTTCCAGATGTGTAGTTTTTAACCCTTTTTCCCCTCCTCCCCTTCCCCCTTTTCGAATCCCTAGTATCAGCCGGGCGCAGTGGCTCATGCCTGTAATCCCAGCCCTTTGGGAGGCTGAGGTGGTGGATCACGAGGTCAGGAGATCGAGACCATCCTGGCTAACATGGTGAAACCCTGTCTCTACTAAAAATACAAAAAATTAGCCAGGTGTGGTGGCACACGCCTGTAGTCCCAGCTACTTGGGAGGCTGAGGCAGGAGAATCACTTGAACCCAGGAGGTGGAGGTTGCAGTGAGCCGAGATTGTGCCACTGCCCTCCAGCCTGGGCAACAGAGCCAGACTCCATCTCAAAAAAAAAAAAAAAAAAACAGAAAGAAGAAAAGAATCCCTTGTATCTGTTGTCCTAACTTGGTGTCCATTTGTACCCAGTGTTTAGCCCCTACTTACAAGTGCAAACATGTGGTATTTGGTTTTCTGTTTCTGCATTAATTTGCTTAGGATAACAGCCTCTAGCTGCATCCATGTTGCTGCAAAGGATGTTATTTCATTCCTTTTTATGGCTGCATAGTATTCCATGGTGTATATGTGTCACATTTTCTTTATCCAATCCACCATTGATGAGCACCTAGGTTGATTCCATTTGTTTGCTATTATGTGACAACTTTTAGAAAGGGCTGGCACTTTGCTGCCACAATGCAAGGATGCCTGTGTTGGGACACATGCTCCAGCATCCCACACTGATCAGGCCAAATTTAGACCTTACCTGGCACATCCTTGCTCAGCTCTTGCCTCTCCCCTATCTGGTGTTCTTCTCTCCCTCTCAGGTTTCTCCTAAGAGCAGTCCCTCCCTCAATTAAAAAAGGACTTTTTAATTCTTCTCTCAGTCTCCACTTTTATGGAATGTGACCCAAAACCGTAAGTGAACCAGTGGATAAAATAAATGTGCAAATAATTTTTTTATTTTTTATTTCTTTATTTTTCTTTATTTAGTTTAGAAATGGGGTCCCACTGTGTCACCCAGGTTGGTGTGCATTGGCATAATCATAGGTCACTGCAGCTTCCAACCTCTCACCTCCAGCAAACTTCTTGCATCAGCCTCCCAGTAGGTAGGACTACAGGCATGCACCAACTCACCTGGATGATTTTTTTTTTAAGTTTTATAGAGATAGGGTCTTGCTATGTTGCCCAGGCTGATCTTGAACTTCTTGGTCTCAAGCAATCGTCCCACTTCAGTTTCCAAAATGCTGGGATTACAGGCACCAGCCACTGCATCCAGCCTACATAATTTTTGTAAATGCTCAAGCCCTCTAAGCTTGGAGCTGGGATTCAAACCCAGATGAGGTTGACTCCAAAGTCCACTCTCCAACTACTAGGGTGCCTTCCCTAACGAGTTCACTGAGGAAAATACGGCTTTGTGTGGACAAGACTGCGGAGCTGATGATGTTCCTTTAGGGTCCACACTTCTGCCCCTTTTCCTGCAGATATTCTTCGAATATCTGCACCTCAGACTAAATGGAAAGCCTATCTCAGTGGCTTTTTTCTCTGCAACCTCAAGCCCTGTATAACAATTATAACATACAAACACACACACACACACACACACACACACAAAATGAAAACAGCCCATCCCCCAGCCTTTCCATGTAACAGAGAAGTTACTGTATCTAGAAACCCAGCTGTCCAAACTGAGATCGCCAGTCTCCAAGCATATAGAAAGATTGGATTAACTCATTTGTCCTTGTGAAGACATTAATATTGTTCCATCACTGAGCAGCTGAAACCCCTGATAAATCTCTATTTCAAGGCAAATTTGTAAATGCCTAAGTGTAGTCATAATAATAGTGTTGTAAGTCTTATTGAACATGCTCAGAGCGGTGGATTATTTATAGCATCGTGTTCAACGTCAAATACTTCAGAACACAAATTATAAACTCTTAGAGTCTGGGGGAAGTTTATAGAAAAGGAGACAATGAAGTAAAATCTAATTTGGGGGAATAATGGTGAGAAATTACTCAACCAAATTAGAAATCAGTTTTACTCACTTCGTGGATGGTGTCCAGACTGACAAAGGAGAAGGAAGATGGATGGTTTTCCAGTAAATGCCACTAGCAGACAGAAACAATCTAGTATGTTCCAATTCCTCATTCCTCTACATGGCTAGATGTGAGTGAGAAGGCATCTTTGTTGGCTATTACGATGTAACAAAGAGCCATAAAGTCTCAATGGCACTTAATAATAAGCTTTATTTCTCATTCATCCATCTGTAGTTTGATTGGAGTTGAGCTGATCTTGTCTGAACCTAGCTGGGCCTGGTCCGGGGCGGCAAATTAGATTCAGGTATGTTCTCCATTTCTCTACTCTCCCGAAGTTGGCAGGTACCTGAGACACGCTCTTCTCATGGTGGTGGCAGGAGTTAAGACCACAAGCCAAACATACTGACACATGTCAAACTTCTATGCTTGTCATATCTACCAATGTTCCATTGGCCAAAGTAAATCCCATGGCCAAACTCAAAGTAAGAAGCAGGTAAGGGTACTCTTTCCACTATAAGGACAAAATAAGGCCGTAGTTACACTAATCTACTATGGAATGTATCAGTCCCTTAAGTTGCCATAACAAAATAACATAAACTAGATGGTTTATAAATTACAGAAATTTATTTCTCACAGTTGTGGAGGCTGGGAAGTCCAAGAGCAAAGCAGATTTGGTGTCAGGTAAGGGCCCACTTTCTGGCTTAAAGACAGTGCCATCTGGTGACATCTTCACATAGTGGAAGTAACAGGAGATCCCTGTCAGGTCTCTTTTGTAAGAGCATAAATTCCATTTATGAAGGTGACACCTTCATGACCTAATTACCTCCCAAAGGCAACACCTCTGAATATCATCACTTTGAGGGTAAGGATTTAACATATTAATAATGGGGGGACACAAACATTAAAATCATAGCATGGAGGAATGAGGACATACAGAAATAACTAAGTCTATTGTGAGAGCCAATACTACCCAAATAGTGCTATAGTGCTTTTTTTTTCTTTAGACCCAGATAATAGAAAAAACATTATTAGCAAGAGTTTTTGTTTGCTTAATTCTGATAATAATAGCAATCTCTCTTTGGGGAACTACCCGTCCCCTTTCTATATATAATTCAGTTGGGGCTGATCTTCTCCGGCCTCTAGGAAACAACAAGAAATGGGAGACTGGCCAATCAGAGGAACTCATCCTCTTGGCCATATGGTTTCATTCAGGGATGAGCATGTGACTTATGATGAGGCAATAGAAGCCAAGCTTGGGACTTTGGATAAAGCTGCCTGCAAAGCTCTTTCTGAATATGCACAGCATGTTAAAGTTGGAAAATAAAATTTAGTAACTGTCTTGGTTCATTTTGTGTTGTTAGAATACCCAAGGCTGAGTAATTTATAAAGAAAAAAGGTTTATTTTTGGATCATGATTTTGATCCAAAAAAGAAAGTTAAAGATTGGGAATCTGCTTCTGGTGAGGGCCTCGGGGCCCGTTTTTCAAGCCTTCCAACCTCTTTCCCTACATGCACATCACTTTCTGAGAAAAGTTTCATATGGCACTATCAGTCTGGGTTTTTCTCTAACTTCTCAGTCATGAAGTGACTTCATGCTTACTGTTTTACCTCTTGAACTCAGAAAATCATTTTAGAAACATCACTATTGTCATAGCAACATTAGTTAAATTAAAATGTTATAAAGTTTTAAAGCATTATCAGTTTAGATGGAAGCCAGAGATATTTCTTAAAAATGCTCTAAGAACCAAACAAAAAGGAGATTCCAGAAAGTAAATTAAATGCATAAGTGCTAACATTGTTTGTGCCCAAAAACCAAATGTTGGATGCCAGATAATAAGAAAAATGGGTAGTTATAATATAAAAGGTTGATAAAAAAGATTGGGTATTTCTATAATCTACTTTCCTGACTCTCCAATTAATAGTAAATTTATTATGGTTTTCTTCATGATGATTTGGAATGCCAAGTTTTCAGTCTTAAAACTTCAGGGCAGATAAACATTTTAGGTGATTAAAAAACACACACACACACACATTTAGAAAATGATGTTCTGAGAGGCCTGCAGAAAGAAATTCACACCATTCTTTACAATTTCATTACAGAAGATGAATAAATGTTTGTCAGATTAGCTTTGCTCAATCTCATAAATGGTGGGAATGCAAAAACAAATGCAAATAACAAAGCACAATTTGTTTTCCTTCAGTCGAGTGATTGGAAAGATTCCGGTTTCTGCTATATATAATGCAAGGTCCCATCAGAAATCTCAGCTCTGGATCCAGCTAGCATAATATTCATTCCTAAGGCAACTATATGTGTGTAGGGAAGCGGTGGGAGGAGGAAAGAGAGAAGAGCTGCGATAAGGACTCTATGCTTGCCTCTGGAATTTCCTAATTCTGTGCCTTCATGAAGTGATCTTGAAAGCCCCATATCCAAAAATCACAATTCTAGAAGTGTTTGATCTGCATTCCAGGAACCAAGCTCATTACCTAGATACAGGTGGTTTAAGTTAATATAAGCATGATTACCATTGTTAATTGTCTTATTTATTATATCAGCAGTATTGCTATGTAATAACCCCATGCCGCAGTGGCCTAAAACAGCCACGAATGCCTGGGAGTCAGCTGATCTAGACTAATGGGTTGTAGGCGGCTCTGCACCACAAGTCTCTCATCCTCTCCTGAGAGCAAAGGCATGCCCTTCTCATGGCATTAGTAGAAGTGAAAGGGATCAAGCAGAAACAATGGGGCCTCTTGAGGTCTGGGCTTCAACCTGGCACATCATCACTTCTGTCTCATGCTACTGATCAAAGTAAGTCACGTGGCCAAGCCAAGAGCCAAGGGTTGCAAAATATACCTCTCCCCTTTTGTGGAGGAACCTCAAAGTCACACAGCAAAGGGCATGTAGAGAGGATAAAATGAAGAATTGGAGCTATTAATTCAATCTATTACTTTATTTTTAAAATATTTATTCATATATTCATTTATTCACTCTTTTTTTATTCATTCTTTCAATAAATATTTACTGAGCAGAAAATGTAACACATGAGCCAGGTGTGGTGGCATGCACCTGTACTCCCAGCTACTCTGGAGGCTGAGGCAGAAGAATCACTTGAGCCCAAGAGTACAAGTTCAGCCTGGGTAACATAGCAAGACCAAACCTCTAAACTTGCATTTTCATATAATAATAAATAGGTAAACAAACAACTAAAACAATAGAATGCCATCATAAGTTCTCTGAAGGAAATAAAGAACATTGATAAAAAAATGCAATAATGGAAGAGATGACGTGGCTAATTCAGAAAGTGTGGTAAGAGAAGCACACACTCCCTATTCCATTTATCTGCTACCTGATTCAAGTATGTAGTGAAGTCATGAAAACCCAACCTTTAGTGCCTGCTGTACACCACTCTATTTGACGCCAGTCCTGAAATATGTTGATTAACCCAGGAGAATTAAAAATATTAAAAGCCCTCATAGGTGTCTGATGTCTTACATTTACAATATGTTTTTTCAACTATTGCATCGTTTGAGTTTCATGGTGTTTCTTGTCGATAGTCTGGGTAGGAATTAGATAGCAAAGCATGGGTAATAGAGGATGCTGTGAGGCATAGGAAGAAGGACGGTCCCAAGAGGGCTAAAGTTTACTCTCCAGGAGAAAAAGAAAATAATGAGAATCACGTAATGGATGAGAGGTAGAGAAGATTTTGTAGGTTGGCAAGAGATATGAAAGCTAATGATCAAACATGTGGTTGTTGACATCTAAATACCCCTCCCACACAAAGCATCATGGGGCACACGGCAGTGTGAAGAAAGGATGGAAGGAAGATTTGCTGGCTTCACATATTAGCCCTTAGTTATTTTCAAGTTTTATCTTTTCGCAGAATTACCATTCAATCCAGCAATCCCATTAGTAGATACACACCCAAAGGAAAAGAAATCATTCTACCAAAAAGACATATGCACTTGTATGTTCACCACAGCACTATTCACAACAGCAAACACATGGAATAAACCTAGGTGCTCATCAACAGTGAACTGGATAAAGAAAATGTGTTACGTATACACCATGAAATTCTACACAGCCATAAAAATGGAATAGAATCATGTCTTTTGCAGCATCACAGATGCAACTAGAGGCCATTATCCTAAGCAAATTAATGCAGAAGCAGAAAACCAAATACCACATATTCTCACTTACAAGTGGAAGCTAAACATTGAGTAGACATGGACATAAAGAGGAGCACAATAGACACCAGGGGCTACTGAAGAGGGAGAGTGGGAGGAGGGCAAGGGCTGAAAAATGGCCTATCAAGTACTATGCTCACTACCTGGGTGACAGGATCATTGTGTACCAAACCTCAGCAACAAGGAATGTACTCCCTTGAACCTAAAATAAACGTTGAAAAAATAAATAAATGAATAAAAATAAATGAGGTCCAACACGAAGAATAATTTATGTTTTCCTTAAAACATAATATAGTCACATCATTTTACCTTTTTTTCAGTAAGAGTCAGTAAAATGCATACAAAAGAAAGATGACTACCTGGTCTAAAAGAGATGAAATTCTTGAGTGAAAAGCACAATGAACAAAACAACATTGATAGGCATATATAGTTTGGGGTTTTTGTTTTTTGTTTTTTGTTTTTGAGACGGAGTCTCGCTCTGTTGTCCAGGTTGGAGTGCAGTGGCCTGATCTTGGCCCACTGCAAGCTCTGCCTCCCGGGTTCACGCCATTCTCCCACCTCAGGCTCCCAAATAGCTGAGACTACAGGCGCCCACTACCACGCCCAGTTAATTTTGTTTTTGTAACTGTGTTAGCCAGGATGGTCTCGATCTGCTGACCTCGTGATTCGCCCGCCTTGGCCTCCCAAAGTGCTGAGATTACAGGCCTGAGCCACCAAACCTGCCGGATTTTTTTTTTTTTCTTTTTAAGATTAGGAAACAGTGACTGAGTGCAGTGAGAGGATGGGTGAAAAGTCTCTGGTGTCTGAGCATTATAGGCTCCATGCCTCTTCCCTGTGGTTGGCCTCTTATTCCACCAGAGATGTGAATTGTGGAATCGAGGCAATTTATGTTTGGGGTGGAATGTCTATTTGTTTTAAAATCAGAAGTGGCAGGAGTGTTGTGGGTTTCTCCCCACCCTGGGAATTTTGTGTGTGGCTTTATTATTTTATTGTTAACATGTTCAAATTACAGTTCCCCTTTCTTCTTTGCCCCCTAAGAAGTGTAGGCAGAATTCAACTGATATTGACTTTTACTAAGACAAATTCTAGATTTATTGACCTGAGAAATAAATATTAATAGAGGTTAAATTGGGGTCAATTTTTTACTCCAAGAGATGATAAATCTTGATATATTTCTCATGGTTGGTTGGTCAATATGTTCTCTGTGCTGCCCATGAACTCACCATCATCAGATTCTCCGGAGAAAAAGGCTGGCTCGCAAGAGGATGCCAGAAGAGTGACATCTCCCTCATCAGCGCTTTGCCTCTTAAGGTACTTAGGACACACAATTACATTTAATCCTAGCTTGTTATTTATCAGGCTTTGACCACAGCCCAGGTCAAATCATGTGTCTAAGAAAATAATGACACCACACACATAACACAAACACACACACAAATCTCTCTCTCTCTCTCACACACACACATACATTTCATCCTCTCCAGGCCACCCATTGCAGTAAGAGAAAGGTATAGAGCCTGGTTAGTGCATCGTATGACTTTATTTAAGGAAGGAATTTCTGCTTGCTCATCCACTAAAACTCTGAGGACCAGATTCTCTCCCTTAGTCTATCCACCTATTTTTGATTTACTATTAAAAGAATGGCGATGGATAATTCATTTGACAAATACTGACTTCCGAGTAATTACTCCTACCTCACACTTATATAGGCCATGCATTTTAAAACCTTTTTATATATATAACTCATTCACTACTCACAACCACCCTAGGCACAATTATTTTGCTTCCTCATCCCATCGATATGGGATGAGGAAACTGAGACACAAAGAAGTTAGAAAATTTGTCCCAGGTAACACAGCCAAGATCTATCTGAACTCTGGTAGTCGGGTTGTGAGTATATAATTGTCAGAACCTCTTCCCACAGCACATCTCACAATGCTTGGTACTGAGAGTACCTCAGTGAGGGAGACATTCGTGTGCTTATATATGTGCTTGTATGCATTCAGAAATGATGGGAAGAATATAGATATCTCAAAGTTGACAGCTGTTACATCTAGCCAGTAGGAACTCAGGTTTTTGTTCCTTTTTCTTTGTCCTTGTTTCCTACACTTCCCTCAGTTTTCTTTGTAAGGTAATATGGATAGTCCAAGAAATCTGCAAATAAGTACAAATTAGTAAGGAGAGAAAATGCATTATAATGCATTACAATTTTTTAAAGTGTATAATTTAATAAACTTTAACATATATTTGCACATGTGACACATGTGGACCATATCCATTGCCCCCAAACATTTCCTCGTGCCTTGTTGTAATCCTTCCCTCTTGCCTCTATAAGGGTTGGTTTGCATTTTTTAGAATTGTGTATACATGGGATCATACAGTGTGCATTTGTAATCTGGCTTCTTTCACTCCATTATGTTACTTTTGATCCATCGAAGTTACTGTGTGTATCAAAGTTTACTTCTTTCTATTGCCAAGTAGTACTCTACTGTATGGATTACAATTTAAATTGCCATTCAGAGATTAAGTTTGAGAGTCAGAAATGAGCTAGGGGATGTTCAAGGGACTGAAAGAAAGGGTGCTTCCTTTAGAAGAAATCTAAAGCCAATGAAGAAAGAATTAGAGGACACAGTTCCATTTTCAATTAGTAACATCTCTGAATAGGTGAGGAATTGATCCAGCTGCCAATAATAGAAAACCTGACCCAACAGCAGCTTAAACAGAAGATAGTCTATCTAGCTATCTGTCCACTGATTTATGTTTTTCCATACCAAGAGATCCAGGGAGAAGTGAGAGCTTGTGTTGGTTCAGAGCCTCAGAAATACGGCCAACATTGCTCTGAGGAACTAGCTCCTATCAGTCTGCAGCTCTGTCCTGGGCACATCAGGATTAGTCTCATGCTTTGTCATTGCACGCATCACAGGTTGGCTGCGTCGGCTCCCATCATATGCCATCAACAATGTCAACACTTGGTATGTCAGGGTTATTTTTTAGTTTTAGCCATTCTGGTGGCCATGTGGTGATATCTTATTGTGGTTTTTGTATTCTTGTTTTGTTTTGTTTTGTTTTTTTGAGATGGAGTCTCGCTCTGTTGCCCAGTCTGGAGTGCAGTGGTGCGATTTTGGCTCACTGCAAACTCTGCCTCCCAGGTTCAAGTGATTCTTATGCCTCAGCCTCCCGAGTAGCTGGGATATCAGGCCCCCACCACCATACATGGATAATTTTTGTATTGTTAGTAGAGACAGGGTTTCGCTATGTTGGCCAGACTCCTTTCGAACTCCTGACCTCGTGATCCACCTGCCTCAGCCTCCCAAAGTGCTGGGATTACAGGCATGAGCCACCGTGCCCAGCCCTTATCATGGTTTTAATTTGAATGTATCTGTTGTCCAATATGATTATTGGTTATTTTATATCTTCCTTTCTGAATGCTTGTCCCATCAAACATTCACAAATGAGAATTCAGGTCTTTTGCCCATTTTATGTTTTGTTTGGATATTTTTGCTTATTCACATGTGGGAATTATTTATTTATTCTGGATACAAATCCTCTATTGAATGTAACTTTACTCTCTTCCATGTACACTACATGAACAAAAAGTATACAAAAATTAATATGTATTTATAAATGTGTGATTGTGCACTTATTCAAGTATATTGCCTCATTTCATTTAGGATCTCGCAAACAATCTGCATATTGAATAAAATTCTGACTCTTTTTCAGTTACCATATGCATAAAATAATATAGGGACTACTTTTTATTGTCAATACTCATCATTTGTGATACACTTAAGAGAAATTAAACTAAGCTATAAAGTTTTTACTTGATTATAAAATAAAATTTGTGTCCTTTATCATGAAAAGATAAAAAGTAATGTGGGATTTGCCCTAGCCTTTATTTGGAATGATGCCTAAGTCCAAGGACAACTCACTCGTGGGAGGAAGATGATAGTTTAGTAACTGGAACTTCTATTATGTTAATGCCGATGTTCTGTGATTAAAATCAGGGACAATTCAAATAAGAGGTTGAGATTTCTTTTTCCATCTCCAACAATTTAAGGCTTTGAAGTTAAGTATAGTTAAACAAAAGATCTATGTGTAGCGGCTTTACCATTTAACCATACATGATAAATATTAGTGGAGATATGCCCATGCTAATAAGGATTGTATCTCTTTGTTAACTTCAAACCTACTTGTCTTCTGAAGAGGCACATTGGCACATTGCATGTATATACTCTGTGGTCAGTTCTCGTCACCAGTCTGTGGATTGTAAATGCAATGCATGAGAGATGCCTTATAAAATAAAAACAATACTACTTAATTTCTTGCCCTCTGAGTCACTAAAGGAAGCAGAGTGTGTTTTGAGGCAGTTTTAATACATGCATTTTTTTAATTAAAAGAGGATTATTTGTTTATAGTGTATATGTGGATTCTCAGTTAACTAAAATATTAATTGATAGCTATTTACTGAGCATCTACCATATGTTCAGAATTGTGCTGAACAGAATGAAAGACATAGAAAAGTATATTGAAGGAAAGAGATGGCATTAACGTTTTTGGAACAATTGGAGAACAAATTGGTATGATTTGTGATAGACTCTAAGTATGATAGAAGTTCAACAAAGAGAAAATCCCAGTGTAGTGAAGCAACAGGGAAAGGTGGGACTTAACTTGGTCTTAAATCTGAGACAGAATTGGGATGAAAGACTGGAAAAAAAAAAACATGAGCAAAGACCCCCAAATTCAGTAGCTTAAAGGAGACCGAAGATTATGCTCTTGCATAAAAGTCCTCAGGAGAATGGATCTCTATATCATGGGTAGCTCTGCTCCATGTGGTCATTCAGGGGCCCAGGTTTCTTCCATTTCTTGCTCCACAATACCATAGGGCAAAGGTTCTTCAACTGTGGTCCTCGGGAACTTGTTAGAAATTAGCTAGAAACTGACTAGTAAGTCTGTGGGCTCTGGGGCTGAGATCCCAGAACACACTCTCCTTAAGCTGAAGGGTGAAAAGAAGAAAACTGACATTTTCTAAGGGGCTATAAGATGCAGCAGAAAAGGAATGACTTTGAAAACATGTGTTTACATTTCAATTCTGCCATTATGCTGTCCATCAGACCCCATTGATTTAATTTTCTTATTTGTCAAATAACTATTCTCCCTGATATTTCAATTTATGTTTTATTTTAAGTAAAGTAAGTGGTGCAAGGTTAAACACATAATAAGAGCCAAACAAAAGGTAGTTATTCTCATTGAACACCCGCTAAGGGCCAGGCACTTTGCTAGATGTCTTACATATGATTTCCTCAAAAATATTAGCAATGATACATGATTATGATATTTTCACATCAACTTTACAAATAATAAAACCAAAGCTTAGTGAATAAGTATCTTGTCCAATATTGTAGTATAAGTAGCAGGAAGAAAACCCAGATTGATCATGCCACAAATTGTGTGATTTTCCATTAGGTTTTCACTTTAGTCTTAACGTTTTGGAGTTAATGCCTCTGAGTCATGCAAACTACTGGGCCTTTTGATGGTGACTCAGCAAAGCAACTAAACTCATACCTCAAGGATATTTTCAAGGGGCTTATGGGTCTAGATTCAACATCCCAATTCCTTTACTTCCAGCAGAAGTTTCTGGTGATGCCATCTCTCTCTGTTTTCCAAAGAGAGCTAACCATATAAGCCACAGAATTTCTCAGGAGGCTTTCACCTCCAAATCCCATGAACTTACCAAATTTCACTGGTCTTTGACCTCTTGAAAATAAATTCAAGTGAAACTCTTGAGTTCCCAAATATTTATTAAGTTCAGATCTATACCTAGTGCTAAGCCAAAGGAAAGCAATTTACATTCCAGTAGCTTTACACTAAATTCTAAATAATCTTACAGTGAAGTGATGCCATTTTTACAATCATCAGCTTTACTCACAGGGAGACCAGAAAACACATACAAATACAAACTTACACATATTGTTGAGAAACTCATGAAAGTCTCCATATTAACATGTGCTATTTTTATTTTAATTCCAGTGTTCCTTGGTGTATTGGATAATATTCCATGGTCACAGCTTAATATGGGGTGTTGCTCCTCTTTTACAAGGTGTTAGCATTGATTATACCATGAAAGCTCCCTTGATACAATCCCAGTCCATGTCTTCACCCATTTATGGCAATCAGTAGTTTTTAGGAGAAAACTACTAATCATCTAAGCCTGAGAAAAGTTGGCTGAGACTGAGGAAGGATTCACTGGGTACCTTTTGATTATTTTATGACATCTCTTGCATTAATTTTGTATTTAAAAAGCCCAAATAATCATACGTATCAATGTCTAAGGGTTCCTAAAAGTGAGAAACTGATTCAAGACCACTGACACACACACACACAGTTGAGTTACACACCAGAACACTAATTTGAACCGTAATAATGTCATACATTTGTTCATGTATTTAACATATATTTATTATCTGCCTACTGACAGCCAGACACTATCTTGATACTACAGACACAGCAGAAAATGGAAAATAAAACAGACATTGTCATTATCTTCATGGAGACAGCATACTAGTGGGGGGACAGATATTAATCAAATAATCCCCCAAACAGAGCTGTAACAATGACGCATGCTGCTACAGGAAGGTTCACGATGCCAAGAGAGCCTAGAGATAGAGCAATACGGCTCAGTCTCGAAGTCAGGGAAAACTTTGAGGAAATGGCCTTGGAGCTGACATCTGCAAAAGGAGTAAACTTGGGGAAGAGGGAGGGAAAGACATTCTACACAGAAAGGTTATAACTGCAAAGGCTATTTTTAAAAAATGCCCAAAACCTTGGAAGTAAGGCAAAAGGATAGATGCTTGTCTTTTCAAAGTCACAATGGAGTGCTGGTTAAAAGGCTCATCTGAGGATTATTTAATTTTCCAGCTCAGGGCCAGCAAATTTTTTATGTAAAGGCCCAGAGAGTAAATATTTCAAACTTTATTTTAAAACAGAGCCATATGTATTTCTGTGAAGTATTCTTATTTGTTTGGGGTGATTGTTTGTTTGTTTTGAGACAAGGTCTCACTATCACCCAGGCTAGAGTCCAGCAGCGCAATCACGGCTTACCATAGCCTTGACCTCCCCAGCCTAAGCCATCCTCCCACCTCAGCTTCCCAAGTAGCTGGGACTACAAGGCGCGCACCACCATGCCCGGCTAATTTATTTTTATTTTTTTTAGAGACAAGGTCTCACTATGTTTCCCAAGCTGGTCTGGAACTCCCAGGTTCAAGTGATCCTTCTACTGAGGCTTCCCAAAGTGCTGGGTTAACAGGAGTAAGCTATGGCCTGTTTGGCAGGATTGTCTTCACAATCCTTTAAAAATGTAAAAAAGAAAAAAAAAAAAACATCCTTTGCTCTCAAGTTGTACAAAAGTGGTCCACAAGCTTCATTTGGCCTGTGGGCCATAGTTCACCAATCCCTGTTCTAGGAGAACCCACCTTTGCCATTTTCTTTACTATTGACTAAGGCCCAGACCCTGGGAAGTCATGATTAATTTAAAGTTATTTTTGTCTGCAAGAGATGCAAATGATTTTTGCTGGTAAAAAAAAAGAAAATAAAGGTTATGATTTCATAGTGCTGTAGTCCTAATCCATTAACCACTTTCTTACCTAAACTAGCAATCTTATTCTAACTTTTTTTCCTGTGCTGATAAACACACAGTTCTCAAACACTCCTGGTTTCCTCTTTAATGAGTTAAATAAATCTTTGTACCTGTTTACTTTGTATTTGCATAAAAGCCTTGTTCATCACCTTTATAAAATGATACTTTGACAGGCCCTATAGCAATAGAGGGGATTGTTTGCACAAGGAATTGAAGACCGGAGTGGCTGGAGCAGAGACAGGAGTGTACATGTGACATGCTAGGAATAGGTGGATAGGTAGTGGCCTGCCCATATAGGGCAGTGTTGACATGTTAAGCAAGTTTGCCTTGAGCTTGAGAGCATTAGAAGACATTGAAGGATTAATCATGTATAGTGGTGTGGGAGCTGTGTGTGTGTGTGTGTGTGTGTGTGCATGTTGAGGGGGCAGGGGTGGCCATTCACATAATCATGCCACCCACAGTACAGAGAGCAGACTGAAGGCATCCAGGCTGGAGGTGAGTCCAACCATTAAGAGGTTACTGAAATAGCCCAGGCAAGACAGTAAGCTCCCTTGATAAAGGTAATAGACACGAGGACAACAATCATATCTGAGCAATATTTGGAGCTTTGTTTTTGGAGAGTTCATAAAAAGGAAGAGCTGCCAAAGATGCTTGGTCATTCTTTCCATCTAGTGGAGCTTAATGTGATCCAAATGTGTTTTGATTCATTGACCATACAAAGTCACCATCACAGGGATTCAAAACACTTGAAGTCCTCTTTAGGGGCAGCTCATTTCTTCTTTGTTAACATATTTATGTCTCCACATGGAAGCCATATTATATTCAGAGGACTTCTTGGTGAAAAGAAGAGGAGGACTTATGATAGACAGTGGAGACTTGGAAGGATGAGAGGGTGGGAGGCAGTGGATGATGAGAAATACTTAATGGGTACAATGTATGTTATTTGGGTGATGCATACCCTAAAAGCCCTGACTTCGCCACTATGCAATTTATCCATGCAACAAAGTTGCCCTTGTACCCCAAAAATTTATACACATGTTTTTTGACAAAGAAGAACAGGACTTCTGTGAAGTTAATATCTATTGGCATTGGATTGAGACTGCCAGAGATTTTAATTTGCAGTAATGATTGTCATCCCAGGAATCAAAAAGTCAAAAAGATAAAGTCAAGTTTATCTCCCAAAGTGTGTGTATGTCTCTGCAACATTGAATTACATTCTAGAGCCCTCCTCTTCAAAGCTTTCATTGCTGATCAGCCTTTTAGGGGTAAAACACTTTTTCTTTAGATGCACGAAAATCTCCACGTTAAGTCTCCCCTGGATGTTCTGGGAGATTTTCTTGTCTTTTTCAGTTGACTTTGCCTATCTCTGCTCTGTTTTCAGAGGGTACTCTTTCTTCATTTTCAGATCCTTGGGGCCATCTAACTGTAGTCCCCAAGTACTATAGCATTTGTTTTAAACACTGTTCAAACTGGCAGTGCCATCAGCCCACACTATGCACTCCATGCAAAATATCCTTAGCAAATTATGGAATGTGTCTAGTAGATAAAACATATTTTAATGAATGAAGAGGTTAGTATTTCATAAACCCAAGAAAAGTGTAAACTGACTTCCACTATCAACAGTTTAAAATCAATTTGGAGGCATTTGGAAAGCATTTTAAAGAGCAACTAGGCATCAATAAAATTTAATTAATTGGTTCTATGGATGCACATGTAAATTGGGTGTTAATTATGCTAGCAATGCTCTTCCATTAAAAATTAAGCTCACAATTAGTAACTGAGAAAAACAAGCCATCATTCTATAAACAAGTCTCATTCTGTTGTATTTGAACCCAACCTTTTGGAAATTAAATCATAACTCTACATTTACTCAGATGAATCTGAGCCCTGATGGATGGATGGTGAGTTAGCCAAGTGATCTTCCCTGGGCTGTTCCATAAAAACAATTGATAACCAAGGAGATAAGTTATGTGCAGTTGAGCTGCCCTTTAATACAGAACTATTGAATTATTGAAAATTCTTTCCTATCTAATTGACACCAAACAAAAGAATGGTCAACAATTGCAAGAGATATAGTGAAGATTAGTGATCATTTCAGAGCTGATGACATTTGAAGATGGAAGGCCTAGAACAAAAGGTTACAAACTGCAAACTCCAAGTTCTTTCTGCAATCCTTCTCCCCTCTCCCCGTCCTCCCTCCCCACACCAAATTTTTGTGTTTAGATAAAAATGCAGTGAGGGTTTTAAAGATATATTATTGCTAAGCTGTCATCCTTTTGTACTTCCTCAATTTATTTTTCTAGACTCATTGGAAGTCAAAATATAACGTAGATCCAGAGTGGGTATCAAATCCCAATGGGCTTCCTTAATTGACAGAGAATTAGAGCTACATTTCAGAATTGGAAAGAATAAAATACTGAAAACACTTCACCCACGCCACTTGGTTTTCTTTTTCCCAATAGATTTTTCCAAGGGAAATTGAGTCCATATGCTCTGATCCATTTTCTCAAGAATCATCAAGATGTTGTTTTATTAGAGCTATTTGACGGAGCATTTTATCTATTTCAATGAGCCCTTTGATGTCCCATTTCTTAGTCTTGGAAAATTGGGTATGGAGAAAAGACAAAGATATACCCTCTAACTTTCCACACCCAACAAGAAAAAAAAAAAAAAGGAAATGCTTCTTAGCCACAGAAAAGTTAAGGAAACTGCTCAGGGATTTTCCTAACTGACTAAATTACAATGCCTTGGCTTTAAAAAAAAAAAATGAAACATCAGAAGAGCTTTAGCAATAAGGATTCTGCTTTAGGTCATTTTTTAAGAGGATGTCCTCATTTTCTTTTGAGACTAGCCTTTTTTATCTATTTCGCCTTTCTAAAATGCCATGGTGAGGGGGTGGCTGGTACCCGGTAGGAGAGAGATTCACATGCATAGGAAAACATTTAAGGAAGGAGGAAGCAGCCGTATTTGGATGATTTTGCATTTCTGTATCTCATTGTATTTTATTTCTATTGGTCTTTCATGAGACTAAGCCTTCCATCCTGGATTGTGTGTCATGCAGAGACCCTGGAGCTCAGGCAAATTTAAATCACTGTCTTGACCATCATTTAACTATATCACATGCGTAGAAACCGATGCGTGCTTCTGTGTACAAACATACATGTGAGTATGTATATGTGCTTGTTCCCATGCAGACATGCTGCTCCCAAACAGTGCCTTTGAATCAAGACCCAGTCATCGTATTCGAAGAAAAAGGAAATATCCCTGACCATGTTGGGACTTAACACTGCTTCACAGAGGTACTGTAGACATAGTTTCTTCATCTGTTCATAAAAGTTCTGTTGACCCATTGTCTATAGAACTGGGTAGGAGTAAGAGATTGAAATATTTACATAGTCCTTTGGTAATCTGGTGAAACAAAGACTATTCATTACCTTTTTCTTTTAGCCCAAGTCTATTCTGTGAGTGCCTCCTGTGTGACTGTTTCTGCGCTAACTGCTAAAGTGCATGGTGTAGAAGAAAGACTGTTTTATCTGCCAGTAGTCAGAGTGGAGGGGAAAAGGAAGCAAGTGATAAAGCCCAAAACAGTCAGAAGATTGTCTGGGAATGTGTTTTGGCAAAATTGTGAACATTTATACAAATGAAAGGTCATAATCACTCAATGTGCAAAACATTTTAAGGAGATCAACAGGTTAACTTACAATGTTATTGCAACAAGGTTACTATGAAAGTGAGATGAGTGAGGTGTCTTGGGCACAAAATTTAAGGAAGTGCTCACTCTCAGCCATCAACCCTGTACTTGCAGGACTGAGTGAGCACCTTATTCTCATAAAGTGAGGAAAATTATCACCCATTTTACAGTTGAAGAAACTGAGGCTTGGGGCTGGGGGAGTGGCTCAAGAAACATTTTTACTAAATGATCAATTCAGGATTGTACTGTCCTATTTTCACATTGCTATAAATAACTACCTGAGACTGGGTAATTTATAAAGAAAACAGGTTTAATTGACTCACAGTTCCACATGGCTTGGGAGGCCTCAGGAAACTTACAGTCATGGCAGAAGGTGAAGGTGAAGTAAGCACCTTCTCACAAGGCAGCCAGTAGGAGAGAGAGAGAGCAAGGAGGGGAGGGCCACAATTTAAACCCATCAGATATCATGAGAACTCACTATCATGAGAACAGCAAAAGGGAAATTAGCCCCAGTGATCCAATGGTCTCCCATCCGGCCTCTCCTCTGACACATGGGGATTATTATTTGGGATGAGAATTGGATGGGAACACAGACCCAAACCATTTAAAGGGCTTTGGATCTCCAGAGATTGCCTCTTAACCACCGTGGATGCTGAGTAATGACCTTCAGCTACTTAGAAAAGGTGGCTTAGAGATGGAAAGTAGAAAAAGTAGGGAAGGAAGGGCATCTGGAGAGAAGGGAAAATAATATATATGACAAGCCAGACAGTGCCAAGAAAGAAAAGAATCCCCATGCTGCCAGATGGGATGAGGAAAAGAGATTGCACACAGTCCTAGGGTAACTGGAGTTCTATCGGCTTCTGGGCAGCCCTTCTACTGATCAGAGTCTTTCTTCTTTCCTCACGCCAGCTACCCAAACCAAGGAGAATACCAACGTGAATTGTCTTTCCACCTGTTGTGTGGGGCCAGCAATTATTCTTTTAGCTTGACGCGTTAACCCACCTGCTCCCTGTGGCCCTGGGATGCTCTGCCATCCCCCGTGGCTGCCAGTTCACTTAGGGTAGACTTATGGCAGAGGGATGTCAATTTTGCTTGAACTGCTCAATCACTGCTGACATTTCGTTAACCACCCTATGAACTTCTCAAGCCTGAAGTAGCAGCAACTTGTGCCCTTGAAAACTGAACAGAAAACAACTGTATTGATTTTCTACTATCAACAAGAAAAAGACAATTTCTCTTTGCTGAGAATGTTCATAATGCATTTTACACCACTTATTCTCGGCAGTCCACCTCTTCCTGATATATTGTTGGGCCTCTTTAAACCCCTGCTGCTTTAGACTCTGCTAGAATTAACCCTGAAATGCCAGCACCATCTCAAGCCCTTCCAGTTCCCGGATAGAAATGTTCATCAGTGCTGAATTGACAGCCTACTTAGGCAAGGGAGCTGTGATCATTTAGAAATTACAAAGGAACTCAGGCCTGGGTGAAGGGTTTGGGGTTGGGACACTAGGAATCTCTTTTAGTAAAATTCTCTTTTAAAAGAACATATCTCTTTGGTTTGTTAAAAGCACTAATGATGTCTATATGATATTTTGGAGATATATCAGCATATACACTGACCAAACTGATTGAATAGGAAGTAATTTTCAGTAATTTTTACCACTCATGCAACCATTCTTGCTAACTCAAGACCCAAGATTTAACTTGTGTATGATTATTCCAAATTACCAGGCCTTTCTTTTCTTTTTCAACCTGCATTAAAAAAAAAAAAAAAAAAAAAAAAAAACTATCAGGCATGCCCTAATAGTTCCATTTTTTTTGAAATTTCCAACATACCAAAAAGAGACTCCAAGGAACTGAAAGAGATTCAAGAAGCTTGAAAAAGCAAGCCTGACCCTCTGGGACAACTGTAGTGTCAAAAGCAGTCAATATTTATGCCTAGCAACCTTGACAATATCCTTTTAATTAAAATCAATGGAGAAATAAAACATGCATTAGAATGCACGTGGGATCACTCACCTCACGAGACAGAGAAGGAAGACTCTGATATTATGCACGATGTGATTATGACAAGACGCTGGATCTTCTGTATGAGACATGGGTTCTGGTATTTGCAATTAGATCTCTTCTTTTGACGGTTGTTTTCATTTAGTGTTATTATTTTCGTTTTCAGTTTTTTGTTGGTTTCTCATTTGGTGCAACTTTCTTGAGACACATGTTAAAAAACATACACAGAACAATCTTAGCTGGGTGTGGTGGCTCACTCCTGCAATCCCAGGACTTTGGAAGGCCAAGGAGGGAAGGTTTCTTGAGCCCAGGAGTTCGAGACCAGCCTGGCCCACATGGCGAAACCTCTACTAAAAATGCAAAAATTAGGCGGGTGTGATGGTGGGCACCTGTAATCCTGGCTACTCAGGAGGCTGAGGCAGGAGAATTGCTTGAACCCGGGAAGCAGAGGTTGCAGTGAGCTGAGATCATGCCACTGCACTCCAGCCTGGGTGATAGAGCAAGACTCTGTCTCAAAAAAAGAAAAGAAAAAAGAAAGAGATTTTAAAAATTTCCTGGGTGTGATGGCACATGCCTGTAGTCCCAGCTACTTGGTAGGCTGAGGTAGGATCACCTGAGCATGTTGAGGCTGCAGGGAGCTATGATTGTGCCAGTTTGGGTGACAGGGCAAGACCCTGTCTCAAAAAAAAAAATTAAAGTAGAAACTTCTTGTAAAGTCAGATAATATGTTTATCAGGTTCAAACTATAACCTCGATTTGATGTGGCAATTGAAAAAAACAGGGAAGGAGACCACAGAGTTTAGGAGAATGGTGTTCTTTTGGTAGCTCTGCCTCCAACTAGCCATATGACCTTGAGGGGTGTGTGGGGGCATCATAGGCAACATCTTTGAGTCTCAGCTGCCCCTTCTCTAAAATGAAATGGTTAGTCTCAATTCTATGAGTTTCTTTTGGCTCCCTGTAAACATTCTATTAGACCAGTGATTTTTAAAATAATAGCAACTATTGTTCATTGAACACTCCCCATGTATAATGCAAGAATTCTCTCAGTCAATGAGATAGCAGGTCCCATAATTGTTTCCATTTTATGGATGTGGAAACTGAAGCTGAAGAGATGGAGCCATTCTCTCATGTACCACCAGCTGGCTGAAGTGTGAATGTATTCAAAGGCTATGCGCATCACCATTGTCTCACACCACCTCCCCGGAGTCTATGGAAGGTAGAAGGGCCTTAGGTCCGAAAGATGCCCCTAGTTTCCCTCTGTAGACTTTGAAGGGTCTTCTGACTGTGCCTTCCAGCTAGCAGATTTCTCTAGAGCTCACTTGGCTTGGGGACGCTTCACTTAACCTCAGGCCACTTCCACTGCTGCAGAGTTCACCTAACCTGAACCTAGACAACTTTTCTATACATCCAGATTTTGTTTCAAAGGCTCTCATGCAGGCAGGCTTAACAATGACAAGTTAAGTTTCCCAAGAATAGAAGGCAATTTAACACTGTCCTCTCTGGCAGGGCCAGGCAGATTAACCATCAGATATCAGCACTTTATAAAATCCAAGCATCACAGAGGTATTTTTGTTTGTTTGCTTTTCTCATGTGGCTGGGCTCCTCTCAGATTGCAAAGAACCGCTTCTCTGGAGCTTGCAGGACGACTCTCATGTTGTTAAAAGCTTCCCTTCCTTATCTCACTTCCTAATCGCCAAAGAGGGATTTGAGAGCCTTCGACACTGGTTTTTCCTCTTCAAGGATCTGCTAGTGCTGGACTAATTAATGGAAAGGGCCCGGAGATGAGTTCCTTCAAAAATTATGGAATGTTCTAATCAGACGGGTAAGCAAAAAGCTTGACCTCTAGGTCAGAGGGTCACTCTCAAATAATACGATGGATTCAACTATTACTGTCATTTTATGTTACTCCAAAAGGGTGAGAACAGAGGTTAAAGTAGGCCCTGAGGGTCAAAGCGACGCCCATGTTTCTGCTATAGAAGTGATCAGTTCAAGAACATTCTTCATGTATCCCCAAAGTCTTCAAAACCTGGCTCTGCTTGTAAGCAGTTCTCACCTTGTCAGTTTCCATTACTGGAAAATGTTTCACCAGTTCTCTCTTCCATGTGCCTTCCTGTCACTGTTGCTGGGCGTTCCTCCCTGTCTCCATCAAACTCACTGCTTCCCCCCTCCACCTAGTATTAACCCCCAATTCCCCAAAGTTCTTGTTCACTTTTTAGTACTTATTTTAATTATGAAATATTTGAAATATATGTTTGTAAGTTTGGAAAGTTTCTCCTGTAGAGAAGATGGAGCAGATGAATATTTCACTATTCTTTGCTAATTACAGCTAAAACATCCTTGGGCATTACATATGAAACCAACATACAAAGACTGTAAAAGTTGAAGAGAAGAAGGCAGATAAGCTAGAGACTTTAGGACCCACAGAACAACGTGGTGGCAAGTTCCCTGGGCTTTCTTTTTGCCTCATATACCCCAGACCTGAAGCTGAAGAAGACAGCACCCTGGAATGGTCACTGGATATAGATGAAAACGACAATAATAACAAGTTGCTGTTTCTAGCCAAAGTGATGGCAGCACATGATGGATGCAGCAGGGAGGCTCGGCTGGGGCTGCACACTCCATGGAGCCAGTAGAAGCCCCATCCCTTCTGAGTTGGGGCAGGAGCTCCTAGGGTACTGCTGCAGCTGCCCAAACCACAGGCTGCAGACCCAAACTGCAGCTGTAGCCACCCAAACTGTGGCTGTGAATCCGAGCTTCTCTGTGCTCTTGGGGGGAACCGGTAGTGGGCGGGATCTGCCCTCCTGGGTGCCCAACCCACGGCTGCAGACCTGGGCCTCCCATTCCACAGAGTATACAGGAGCTGGGGACAAGTGGAAGCCCTGCCCCTTCCGAGTTTGCAGAGCAGAAGCTCCCCGAGTGCTGCTGCAGCAGCCCTCCCAGGAGCAAGGCCTGGGCATCTCTGCAGCCTGTGTCCTCAGGGCCCAGGAAGGGTTTCCCAATCCCTGTAGGCTCAGAGGTGTCTGCTCCTGTTGTCTGGCCTCTCTCCTTTCCCTGTGCCAGCTCCAGTCTTGGAGCAGGGTTGGCAATGTGCGCCAGGGGCCATGAATGGCAGCAGGAGTCAGCTAGATCCCTGGGTGGAAAACAATAGTCCAGGGTAAGGCCTCACCTTCAGGCCAGGGAGAGGCTGAAGGCTGGGGGCTTGACTGCCAGTCCACAGACCAGAATAGGGAGTTGTAGTGCCTCCTGCTGCCTGCCCGTTGTCACCTGTGGATCAATCTGTATGCACTTCCTCCCCTCTGAGGTCCATAAAAGCCCCAGGTTCAGCCAGAGCAGGGCAGAGGACAGAGGACAGAGAGATGACAGGATGACCAGCCTGCAGAGAGGAGCTACCCTCTCCAGGGCCTCCTCTCTGCTGAGAGCTGAACACTTGACAGGACGACCTGCCTACAGAGAGGAGCTACCCACTGCAGGTCTCCTCTGAGCTGTTCTAACACTAAATAAAGCTCCTCTTCATCTTCTTCACCCTTCACTTGTCTATGTACCTCATTCTTCCTGGATGCCAGAAACTCTATCTTGTCTACAAAAACTCACTTCCTTGATAATGCTATAAGTATATTAAAAACAAAATAGTGGGAAAATACATCATGTAAATATTAAAACAAAATAGAGCAGAAGTAGCTATACTAATGTCATATAAATTAGACTTCAGAGCAAAAAAGATTAAGATTATCAGAGGCGGAGAATTACACCATATAATGATAAAAGGGTCAATTCACCAAGAAGATGTAGCAATCCTAAATGAGTTACAAAATAACAGAGTTACAAAATACGTGAAACATATTTAATAGAACTAAAAGGAGAAATAGCCATAGAAATAGAAATGGTGTAAAGCTTCATCATCACTCTATCAAAAATTAATAGATAACTATGTAGAATGTCAGCAAAGAAAGAACTCAATAGCACAATCAATATGCATTTATAGAATACTCTACTCAGCAATAGCAGAATATACATTACACATTCTTTTCAAATGTTTATGAAATATATACTAAAATGTGGGCTGGGTGTGGTGGCTCTCACTTGTAATCCCAGCACTTTGGGAGGCCAAGGCAGGTGGATCATTTGAGGTCAGGAGTTTGAGACCAGCCTGGCCAACACGGTAAAACCTCATCTCTACTAAAAATATAAAAATTAGCCAGATGTGGTGACACATGCCCGTAATCTCAGCTACTCGGCAGGCCAAGGCAGGAGAATTGCTTGGACCCAGGAGGCTGAGGTTGCAGTGAGCTGAGATCATGCCACTGCACTCCTGCCTGAGAGACAGATCAAGATTTCATTTCAAAATAAATAAATAAATAATGTATACTAAGGTGGATAATATTCTAGACTATAAAAAAAACCCAAAACACTTTTTAAAAATAGAAATTATATAGAGACCATGTTTTCCAACCACAGTGGAATCAAACCGGAAATCAATCACAGGAAGATGAAGTTAAAATCTTCAAACACTTGAAGACTAAAAGACACACTTCTCTTTTAAATAATCCACGAATCAAATAGGAATTCTCATGGGAAATAAAAAAAATTGTCAAACTGAGTAAGGATGAAAATATGACATCATAATTTGTAGAAAACAGTTAAAGCAGTGGTGAGAGAAAAGTTTACAGCATGAATTATCTATATTAGAAAAGAGTGAAATTCTCAAATAACCTAAGTTCCCACTTTAATAACCTAGAAAAAGAACTGCAAAGTATATCCAAAGTATGATAATGAAAGAAATAATAAAAATAATAGCAGAAATCAATGAGATTAGAAACAGAAAAACAACATTGGAAATCCTTACAACTTACAGATGGTTCTTGGAAAAGATCAGTAAAATTGACAATCCTCCAACAAGACCAACACAAATTACCAATATCCGAAATTAAATAAGGAATATCATATAGACTCTGTAGACTTCAAGAGAATAGTAAGGTAATACTAGAAACATCTCTAGCCACATAAATTTGACAACTTAGATAAAAATGGAGCAATTCCACAAAAGTACAAAGTATTGTATCATCTAATATGAAATAGAAATTTGAATAAAACTATAACTATTAGGAAATTGAGTTGATCATTTTAAAGCTGCCCCTCCCCCAACTCTTCTCCCCCAAAACCCACCCCCCAATCGAAGTACCTTGTTCCAGATGGTTACATTGGAAAATTCTAGGAAATATTTAAAGGAGAACTAACACTATTTCTACCCAATCACTGCCAAAAATAAAAATAAAAATAGAAAAGGAGTAAACACTGCTGTATCCATTTTATGAAGCTAGTATTACCCTGATATCCAAATTAGACCAAGACAGTACAAAACCAAAAACTACACAGCAATATCTCTCATAAATGTAGATGCAAAAATCCTTAAGAGAATATTAGCAATTAGAATTTAGCAATATATAAAAGAATTATACCCCATGGTCATTGGGGATTATTCCAAGGAAGAAAGGCTGGCTAGCTCAATTTTTAAAAATCAATCAGTGTAATCCATCACATTAAGAAGTGAAAGAAGTAAATTTATATGATTATATCAGTCAATGTGTAAAAAGTATTTGACTAAATTCAACACTCATTTCTGATTTTAAAAATCACTTTTATAAAATTAGAAATAGAGGAAATTACATCAATTGATAATGTGCAAAAAATCTATACTTAATATTATACTTAACTGTGAATGACTAAATACTTTCCTCTCTGATTGGGAAAAAGTCAAAGATTTTCACTCTCCCCTGTCTTATTTAACATAGTGCTGGTAGTTCTAGCCCATACAATAAGGCAGGAAAAGAGGTAATAAGTAAATTTGGCAAAGTTGCAGGATACAAGATCCACTTACAAAACTCAATTATATTTCTGTATGCTAATAATAAAAAGATAGTCACCAAAACTAAACATACAATACCATTTACAATTACTTGAGAATAATTTAAATGATTAATTATAAATCTGACAAAATATGTACAGGACTTTAATGCTGAAAACTGTAAAACACAGATGAAAAAAGTAAAAGAAGTTCTAAACAAATGGCAAGACATATCATGTATATGGGTTGAAAGACTCAACATAAAAATGTCAATACTCCCCAAATGGATGAACAGGTTTAACCTAATTTTTATCAAAATGTCAATAATACTTTGTGTAGATATAAACTAGATTATTCTAAAATTTATATGTAAGTGCAAATAAACTAGAATACTTTTTCAATAAATGCTGCTAGACCAGTGGACACCCATAAACAAACAAACAAACAAAAACAAGAAAAATCAAAAGAATATTGATCTAAGGCTTATAATTTATACAAAAAAATAAATCATAAAGAGTGATGCCAGCAAAAATGGTGGCATTAGAGCCACCAAAAGTTTGTCCCTTTATAGAAGAGCAATGAAAAAGCTAAGAAAAAAAAAGTGGTCAGAATCAACTTTTTCAGAACTCTGGAAATTAATCAAAGGCTTGCGGCAACCCAAGAGATGTTTAGGCAAGAAAAATTGCTAAATCTTAATAAGAACAGTGAGCTTTGTGGCATTTTAACTTATATTAGTCCCATTAACCACTCTCCAGCTCTTTGTTAGCCTAGAAAAATAAAAGCATTGAATCCCAGCATCAGAGGAAAGAGAGCTACCATATTCCCTAAAAATGTTTTGTTTCATCTGTTTAAAGGCTTCCTAAAATACCCAACTGGAAAGGCTGGTGTTTTGGTGGGGCTTACTCAAATTTGCCCAATGCTAAACACCTCTTTCTGGGGGCATTTGTCAAATGTCTTAACATCACAGCTGCCTCAAGTGATGGATAACAGTTGGGGCAAACAATAAACTAACAAAAGAGCTTGACAGGAAAATCTGAAAAGTGAAATACTTTTAGGGTCTTTGACATATTTCTGAGAAGCTAGAAGTCTACATATATGACCAGAGCTGTGCACAGCTGTGCACATGCTTATGAAAGACCAGAGTAGGTCCTAATCTCTCAGAGACTTGACTGACCTCAAGTCTCTGCCCAAGCAGGAAGTGAAGGCTAAGGCAGAGTTGTAATCACCTGGCTGAGTGTTAAAGGCATTCCCCACCATATACACAGAGTCACTCAAAAAAGACTGGGAGACATATTAGCTCTAGGCCTTTAAGGAAATTTTTGTCCAATCATTAGCTGACCATGAAGCTAATTGAATAGAGATTTCAATGGCCACATACTACAAAGATACAGACTTTACAGAATTAGTTCAGAAAAATAAAAACAAAAAAACAGTAACAACTACAACAGGAAGTAACAACAGATCTTGGGGAATACAGATGGTCTGATTTGCAGAGTCACATATTATATAATTGGAAATGTGTTCTTTTCAACAAAAAATTATAGAACCTGTAAGTAAACAAGAACTTATGATCCTTACCTAGAAAAAGAAATATGCAATCTATAGAAACCATCCCAGAGAAAGCTCAGAGGCTGGACTTACAAGAAAAAGACTTTAAATCAGCTATTTTAAATGTTTGAAAAGCTGAAAGAAGTCATGTCTAAAAAACTAAAGGAAAGTATGTAAATAATGTTTTACCAAATAAAGATGATCAATAAGGAGATTGAAATGATAAGGAATCAAATAGAAATTTGGGGACTGAATAGTAATTTTGTAAACTAAAGTAAAACTAACATAAAAAATTCACTGGAAAGTCTTAATAGCATTTCAGCATGCAAAAGAATAAGTCAACTTGAAAGTAGGTAAATTGAGATTATCCAGGCTAAGAAACAGAAAGAAGAATGAATAAAAATAAACAGTCCAGCAAAGACTTATGGGACTTGATTGTTGTACACTATCAAGTGTACAAACATGCATAATGGAAGTCTTAATGGGAAAACAGAGAGAGAAAGGGGTAAAGAAAATATTTGAAGAAATAATACCCCAAAACTGCCCTCATTTTATGAAAAACATTAATTTACTCATTGAAAAAGCTTAGTGAACTCCAAGTAGCATATACTAAAAGAGATCAACACCTAGGCTCATTATAATCAAACTACAAAATTCAAAGACAAAGAGAGAATCTTGGAAACAGGCAAGAAACAATTTATTATGTATAAAAGACCCCCAATAAGATTAACAGCTGGTTCCTTAGCAGAAACCATGAAGGCCAGAAAATATTGAGATGACATTTTTGAAAGAAAAAACTGTTGACCAGGTTTTTTATATCTGGTCCAACTTCATGGAGAAAGGAGAAATTAAGAATTCCCAGATAAAGAAAAACTCACAGAATTTGTCACCAGCAGACCTGCCTCACAAGAAATACTAAAAGCAGCCCTTCTGGCTGAAATACAAGGACACCAGACAGTAACTTGAATCCACAATAAACAGAACACCAGAAAAGCAACTACACAGATGGAGATAAAGTATGAATGTATTTTCTGTTTTCATCCTGATTCAAAAGACAACTTCATAATGCAATAAATCTAAAGAAGGGCACATACTATATAAAGATTTAACTTATGAAAATAACAGCAAAATAGGAGGAGAGGAATGAAGCCATATATGAGCAAGTTTTAATATTCTATTTAAATTTAGTTGGTAATAAAACAAATCAATTTTTTTTTATAAATTAAGATATTGATGGTAATATTCAGGACAATTGCCAAGAAAATAATTCAAAAACATGTAGTGAAGAAAACAAGAAACTTTAAATGGCACACTAGAAACTATTTAACACAAATGGAGACAACAGTGGAGGAACTGATGAACAAAAAAGAAAGACATATAGAAAACAAATGACAAAATGGCACCTGAAAATCCTATCATATCAGTAATTACATTTTAATGGATTAAAGTTTCTAATTAAAAGTCAGATAATAAATGGTGCTGAAAAAACTAGATATCCACATGCAGAAGAATAAAGCAAGACATCTATCTTTCACCATACACAAAAATCAACTCATAATGGATTAAAGATTTAAATGGAAGACCCCAAATGGTAAAACTACTAGAAGGAAACATTGGAAATGTGCTTCATGACATTGGTATGGGCAAATAATTTTTGGATAAGACCCACAAAGGGAAGCCCATCAGACTAACAGCGGATCTCTCTGCAGAAACCCTACAAGCCAGAAGAGAGTGGGGGCCAATATTCAACATTCTTAAAGAAAAGAATTTTCAACCCAGAATTTCATATCCAGCCAAACTAAGCTTCATAAGTGAAGGAGAAATAAAATATGTTACAGACAAGCAAATGTTCAGAGATTTTGTCACCACCAGGCCTGCCTTACAAGAGCTCCTGCAGGAAGCCCTAAACATGGAAAGAAACAAGCAGTACCAGCCACTGCAAAAACAGGCCAAATTGTAAAGACCATTGATGCTATTAAGACACTGAATCAATTAATAGGCAAAATAACTAGCTAACATCATAATGACAGGATCAAATTCACACATAACAATATTAACCTTAAATGTAAATGGGCTAAATGCCCCAATTAAAAGACACAGATTGGCAAATTCGATAGAGAGTCAAGACCCATCAGTGTGCTGTATTCAGGAGGCCCATCTCACATGCAAAGACACGCATAGGCTCAAAATAAAGGGATGAAGGAAGATTTACCAAGCAAATGGAAAGCAAAAAAAAGCAGAGGTTGCAATCCTAGTCTCGGATAAAACAGACTTTAAACCAACAAAGATCAAAAGAGACAAAGAAGGCCATTACACAATGGTAAAGGGATCAACTCAACAAGAAGAGCTAACTATCCTAAATATATATGCACCCAATACAGAAGCACCCAGATTCGTAAAGCAAGTCCTTAGAGACCTACAAAGAGACCTAGACTCCCACACAATAATAATGGGAGACTTTAACACCTCACTGTTAGTATTAGACAGCTCAATGTGACAGAAGGTTAACAAGGATATCCAGGACCTGAACTCAGCTCTGCAACAAGCAGACCTAACAGACATCTACAGAACACTCCAGCCCAAATAAACAGAATATACATTCTTCTCAGCACATCACACTTATTCTAAAATTGACCGCATAGTTGGAAGTAAAGCACTCCTCAGCAAATGTAAAAGAACAGAAATCACAACAAACTGCCTATCAGATCACAGTGCAATCAAATTAGACCTCAGGATTAAGAAATTCACTCAAAACCGCACAACTACATGGAATCTGAACAACTTGCTCCTGAATGACTCCTGGGTAAACAACGAAATGAATGCAGAAATAAAGATGTTCTTTGAAACCAATGAGAACAAAGAAACAATGTACCAGAATCTCTGTGACATATTTAAAACAGTGTGTAGATGGAAATTTATGCACTAAATGCCCACAAAAGAAAGCAGGAAAGATCTAAAATTGACACCCTAGCATCACAATTAAAAGAACTAGAGAAGCAAGAGCAAACAATTCAAAAGCTAGCAGAAGGCAAGAAATAACTAAGATCAGAGCAGAACAGAAGGAGATAGACATACAAAAAACCCTTCAAAAAATCAATGAATCCAGGAGCTGTTTTTCTGAAAAGATCAACAAAATTGGTAGACCACTAACAAGACTAATAAAGAGGAAAAGAGAGAAGAATCAAATAGATGCAATAAAAAATGATAAAGGGGTTATCACCGCTGATCCCACAGAAATACAATCTACCATCAGAGAATACTAGAAACACCTCACACAAATAAACTAGAAAATCTAGAAGAAATGGATAAGTTCCTGGACACATACACCCTCCCAAGACTAAACCAGGAAGAAGATGAATCTCTGAATAGACAAATAACAGGCTGTGAAAATGAGGCAATAATTAATAGCCTACCAACCAAAAAAAGTCCAGGACCAGATGGATTCACAGCCAAATTCTACCACAGTTATAAAGAGGATCTGGTACCATTCCTTCTGAAACTATTCCCATCAATAGAAAAAGAGGGAATCATCCCTAACCCATTTTATGAGGCCAACATCATCCTGATACCAAAGCCTGGCAGAGACACAACAAAAAAAGAAAATTTTAGACCAATATCCCTGATGAACATTGATGCAAAAATCCTCAATAAAATACTGGCAAACCAAATCCAGCAGCACATCAAAAAGCTTATCCACCATGATCAAGTGGGCTTCATCCCTGGGATGCAAGGCTGGTTCAACATAAGCAAATCAATAAATGTAATCCAGCACATAAACAGAACCAATGACAAAAACCACATGATTATCCCAATAGATGCAGAAAAGACCTTCAACAAAATTCAGTAACCCTTCATGCTAAAAACTCTCAATAAACTAGGTATTGATGGAACGTATCACAAAATAATAAGAGCTATTTATGACAAACCCACAGCCAGTATCATACTGAATGGGCAAAAACTGCAAGCATTCCCTTTGAAAACTGGCACAAGACAGGGATGCCCTCTCTCACCACAACTATTCAACTTAGTGTTGGAAGTTTTGGCCAGAGTAATGAGGCAAGAGAAAGAAATAAAGGGTATTCAGCTAGGAAAGGAGAAAGTCAAATTGTCCCTGTTTGCAGATGACACAATTGTATATTTAGAAAACCCCTTTGTCTCAGCCCAAAATCTGCTTAAGCTGATAAGCAACTTCAGCAAAGTCTCAGGATACAAAATCAATGTGCAAAAATCACAAGCATTCCTATACACCAGTAACAGACAAACAGAGAGCCAAATCATAAGTGAATTCCCATTCACAATTGCTTCAAAGAGAATAAAATACCTAGGAATCCAACTTACAAGGGATGTGAAGGACCTCTTCAAGGAGAACTACAAACCACTGCTCAAGGAAATAAAAGAGGACACAAACAAATGGAAGAATATTCCATGCTCATGGATAGGAAGAATCAATATCGTGAAAATGGCCATAGTGTCCAAAGCAATTTGTAGATTCAGTGCCATCTCCATCAAGCTACCAGTGACTTTCTTCACAGAATTGGAAAAAACTACTTTAAAGTTCATATGGAACCAAAAAGAGCCTGCACTGCCAAGACAATCCTAAGCAAAAAGAACAAACCTGGAGGCATCACACTACCTGACTTCAAACTATACTACAAGGCTACAGTAACCAAAACAGCATGGTACTGGTACCAAAACAGATATCTAGACCAATGGAACAGAACAGAGGCCTCAGAAATAACACCACACATCTACAACCATCTGATCTTTGACAAACCTGACAAAAACAAGAAATGGGGAAAGGACTTCCTATTTAGTAAAGGGTGCTGGGAAAACTGGCTAGCCATATGTAGAAAGCTGAAACTGGATCCTTTCCTTACACCTTATACAAAAGTTAATTCAAGATGGATTAAAGACTTAAACGTTAGACCTAAAACTGTAAAAACCCTAGAAGAAAACCTAGCCAATACCATTCAGGACATAGGCATGGACAAGGACTTTATGACTAAAACACCAAAAGCAATGGCAACAAAAGCCAAAATAGACAAATGGGATCTAATTAAACTAAAGAGCTTCTGCACAGCAAAGGAAACTACCATCAGAGTGAACAGGCAACCTACAGAATGGGAGAAAATTTTTGCAATCTACCCATCTGACAAAGGGCTAATATCCAGAATCTACAAAGAACTCAAACAAATTTACAAGAAAAAATCAAACAACCCCATCAAAAAGTGGGCAGAGGATATGAACAGACATTTCTCAAAAGAAGACATCTATGCAGCCAACAGACACATGAAAAAATGCTCATCATCATTGGTCATCAGAGCAATGCAAATCAAAACCACAATGAGATACCATCTCATGCCAGTTAGAATGGCAATCATTAAAAAGTCAGGAAACAACAGATGCTGGAGAGGATGTGGAGAAATAGGAAGGCTTTTACACTGTTGATGGGAGTGTAAATTAGTTCAACCATTGTGGAAGACAGTGTGGCAATTCATCAAGGATCTAGAACTAGAACGATTTGACCCAGCAATCCCATTACTGGGTATATACCCAAAAGATTATAAATCATGCTACTATAAAGACACATGCACATGTATGTTTATTGCAGCACTGTTCACAATAGCAGACTTGGAACCAACCCAAATGTCCATCAATGATAGACTGGATTAAGAAAATGTGGCACATATACACCATGGAATACTATGCAGCCATAAAAAAGGATGAGTTCATGTCCTTTGCAGGGACATGGATAAAGCTGGAAACCATCTTTCTCAGCAAACTATCACAAGGACAGAAAACCAAACACCGCATGTTCTCACTCATAGGTGGGAATTGAACAATGAGACTTGGACCCAGGGCGGGGAACATCACACACCGGGGCCTGTCAGGGAGCAGAGGGCTGAAGGAGGGATAGCATTAGGAGAAATACCTAATGTAAATGATGAGTTGATGGTTGCAGCAAACCAACATAGCACATGTATACCTATGTATCAAACCTGCACATTGTGTACATGTACCCTAGAATTTAAAGCATAATTAAAATATATATATACATATATATATACACATATATATATATACATATATATATACACATATATATATATACATATATATATACACATATATATATATATATGGATAAGACCTTAAAAACACAGGCCGGGAGTGGTGGCTCACGCCAGTAATCCCAACACTTTGGGAAGCCAAGGCGGGTGAATCACCTGAGGTTGGAAGTTCAAGACCAGTCTGTCCAACATGAAGAAACCCCACCTCTACTAAAAATACAAAATTAACCAGGTGTGGTACTGCATGCCTGTAATCCCAGCTACTCGGGAGGCTGAGGCAGGAGAATCACTTGAACCCAGGAGGTGGAGGTGGAGGTGAGCTGAGATTACGCCATTGCACTCCAGCCTGGGCAACAAGAGTGAAACAAGAGTGAAACTCTGTCTCAAAAAAAAAAAAAAAAAAAAACAGGCAGTAAAAATAAAAATAGACAAATAGGATTCCATCAAACTAAAAATCTTCTGCACAATAAAGGAAACAATCAATAAAGTGAAGAGACAACCTACAGAATAGGCTAAAACTGTGCATCTGACATATATTCTAACATTCAGAATATATAAGGAGCTCAAATAATTCAACAGCAAAACAACCAAATAATTCAATTTAAAAATGGCCAAAAGGTCTCAATAGATATTTCTCAAAAGAAGACAGAGAAACGGTCCACAAGTACATGAGAAAATGCTCAACAACACTAATCATCAGGGCAAATACAAATCAAAACTACAATGAGATATCACCTTTCCCCATTTAGAATGGTCACTATCAAAAAGACAAAAAATAACAAATGTTGGCATGGATGTGAAGAAAGGGGAATACTTACACACTGCTGGTGGGAATGTAAATTGGTATAGCCACTGTGGAAGATAGTGTGAAGTTTCCTCAAAAAATTAAAAGTAGAAATATAAAATCTAGCAATCCTACTACTGAATATTTATCTAAAGGAAATAAAATTAGTATGTCAGAGTATGAATTCTTATATTTATTGCAGCATTATTTACAATAGCTAAGATATGGAATCAACCTAAGTGTCCATCAGTTGATGAATAAATAAAGAAAATGTATATATACACAATGGACTACTATTCAGCCATGAAAAGAAGGAAATCCTGTCCCTCATGGCAACACAGATAAACCCGGAGGACATTATGTAAAGTAAAATAAGCCAGACACAGAAAGACAAATACTGAGTGATCTCACTTATATGTGGAATCTAAAGAAATTGATCTCACTGAAGTAGAGAATAGAAGAGTGGTTACCAGATGCTGGGGAGAGTAACAGGAAGGGGAATATGGAGAGATTGGTCTATGTGTACAAAGTTACAGTTAGAGACGAGGAATAAGCTCTGATGTTCTATCACACAGGAGGGTAGCTATGGTTGACAATTTTGTATTATACATTCCAAAATAGCTAGAAGAGAGGATTTTGAATATTTCCACCACAGAGAATGATAAAATGTGTGAGGTGGTAGCTATACTAAATACCCTGATTTAATTATTACACAATGTATGCATGTATCAAAGCATTACCCTGTGCCCCATAAATATGTACAATTATTATGTCAATTAAAATAAGTAAAGTTTTAAAGGCAGAAATTGGTAGAATGAATATTTTAAAATTAACAAAGCATATATGTACCTAACAACAAAGGCTCAAAATACATAAAGCAAAGTCTGACAGGTTTGAAGGGACACACACAATTCAACTGTAATAGTTAGACCCTTCAATCCCTCACTTTGAATAACAAGTAGAACTAGACAGATCATCAAGGAAATAGAAAATTTGAACAACACTATTAGCCAACTAGAACTAACAGACATCTAGAGAGGACTGCAGCCAACAACAGCAGAATACACATTCTTCTCAAATGCATATAAAACGTTTTCCAGGCTAGACCATAAGTTAGGATGACCATAAAACAAGTGTCAATATGTTTAAAAGGGTTGAGGTCAAAGTATGTGTTACAGCCCCAATGAAATTAAATTAGAAGGCCAGGCGTGGTGGCTCATGCCTGTAATCCCAGCACTTTGGGAGGCCGAGGCGGGCAGATCACAAGGTCAGGAGATCAAAACCATCCTGGCTAACACAGTGAAACCCCGTCTCTACTAAAAATACAAAAAATTAGCTGGGCGTGGTGGCAGGTGCCTATAGTCCCAGCTACTTGGGAGGCTGAGACAGGAGAATGGTGTGAACCTGGGAGGCAGAGCTTGCAGTGAGCCGAGATCCTGCCACTGCCCGCCAGCCTGGGTGACAGAGCGAGACTCTGTCTCAAAAAAAAAAAAAAAAAAAAGAAATTAAATTAGAAATTAATAATAGAAGGAAATTTGGGAAATTAAACACCATATTTCTAAATAACCAAGAGGAAATCACAAGGTTAATTAGAAAATGCTTTCAGATGAACAAAATGAAAACACAACGTATCGAAACTTATAGAATGTAGTGAAAGTAGTTCCTAGAGGAAAACTTATAATTGTAAACTCGAATCACTCAAATCAACAACCTAATCTTCCACCTTAAGACACTAGACAAAGAAGAATAAACTAAATCCAAAGCCAGGACATGAAAATAATAAACATTAGAGTAGAAATAAATAAAATGGAGAATAGAAAAAATAGAAAAAATTCACAAAAACAAGTTGGTTGTCTAAAAAGATCAACAAAATTGATAAGCTTTTAGCTACAGTGGCCAACTAAAAAAAAAAAAAAAACACTCGTATCAGTAAAATTCAGGAATAAAGGAATAAAAGAAGAGACATTACTATGGACTTTACATAAGTACAAAGGAATGAATATAAGAGAATGCTATGAAAAATCATATGCCAACAAATTAGAGAGCCTAGATGAAATGAATGAATATTCCTAGAAACGCACAAACTTTCAAAATTGACTCGAGAGGAAATAGAAAATTTCAATAGGCTTCCAACAAGTTAAGAGATTCAGTTAGCAATTTAAAAAATGTTATACAAAGAAAGCCCAGGACCATATGGCTTCACTGGCAAATTCTGCCAAATGTTTAAAGAAGAATTATCACTAATTCCTCAAAAGGTCTTCCTAAAACATAAAAGAAAAGGGGACACTTTCTAACCCATTCTATGATGCCAGCATTACCCTGATGCCAAACCCAAATAAATACATCAGAATAAAAGAAAACTATACAATATCCCTTATAAATATAAGTAAAAAATCCTTAACAAAATACTACCAAATCAAATCCAGCAGCACACAAAAAGGATTATACACTATAACCAAGTAGGTTTTATTCCAGGAATGCAAAATTGGTTTAATACATGAAGATATATATACCACATTACATGTATATACCAATATATATACCACTACAATATATTATATTAATAGAATAAACAGAGGACCACATGATTATCTCAACTGATGTAGGAAATGCATTTGATAATATCTAACACCCTTTTAGAATGAAAACACTTGGAAAACTAAGAATAAAAAGGAACTTTCTCAACCTGATGAAGACCATCTATGAAAAACCCACAGTTAAATCATACACGCTGATAAAATCTTTCCCCTAAAATCAGCACCAGTACAGGGAATCTACTCTCACTTCTATTCAACGTTGTACTGGAAGTTTTAGTCAGGGCAATTAGGCAAGAAAAAAGAAACAAAAGACATCTAGATTGGAATGGAAGAAGTAAAACCATCTCTCTTTGCAAATGACATAATTTGATATATAGAAAACCATAAAGAATTTGCCAAAAATCTATTAGAGCTAATATATGAGTTGCACAAGTTTGCAAGAAACAAGATTAATGTATAAAGTTAATTGTATTTCTATACACTAGAAATGAATAATCTGAAAATGAAACTAAGAAAACAATTCCAGGCCAGTCACGGTGGTTCACACCTGTAATCTCAGCACTTTGGGAGGCTGAGGTGGAAGGATTGCTTGAGACCAGGAGTTCGAGACTAGCCTAGACAACATAGTCAGACCCCGTCTCAACAAAAAATAGAAAAATTTGCCAGATGTGATGGTGCATGCCTGTAGTCTCAGCTATTCCAGGGGCTGAGGTGGAAGGATCTTGTGAGCCCATGAGTTTGAGGCTGCAGTGAGCGATGATCATGGCAGTGTACTCCAGCCCATGTGACAGAGCAAGATCTTGTCAAAAAAAAAGAAGGGAAGGGAAGGGAAGGGAAGGGGAGGGGAGGGGAGGGGAGGGGAGATGAGAGGAGGTAAGGGGAGGGGAAGGGATGGAAGGGGAAGTCAGGGGAAGGGAAGGGAAGGAAAGGGGGAGGGGAAGGGAGGGGGAAGGGGAAGGGAAGGGAAAAAACAATTCCATTTATAATACATAAAAAATAATAAAATACTTAGGAATCAACTTAACTTTAGAGGTGTAAGACTCATATGTCTCATATACTAAAAACTACAAAATATTGCTGAAAGAAATATAAAGCCTAAATAAATGGAAAGACATTTATGTTCATGTATTGGAAGACTTAAAATTATTAAGATGCCAATACTTTACAAATTGATATACAGATTCAATGTATTCTCTATCAAAATTCCAACTTCTTTTTTTCCAGAAATGGATAAGCTAATTTTAATATTCATATGGAATTTTAAAAAAACCTGTAAAAGTAAAACAGGCCAGGCCTGGTGGCTCACGCCTGTAATTGCAGCACTTTGGGAGGCCAAGGCAGGAGGATTGCTTGCATCCAGGACCAGCCTGGGCAACATAGCAAGACTCTGTCTCTACAAGAAAATTTAAAAAAAACAAAACAACAACAACAAAAAAAACAGGCATGGTGGCATGTGCTTGTAGTCCCAGCTACTGAGGAGACTGAGGTGGGAGAATCACTGGAGCCTGAGGTTAAGGGTACAGTGAGCTGTCATCATCTCACTGCACTCAGCCTGGGTGATAGAGTGAGACCCTGTCTCAAAAATAAACTAATTAATTAAAAAGTATAACAAAGTTGGAAGACTCACCATTTACAATTTCAAAATCTACTCCTAATTTACAGTAATTAAGACAGTATGGTAATGGCATAAGGATAGACCTATTGATCAATTTGATAGAATCAAGAACCAGAAATGGGCCCATACATCTATGGTCAATTGATTTTTGACAAAGTTACCAAAACCGTTCAATGGAGAAAGAATATTCTTTTCAACAAATGGCAATAAGACAATTAAGTAGCTACACGAAAAAAAAAATTTGGACCACTACCTCACATCATATATAGAAAATAAATTGGCCAGGCATGGTGGCTCACACCTGTAATCCCAGCACTATGGGAAGCCGAGGCGGTGGATCACGAGGTCAGGAGTTCAGGACCAACCTAGACAACATAGTGAAACCCCGTTTCTACTAAAAATACAAAAAAATTAGCTGGGCGTGGTGGTGGGCACCTGTAATCCCAGCTAACTCGTTGGCTGAGGCAAGAGAATTGCTTGAACCCAGGAGGCAGAGGTTGTAGCCAGCGGAGATCATGCCACTGCATTACAGCCTGGGCAACAGTGCAAGAGTCCATCTCAAAAAGAAAAACAAAAAAGAAAATAAATCAAAAAGGAATCAAAGACCTAAATTTAATATCTAAAATAATAAAGATGAAAACATAGGTTTAAATCTTTGTAACCTTAAATTAGGCAATAGTTTCTTAGATATGACACCAAAAGCACAAGCAACCAAAGAAAAAAATAGATATGTTAGACTTCAACAAAATTTAAAACTTTTGTGCATCAAAGGACACAATCAAGAAAGTGAAGAGATAATACACACAATGTCAGAAAATATCTGTCAATCATATCTCTGATAAAGGTCTAGTATCCAGAATGTATAAAGACCTTTTACAACTCAACAATAAAAAGAAATAAAATAAATTTTTAAATGAACAAAGGATATGAATAAACGCTTCTTCAATGGTAATTTACAAATGGCCAAAAAGTACGAAAAGTTGCTCAATATCATTTGTCCTTAGGGAAATGCTAACCAAAACCACAAGATACCACACTGCATTCCCTAACATAGCCCCTTATAAAATAAACAAAACAACCAGAAGATAACAAGCATTGGCAGGAATATGGAAAAATTAAAGCCCTGATACCCTGAGAGTATAAAATGGTGCTGTCACTGTGAAAAACAGTTTGTTGATTCCTCAAAAGAATAAACAATTAACCATACGATCCAGCAATTCAACTCTTGATCTATACCCAAGGGGATTGGAAACATATGTTCATACAAAAATGTATACATGATGTTCACAGAACATCATGGAGCATTATTTATGAAAAACAAAATGTGGAACCCACCCAGATGCCCATCAACTGATGAAAGGGTACATAAATATGGTATAGACATGCAACGGAATATTATTCAGCCATAAAAATGAAGCTTGATATATGCTATAGTGGATAAACATTGAAAATATGCTAAGCAAAAGAAGTCGACACAAAATGTCACATATCATGTCATATAATTCTATTTGTTTGAAAAGTCAAGAAATAGAAAATCCATAGAGACAGAAAGTGAATTACTGCTTGCCAGGAGTTGCAGGGAGGAGAGTGGGAGTGACTGCAAACAGGTGTGGAGTTTCATTTTGGGGCGGTAAAAATGTTCTGGACCTAGATAGCAGTGACGTGGCACAATCTCGTGAATATACTAAAAACCACTGGATTGCATACTTAAAAATGGTAAATTTTATGGTTTGTGAATTATATTTCAATTAAAATTAATAAATGTATGAAAACAATGAATCACAAACTTAAATGTAAGATGTACAACTATGAAACTTTTTTTTTTTTGAGACGGAGTTTTGCTCTTTCTGCCCAGGCTGGAGTGCAATGGCATGGTCTTGGCCCACTGCAACTTCTGCCTCCCAGGTTCAAGTGATTCTCCTGCCTCAGCCTCCCAAGTAGCTGGGATTACAGGTGCACGCCACCACGTCCGGCTAATTTTTGTATTATTAGTAGAGACGGGGTTTGGCCATGTTGGCCAGGCTGGTGTCGAACTACTGACCTCATGTGATCCGCCCACCTCGGCCTTCAAAAGTGCTGGGATAATAGATGTGAGCCACCGCGCCCGGCCACCACTTAAAAAAAAAAAAAATAGGCTATAGCCTTTGGGATCTGGGGATGTTCAACATCATCAGCCATTAGAAAAATTACAATGAGATATCACTACACATCTCTCAGAATGCTAAAATTAAAAAGATGACAACACCAAATGCTGGCGAGGGTACAGAGAAACTAGGCCATTCATATATTGCTGGTGGGGATGTGAAATGGCACAGCCAATCTGAAAAACAGTTTGTTAGTTTCCTTAAGAACGAAACATGCAATCACCATAGGGTCTAGCAATTGCACTCCTGTGCATTCATCTAAGATTAACACTTCTGTTTACACACATCTGTATGCAAATGTTTATAGCAGCTTTGTTTATAATATCTCCAAACTGAAAGCAACCTAAATATCTTTCAACGGGTGAATGGTGAAACAAATGTGGTACATCCATACCATGCAGCTCTACTCAACAATAAAAATGTACTATTTATAGATGCAGCAAGCTGCATACGTTTCTAGAGCAATATGTTGGGTGAATGAAGCCAATTTTAAAAGAGAACATGGGATATCTCTGTATTATTTCTTCAAACTGAATGTGGCTCTAGAATTATTTCAAAATAAAAACATTCAACTTTAAACAAAGTTTGGAAAAAAACAGAACAGACTCCTGTATATTCACCACCAAAATTTTATAATCACTGATAGTTTTTTTTTTCTTCGTCAGATCTCTCTTTTTTAAAGAAAATAAAACAACGTAGATATACTTAAAGCAGCACCCTTTCCTGATTTAGCCCATTTCTCTCCAGAACTGGGCACAGATTAAATTTATCTGTGAATATTCTGATACTTCTCTTTCATCAGTATTATCATAGCAACAAATAATATTGCTTTATGCACTTTTTTAAAGATGGCATAGATGTTTTCATATGGTACCATGTAATACATATCATTTTACAACTTGCTTTTTCTTCTCAACACTAAGTTCTGATATTTAACAATGTGGTTCCATGAAAACCTAGGATTTTTATTTTTACTTTGATTATTCTATTATAATAACAATAGTAAATCACATGTGATACTATGTACCACAGACTGTTCTAAATGCTTTACACATTAACCTTTTGTTCTTCATTAAGATACATTCATCCTATGCTATTATTGTTCCCATTTTACAGATGAGAAAAGTAAAGCACAGAGCAGTTTGATAATTGTCCTTGATTGTACTGTTAGCAAATGGTAGGACCTGGATTTGAACCTGAAGGGTCTGCCCCAGCAATTGTGTCTTTATAATATAAATACCACTGCTATGTATCTAGTACACTACCCATGGGCTTGTAGATTGTTCATTTTTTGCTCTCCCCAACTAAGAACATCGTCTTTCTTGTCTCCTTGTGCTGTATACCTAATGAATCTCTTTAACATGTACAACAACAAATGGAACTGTTGCGCTGTGGTACATACTTAACTTCGATGGCTGTTTCCAGATTGCTGTCTAATGTGAAGCAAATTCCATCAGCAATGTTTAAGAGTTCCCATTTCTGCATATATTTCCCAGCACTTGACACTGGCAGACTTCACAAACTGCTATTTTAAAAAATGTGCATTTCCTTTATTACTAAGGTTGCTGAATTTCTTTTCATGAGTTCATGGGCCTTTTGAATTTTCTCTTCTGTGAATTGCCAGAACGTCTTTCATGATTTGTCTATTGAGCTGTTTCTTTTATCTTAATATTTCATATATCATCTATCGGTGTGATATTTATTGAAAATATATTATCTTTGTCTTCAGCTTGTCTTTTAACTTTGCTTGTGATGTTTTATACCATATTAAAAATTTTAATTACAGTGTTGGCAAATCAATCTGTATGTATAAGTATTTTATCTGAATGTGTGTGTGCATATGCACATATACACATAATATATACAGAATAAATATACTTTTCAGGCTAAGGTTTTAAAATTTGAAATCTGGACTTTTCTATAGCTTTTTTCTTCATGGATTCTTTATGGATTGTCAAATATCCTAACATCATTTATTTTTTGAGCCCATCATCCACCCCACTGATTGGAATGCTACTCCAGTTATAAGCCAGGTTTCTTCTTAGTGTGTGTGATTTTCCCATTCTTGCCAACGTTGTGACATTGGTTTATGATAAACTACAAAGTACTCATGTTTTTCTTCTCTGCTTATTAAGAAAGATATTCTAAAAACGAAATAGGATCACACTTCTCAGGCTGTATTATGACATGCATTTTTACTTAAAGACATGTCTGGAATTTATTTCCAGGTGTTCGAAGACATCATTTTTAATGCCTGCAGGGTATTCCTTTAATTTAGAAATATCATAATTTACTTAACAATCTCCTAATGATGAGACTTTAGGTTGTTTCTAAAATTACAATACACATCATATATATGTATATATGTATATATGTATCTTTATATTTATCAGTTTTTCATAATTTATTTAGGGCAAATTATGAAAAGTGGAACTTTGAGAGTCAAAGAATAAGTAAAATTTCAATTTTGTTACATAATGTCAAACAAAGCATTCTCTGGAATGACGGAGCCAATTTAGACTTGTCCTTTCACAGTACACGGAAGTTTCCAACAGCAGGAACTGACAAGATCGCTTCCATATTTTAGAAAGCTTATCCTCATAGTGGTACAAAGGAATATGCAATACAAAAGCAGCAAAGAAATAAACGGTGTTTTGGAAGACTTGAGCAACAGATAAAAAAGAGAAATGAAACGTTTTGTAAATGTCGTGAGTGCCATGTAGCACGCTGAGTGGCTGGGTCCCTGGGATTCTCTCCATCCAGTCTGAAGGGATTCAGTTAAACAGTCTGATGTGGCAACTGTGAAAAGAATATGCAATAGCGGCCAGAAGTTTTGAAGGCAACTTGGGCTGACTTCATTAGAGAGAAGTATACGATCCCTTCATACATCACCCATAAAAATCAAATGCATAGCTACTTTAATGGTGCCATCTGATGAAATGAACTTTTTTTGTTTTGTTTTTTTAAAAAAAGTAATTGGCTGGCGGCTATCAAGTTTTTGTTGTTGTTGTTGTTGTTTGTTTGTTTGTTTTGAGACAGAGTCTTGCTCTGTCTTCCAGGCCAGAGTGCAGTGGTGTGATCTGGGCTCACTACAACCTCTGCCTCCTGGGTTCCAGTGATTCCCTCGCCTCAGCCTGGCAAGTAGCTGGGATTATAGGTGCACACCACCACACCTGGCTAATTTTTCGTATTTTTAGCAGAAAGGGGGTTTCACCATGTTGGCCAGGCTCGTCTCGAACTCCTGACCTCAAGTGATTCGCATGCCTTGGCTTCCCAAAGTGCTGGGATTACAGGCGTGAGCCTCCGCACCCGGCCTATCAAGAGGTCTTGAGACGAGAACTCTGACTGTGCATTTAAGAGAAGAGTTTTGTTCACACGCAGTTCAGAGCTTTGGTAAACTTGAGTACAGCTGCTTGGGGGAGCCCCGGCAGTGGCTAGAAGCTTTTCTGAAATACACTTTCCTTCTGTCCCACCTCGCCTCATTCCAAATGGTGCAAAAGCTGGGAAGAGACCCAGTTTCCTAACATCGCTACACCAGGAAAGAACGGACAATCCACAAACATGCTGTCTTCCAAACTCCATTTCCAGAACTCAAAACCCAGATTCTTTCTCTGGATAATATTAAAAAGAGGGAAAGCATTTTGCATGAAAACATGTTGTAACTGTATTTGTAACACTCAATAAATAAATTACAGGTTTTATATCATTCAGAGAGAGCTGCCAGTGATTTATTCAGTTATTAACTTCACACGCTTGGGAGAATGAATTAAATGCCGGCCCATATTGAAGGTTTGGGGATTATGCAGCCAGAATATGCCACTGAAAAGTTTGGGCAGCTCTACAAGGCATTTTAGGAGAAGCAAGAAGAGTTTGGGAGAAGCCAGGGAGGGCAGATGATTCTGTCCCGTCCATTTACAGCAGCTTATAAATTCCATAAAAAGGAAATGAATTATGCATTATTGGGTTTACATAAGGTCATCCAGTGAACTTTGACCCTTCTCTTTTCTCATTTGGCTCAATTATTAGATGAAATGACAGATTTGATCTCTTTTCAAATTGTATTAGAAAGGGTCTCTTTATTTCACCCTCTAGCAGCAATCAGCTGACAGGACCTGGCAAGTGCATTAATTATGATTGATTTAGAGTGTCTATAGGGTGATTATTTCTAGAATTCTACTCCTGAGCCAAAACCTTTTGACCTATTTCAGGCCACACAGCAAATTAATCCATAAGAAGATTTAAGAGGAGACTTCAGGACAGCAGTTTCCCTCCTGTATTTGCAATCAAAACATTTAAGACACCCAGAGCAACTCAGAGGGATTGAATTACTGGAACACTCTATGGCGAAGACATTTAACAACCTGACAACTTGGTTTTAAAACATCTTATGTGTGATAACCACAAATGGCTCTGAATTAGCCCCCAAAAGGGGAAAAGATTCCTAAGTCTCTCTACTCTGAGCTAATAGGATAGCATAGGAAAACAAATCTTTATTATGAGTTTTTGAATTTGTCACCATTGGAGTTTCAGAATAACATGTCTGTTGGGATATTCAATCTCCCATTCTTCTTTCCAGTGGATTAAAAATGACAGTACTAATTAAAGAAGTAAAGAAAAGAGACCACTGTCACTTGCAATGTATAGACTTGAATTATAATAAGGCTCAGATGAGGAGGAGAAAGAAAAGTTGGAGAAGTATCCTCATTAGGAGTTTCTTTCTAAGCATCAAAAAGCATCCTGAAGATGAATTCTCTTTAAAAAGACGGTGTTTAAGGGGCTGGGGGCAGTGGCTCACGCTTATAATCCCAGCACTTTGGGAGGCCGAGGCAGCTGGATCAAGAGGTCAGGAGTTCGAGACCATCCCGGACAAGATGGTGAAACGCTGTCTCTACTAAAAATACAAAAATTAGCCGGGCGCAGTGGCAGGCACCTGTAATCCCAGCTGTTTGGGAGGCTGAGGCAGGAGAATCACTTGAACCTGGGAGGCAGAGGTTGCAGTGAGCTGAGATCATGCCACTGCACTGTACACTCTAGCCTGGGTGACAGAGCAAGACTGTCTCAAAAAAAAGAGGGTGTTTAACCAAAATTGCCACCTCTGAGTTATTAGATCCCAATAGAGATTAAAGGGAAGAATCATCTAGAATTGATGCCAGCAGATCAATTAACTCAGCCCTACCACTACCTGCCATCCAATGCCCCCACATGGCAAAGAAGGAGTTTGGGTCAGGCCTGAGTAAGTTCTATCTGCAGCACTTACAAGCTGTGTGACCCAGGGCAAGTGACTTGACCTCCCTGATCTCTGTTCTTCTTTTTTTTTTCTATGAGGTACAAAAAATACCTACCTCACTGTAAATTTGTAGTGAGGATTAGAGACCATGTGTGTTTAGAGGAACAAAACTGTTTTGTTGCTATTCTTTATAATCCTCCATTGTCATATTTATAGAGATAGGTCATGAGAACTGAAGAATTTTTTACTTGCTGAGCACAAGCAAAATTTCCATCCTCACACTTGAAAATAGTATTAAGTGGCAGAAAGAGATAGAAACTGGATAGAAAGAGACAGAAGCTATGTCGCTTAACATAAGAAAAGAGGACAGAAAAACCCAGGGGAGGCACGTGGAAGTGTGGGGTTGGAGAGGCTGATAAAAAGAAGGCTCAGGGGAGAGACCTGGTCAGTAGTGGGCACAGGAGTGATACTAGGAGGAGAATATACATCTGGGGAAGATTCCTAAGAGAAAGACTGGGTCTACCATGACATCAATCCCTTTTTCTGTCTCCATTGCAAGATCTTCAGTAAAATCTACAATGCTACAATGCTTTGGTAGGAGTGGGCCCTTCCAGATGAAGGAGAAGTTCTTCAGGTTTGGCCAGGGACAAGGCCGAGGCCATGGCAGATGACAGCTGGCACGTGAGTTCTGTGTATCAGGATCTGACATTCTTAACAAATGATGCTACCATGATTATTATAGTTCTATAGCTTTTATGTTTCTCAAAAGAATTCCGAGGAGGGTGGATCATCTGAGGTCAGGAGTTTGAGACTAGCCTGGCCAACATGGTGAAACCCCTTCTCTACAAAAACATAAAAATTAGCCAAGCATGATGGCAGGTGCCTGTAATTCCAGCTACTCGGGAGGCTGAGCGGGGAGAATCGCTTGAACCTGGGAGGCAAAGACTGCAGTGAGCCAAGACTGTGCCATTGCACTCCAGGCCTGGGCAACAGAGTGAGACTCCATCTCAAAAAAGAAAAAAAAAATCCAGAGAAGTTATCTCTTTTGAGAAAACAAGATGACAAAGACCATGTCAACAGATACTCATGGGTCACAGATGGTTTCATGTTACTTGGCCTCACAGTCTCCACTTGGAAATGTGGGGCGACAATTATTTTTTTTAATTACACTCCCTTTTCCCTTTCAGATCTAAACTCCATGGTTCTGTGTCTCTGTAATTAGTTTTCATATTTTTAGAGGAAGCACTCAGCTTTTTAGCTGTAAACCCAATGGCTTCAGGGACCAAGCAGGTCAACATAAATGAATGAAGCAAACCAAACGTAAAACAAAAGGGAACAGTGGAGATTGTAGCAAACTAGAGGATATAGGAGTTTCTTAAAGGTGTTCAAATCTAATTTTTTTGAAAAGCATTGTGCAGATCAAATTCTACTTTCCAGGACCAAGGTTTGACCTATGACCAAAGAGGCCCAGGATGGGATGTTTAGAATTTGCTTGGTTCTTTTAATCCTATAATTTAGCCGATTTCTGCCTCCATACCACTGACTCATATAGACAAAGTTAGCAGATGCATTTGCTTCTTCAGAAATCAGTTACATTAAATTGAGTGACTGTGGGGCAGCAAAGCTGTCATTATCCTGCGGCCTGGTCATCAGTTATAAAGCTAGTAAGTACAAGCAGCATGTTGGTGGCAATTCCCAGGCTAACTCATATAGTTCTCGGATGATTACACAAGCAGGAATGCATGTGGCTTAATGACAGCTAAAAAAATAACACAAACAACCCACAGCCGAGGACTTTTCTGGGTAGCTGGCATGGCATAGAACAGCTTGGAGACTGGGATTTAGGGTGAGAAGACGTACATTTCAACATTTGCAGATGGAAGCTCCCGCCTCCAGCAGGCTGGTATAGGCTTAATTCTAGTGGTTCTCTTTTTTTTTTGAAACGGAGTCTCACTCTGTTGCCCAAACTGGAGTGCAGTGGTGCGATCTCTGCTCACTGCAACCTCCACCTCCCAGGTTCAAGTGATTCTCCTGCCTCAGCCTCCCCAGCAGCTGGGATTACAGGTGCATACCACCACGCCCAGCTAATTTTTGTATTTTGGGTAGAGATGGGGTTTCACCATGTTGGCCAGGCTGGTCTCCAGCTCCTGACCTCAAATAATCTGGCTGCCTTGGCATCCCAAAGTGCTGGAATTACAGGCATGAGCCACCATGCCCGGCCTATTCTGATGGTTCTCTAAACCAAAAAGTGACTGACCGGCCTTGCAAGACGGTGGACAACCCCAATTCATGGCTCACTTATTATTATGATTTGGGTGGGAGACCAAATGAAAGAGTGTCAAATAAATATGAAGCAGCAGAAGGCTGTACTAATAGGGTCTTGGAGGTAAAAGGATTCTAAAACCACCTCCATCCTAGGACAGAGCAAGAGCCAACATTATGAAGCTAAAGAAACTCTTTCTTGAGCAGCTGTGGTCAGCAGATCTATTTGCAAGGCATGTTGGGGAGGCAGAGGTGAAGAGAAGAGGTTGCCAACCTGAGGAGGGCTATATTGCAGGGGTGAGGAGGTTGGGAGGAAAAGCCATGCAAAGTGACTGTGGCTCAGGGCAAACCCCAAGTCAGAGAGGAGACTTCCCAGGATGACCAGGACGCAGTCAGAGGGAGGCTCTGCAAGAAATCTAGGAAATTGGCTTGAGAAAAGGGGCAAAAGCAACAAAGGGAGCAGAGACCCTGAGCTCTTATTTAGGCTGAGCTAGATGAGTAGCTAATGTTTACTGAGCTCCCTGAAGATGCCAGGTAATGTTTGAAGTGTTTTACATGTATTAACTCAGAGGCCTGTACCGTTATTATCCCTCCCCATTTTACAAGTGAAAAAAACAGACATCTGGAGCTTAAGTCCCTTGCCCAAGGTCACACAGTTAAGAAGTAGCAGAACCAGGATACAAATTCTGCACTTTGGCCTCAGAGCCTGTGCTCTTAACCACTCTCCCAGGCTGCCAGTCTTAGGGAGTCAGTCCTGGAATTGCTTAGCGGGGCAGTCTGCAAGATGGTTCTATGTATCTGTGTATCAGTTTGCAAGATGGCTTGGAAGAAGACAGCCAAAGGGAAGAGACAGAGAATCATCTCAAAAGCAGGACCAGGTCCAAGAGCTCAGGAGCACGCATGCTTGGGTTGTGGGGGAAGGGGTCATCCCAGGGAGATGAAAGGGAGCCAGCATCCCAGAAAATAAGGAAGCCATTCTCCAAAGGTGAAATCAGCTTCCACTGACCAGGTGTCACTTCCAGTTCCTGGGAAGGAGCTCTGTTGTGAAAATAAGTCTGTGTCCTGAGTGTAATGGTAAATAAGCTTTAACAGGGATAGAACCTTTAGGAGGGCTTAAAAGGCCAGCAGCTCTGAGAGAGGTCATATGGGGACACAATTTGCCTAAATGAGGTAAACTTATACTGAGAGCAAGCTTTAGTGTCAGCTGGGGTGTCGAGAAGAAAAAACTCAGGAACCAGGGGTAAGGAGCATTGCAATGAGGTGAAGGAGATGGCCCAGCTAGGGACTTTGGAGAAGAAAATCTTGTTCTGTTTTACGATTTTGCTCAAAGCTTGTGCCACATCTTGGAAACAGATGAGGATGCTGAGAGAGGAAGACCCTTTGTGCTGGCAGCACTCAGAAAGGAGAGAAAGCTGCCCAGGGAGTAAAACAAAGGCAGGAAAGATATTAGCAGCCAGGTGCCGGGCGTGGGGCAGCTCAGGACACGTTTTCTGTGGCCTCATCCCATGGTGGATAGACTCTGTCTCAGCAACTTTAAAAAACAAAACAAAACAAAATTTAAGTATGTAAAGTTTGAACTTTATTTTCCTTTGCAATTTTTTTTTTCTTTTTTAAAGTATTATTGGTTTGGTGCAGTGACTCACGCCTGTAATCCCAGCATTTTGGAAGGCAGAGGCAAGTGGATCGCTTAAGGTCAGGAGTTCGAGACCAGCCTAGCCAAGATAGTGAAACCCTGTCTCTAATAAAAATACAAAAATTAGTTGGGCATGGTGACATGCCTGTAATCCCAGCTGCTCAGGAGGCTAAGGCAGGAGAATTGCCTGAACCTGAGAGGCAGAGATTGCAGTGAGCTGAGATCACACCACCGCACTCCAGGCTGGGTGACAGAGTGAGACTCTGTCTCAAAAACAAAATTATTATTTCTAATTTCAATAGTTTTGGGGGATACAAGTGGGTTTTTGTTACATGGATAAGTTCTTTAGTGGTAATTTCTGAGATTTTGGTGCACCTATTACCCGAGCAACACATACTGTACCAAATGTGTAGTCTTTTATCTTTCACACTCCTCTCAATCTTCCCCCTTTGTCCCCAAAATTTATTATATCACTCTTATGCCTTTGTGTCTTCATAGCTTAACTCTCACTTAGAAGCAAGAACATAGGATATTTAGTTTTTCAGTCCTGAGTGACTTCACTCAGAATAATGATGTCCAGCTCCATCCAAGTTTCAGTGACTTTTTTTTTTTGAGATGGAGTCTCGCTCGGTTGCCCAGGATGGAGTGCAGTGGCGTGATCTCGGCTCATTGCAACCTCTGCCTCCCGGGTTCAAGCGATTCTTCTGTCTCAGCCTTCCGAGTAACTGGGACTACAGGTGCCTGCCACCATACCCAGCTAATTTTTGTATTTTTAGTAAAGATGGGGTTTCACCATATTGGCCAGGCTGGTCTTGAACTCCTGACCTTAGGTGATCCACTTGCCTCAGCCTCCCAAAGTGCTGGGATTACAGGTGTGAGCCACTGTGCCCAGCCTCAGTGACTTATTTTTAACTCAGGTTTTGACAAGCATCTATGTCTTCCCCCTGACTTACTGTTCCATCTGAGGTTCTGGGGACTAGCAGGCAATGAAGCCCAGGAAGGTGCTTTTTTTTTTTTTGAAGCCATGAGAATGAGAGCAAAGCAACAAATAGATCTTGAATCACGGGGAGAAGTTGCTGAGGATGCGAGAGATACAGGAGAAGGCATGCTTAGAGATAAACAGCTACAAGTCTTTCTATGCACATGGGGAAAAAGGTAAGTGGTATTTGAAGGAGAGCAAGGAGGGGGCCAAGAGGGGAGGTTAGTCATTAGTGCGCCACACCTACCAGTGCCAGTAGTGTCTTCTCTTTGCCATGACTGAGTGGGATAAGTGTGAAATTGGCAAGGGACCATTCCAATGGTTCTAACTCCCTCAAAGCTATGTCCCACTCAGCGGACACTGCCATACCATGGATATGCAAACAGAGTGCCAGAAACCCAGATCTCAGATCTGCAGCACCTACTCACACCTACAGTCTGTTACTTCGGCAAGTACCCCATGCAGCACCCCTTGGGATATGAAGCCAAAGAATCCTGGCCATTGCCTTTTCCATGACATCCAGAAGTGAAGAGAAGAGACGCCTCACACTCTCGTTCTCCAGCTGTGGAAAATTCTTGGACTGCAGATCATGTAGGCCTCCTAGTGTCAGAGGAGAGTGCTGGAGGCTGCTACCCTGAGCTCCAGGTGACTGGGGCTACACAGGAAGAGTGCAAGTCTGGTGTTGCCAGATTTTTATGTGTGCAACTAGTTTTTTGTGTTTTTTGTTTGCTTTATTTTGTTTTTGTTTTTTTTTTTTTAGAAAACACGTGGTAGGCCAAACAAGACATTTCTGTAGGCCTTATCTGGCCCCCAAGTCACCTTTGAGTACAGACTCTAAGTAATTGTATCAGTCAGGCTACAATTACCCTGCAGTAACAAACAACCCTCAAAGCTCGTTGGTCTCACTTGGAAAAGGTTATTGTTTCTTCAAGCTGCATGTCCAGCATAGCGTTGGAGGTAGACCCTGCTGGGAAGTTCTGTGCATGGTGAAAACACATGGACCCAGGATAGAGAAGCCTTCATATGAACAGAACCATGTCTGCTGAGGATTACAGAATGTGGCAAATTATGCATTGGCTCTTTAAAACTGCCGCTTGAAATGTATCATGTTTACAGACACACCGTTGGCTTACACAAAACACGTGTCCACACTCCATTTCAAGGGGAATGATAAGGTGCTTGAAAAGAGAATTGAAATATGGAAAACTGAAATATGAATTAATGACATCCTTGTAACTTTTAAAATTGATCCTAAATAAAATGATCCTTTGTAGCATCTTCAATGTAGCAGCGAAGAGGTAGCATCATAGATGGTGCTTTGCAGAGGGTGAAGATAACTGCAAATTCACGTCTCCGTTTTTCCTTCCATTTCAATCCCATCTCTTTAGCAGTTAAGCTGAGGTGGTAAAGACAAGGAACATGGGCTACATTTAGGGGCAAGGGGACACTGGAAGCACCTTGGGTGTCCATCCTGTCTGCTGGGCTCTCTCTGCGGAACCTGGCTCCGTCCACTATCCCTAAAGCCCCACCTGCCTGTAGGGAGAAGCCCTGCCCTCAGGCCCTAGTAGGGAGCTCACTTTCCTGGGTACTTCTCTGAATTATTTCTTCACAGGCATATGCATGCCCAAGCTGCCTGTGAGCCCAGAGAATCGTCCCTTGTGACTCCCCTCCTTCAACAGGCTCCAATTAGACACCACTTAATGGCACCTCCAGTTTGACTGTCTGTCCAAGATTCCACAATGCATGGGAATTCTCCCAGAGATTATTCCTGTTTTTCTCATCTTGAAAAAAAAGGAGGGGGGAAGAATACATGATTGAAAACTAGCCACCAAATGTTAAAAAAAAAATAAATAAATTTGCAGTTGTGTTGCTTTGAAAACTTATTGCACAGCTGGGGGCATTTTAAGAACTTAATTAACAAGCTTTGGCCGCAATGTGCCACCTCTTTGGGAGGGGAAAAAAATCACAGTTAAGATTTGTCCAATTAAATTATAGAAGAGTTGGTGGATTCAAAGGGAGAGAGAGAGAGGTTGGGAGAATGCACTCCCAATTTAAAAAGAAGATCTCTAGTCTGATGGGAGAACGATAGTCTGATTAATTCGGTGCTAAGCTTTTCTACAGTTTCCACAAACTCATAGGCACTTAAGAATTTTTAACCCAAATGTAATTATAGGTTTTGATCATCAGGCATTGGTTAAATAAAGTCCCCTCTTTCCTATAAAAACTGAGGATAAAATATTTTGTTGTGAGGGAGATCTCTCAAACCCCACTTTTTCTCACTTCCATAGAGGACTACACCTTAGCCCAGAATCGAGGCCCCATTAGAACTTTAATGTGCCATAGCAGTTTTGTTCTCCTGGGCCCTATCATCTGTAAAAAATATATGAAAAATTATATTTTATAACTGCATTGGTATAAAGGTGACTATAATGCAGGCTAGATTTATTTTTATTATAGTTATTTTATTTTGACTTTTAAAAGAAATTAAGCTAGGCTCAGTGGCTCATGCCTGTAATCCCAGCACTTTGGGAGGCCAAGGCGGGCAGATCACCTGAGGTCAGGAATTCGAGACCAGCCTGGCCAACCTGGTGAAACCCCGTCTCTACTAAAAACACAAAAATTAGCCGGGCATGTTGGCAGGCACCTGTAATCCCAGCTACTTGGGAGGCTGAGGCAGGAGAATTGCTTGAAGCCGGGAGGCGGAGGTTGCAGTGAGCAGAGATTGCACCATTGTACTCCAGCCTGGGGTACAAGAGTGAGACTTCATCTCAAAAAATAATAATAATAAAAATAAAAGAAATTAAAACTGTAACATTCTAGTGGGTCCCTTAAGGTATGGTAGTCCCTAAGACACCCTGCCTCCTGTGCCCGGTGGATAAGTTGGCCCTGCCTGGAATGTCCTTTTATGAGCCAAAAGAAGGCCATGAGGCCACTGAAGGATGGGTTCAAAATAACAGCAACGACGACACAGCAAGGCATTTCATATCAGCTTACGCGAAGCCCTGGTCTTCACAGCAGACTAACCTCCAAGTCCCCCCCCAGCCCATGCCTACCCCCACACCAAAAAAAAAAAAAAAAATTGTTATTCTGACATCATTGGCCTGAAAGAATACCCAGTACAGTATGCACTCTTTTGGAATGACGAGTTTTCTGCCTTTTCCTAAGGGGGATGCTCAGCCACAGACAAAAATGCGTAAGGGCAGCAGAGAAAATTCATTTGTACAAGCTGGCCCCCCTACTGTGGAATTTTCAATTATATATATCTAATTATGGCTGTCAGTTGATGGATTCAGAAAAGACATTTTGGTCCCCCCCCTCCTTTTTTTTGTCTTTTCGTCATCTCTTCTGTTAGAATGATTATAGCACACTTACACAACTAATTGCCTTACTGCTGATTAGTGATACAATTATGCAGACCCGGCTCCTTGTGTGAACAACCATCTGCAGAGAAAAAAAAAGTGACACTATTCAAAAACTATCCATAATTTAACCAATGTTATTCCAATGCACTGAGCCCAGACAATCGTCTAGCTTTCATATTTCATACCCACCCTGGCAAGAGGAGGTTGGGTTTTGTGTGCCCAATTCACCTCTTTAGACACACTGTGAATCAGAAAGAAAGAGGAGAGAAGAAAGTACTTCAAATGTCAACCCATAGTGGGGAATTGAAGCGTGGTTAACGTCCATTCCTCCTTTGGGTAATTTTTCTTCAAATTTTATACCACTTGGCAATTTTTTGTTTCCTTTCAAACTGCTGAGAAAGTGCAGATGTTTCAACTCCCCAAAGTGGGGCTTGGGTTTGCTGCGTTTTTTTTTTTTTTTTTTTTTTTTTTTTTTGTGGGCTGCTCTCCTCGATCTCTTTCTCTCCTTTTTCCCCCATAATGTTTTCAAAAAGAAAAAAAAGAAAGAAAGAGGAAAGAAAGAAAGGGTTTTAATAGAATCGAAGGACGCGGCTGACATATGACATTTCAACAAAGTGTGTCTTTTGTTCTCTAAGGCAAAGTATACAAGACACCAAACTCCGAGACCTTAGGGGCCACAGGGAGAGAACAGGTGGACGGGGCAGGATGCTGTTTGCCCCGGGGGAGAAAACAAAGAAAGCGATTTGGTCTTTCCCCATGAGCAAGGCAAGAGCAGCCCTGTCTGTGTGAGGAAAAGAAAGAGCCCATTAGAAGAGCAGGAAGGTTCAAAACTGTAAAGCAAAGTGCCAAATTCTCCCCTAGTTTTAAAATAAGATTGGAGGTTGTCAGGGCACAGAAAGAAGGATCCTGAGGTCTTAGAGTGGCAAGGTTCTCTTCGATTTTGATATTAATGTGGAATGACTTTGTAGAGCAGAGAAAGATTCTGGGCCTTACAGAAAGACATTTAAGAAGAAATCCTAAGGGCCGGGTGTGGTGGCTCATGCCTGTAATCCCAGCTCTATGGGAAGCCGAGGGGGTGGATCACGAGGTCAGGAGTTCAAGACCAGCCTGACCAACATGGTGAAGCCCCATCTCTACTAAAAAAAAAAAAAAATAGAACAGTTAGCCAGCCGTGGTGGCATTCACTTGTAATCCCAGCTACCCGGGAGGCTGAGGAGAAGTGCTTGAACCCAGGAGGCGGAGGTGAGCTGAGATTGTGCCACTGCACTCTAGCCTGGGTGACAGAGTGAGACTCTGTCAAAAAAAAAAAAAAAAAAAAAAAAAAAAAGAAGAAGAAGTCCTAGAGAATCAAGATTTCTGATGTCCATGATGCATCTCTGTCACCAGCAAAAGATGAGGAGAGATGGGGGCTGGGCCTGAAAACTTCATTTGGAGATGCCTCATCTCATGTCCCAGACAGAGGCCTTCTCTCAAAGCACCACTTCTGCAGCGTGGGCACTGCAGAACCTTTGAAGTCACAGATTCTTCCAGGCCTTAGACATCATTCTGTCCTTGCTAAGGCACCTGAGCATGTGATTCAGCCTCTCTGCTTTTGCTTTTCTTTCATTCTCTTCTACTCAGCATTTTGTAGCAAGTTAAAGCTTGATTTTCAGTGCCATTGTGTTTTTTTTAAGGGCAGAAATTTTGATTTCCCAGTCCCTCTGAACTTCTTTCCAACAGTGATAACTGAAGCTTCTCAGGATGATCCCAGTATGTTCTCCGAAATATAAAAGATAAAGATATGTTGAGCCAGTTTTGTTTTGTTGGGTATTTTCTGATAGCAAAACTAATAATATTAGTGACTCTTTTTTTGCTTTATATGAATTACTTCATTTTGTTCTTCACAAAATCCTTCAAAGTATGTATTATAATTATCCCACCGTATGGAGGAGAATCCCTCAGATTAATGGAGTTAAATAACTAGGCCTGGACACATAGCTAATTGCTGGTACCTGTGAACAACAATTTGAATTGAAGCCTAGAGCTCTCCAAAGTCTAAGCTCTGACCCACCAAGCATACCAACACCTCCTCCATGCCTTAAACAGTGTTAGTCTGTACAGAGAGGACTTGACAACTCTGCTAATCAGAATATTTCTTGAACAACTAATGGAAGGGATAAAGAAAGAAAGGAGGAAGGCAGAAGGAAGAGAAGGAGGGACAGAGTGAGGGAGGAAGACACAAGTCACTGCTGCCTTGTGGGAGATGCACTGGACTTAGCATAGCTGCCCTGGTGTCCTGGTCACTGCTCTCCCCCTGTGGCTGAATGGCTTGGGACAGGTTGCCAGACCTCTATATGTCTTCACCATTAAAAGAGACGTTTAAGAAAGGATAAATTTCTTCTTCCTAAAGAACCTCTCCCAGTCCCTTTGTCCAATCCTGGCATCTCATTTTTCAATGCTTACATAGACCTCTCCTCTGGGGTCACCTGGCACAACAACGCTTTACTAACTGCCTTCAATTCTTAGGTCATACTGAGGCATTAGGCTTGCCAACCTGGTTGAAGTGTGAGATCTTAGAGAAAAAGAATCTTCTTTCCTCCTCCTTTATCTTCTTTTCTCCTCCTCTGCTTCCTTCCCCTGCTCCTCCTTCTTCTTCTCTGTTTTTCTTACAAGGGTTAAACAAGGGTCTATTTTGAGCTTAGCACAAAGTCTGTTCCCACTTTCTCCAAGTGTCCCACCTAAGTGCTGAAGCTCAGTAAATAAGCCCAATTGGAAGTGGATACATGATTAGTTAATTGTTCAGTGGCAAAGTTCTTACAGTTGATTTTCTCTGCAATCACTCTAGAAAAAGATAAGTAAAAGCCTTGGTTGGTGGGAAAGATGGTCTTTTTGAAGATAAAAAACATATTCAGAGGAATGTTTTTGGGTTAGTTCTTTTTTTTTTTTTTTTTTTTTGCACTTAGCATCTGACAAAGAGAGAGTCATTAATGCCATAGCGTGCATATGAGACTGTAATGAGATGATTCTCACCTGAGTGATTTCTGAGGCATTCATCTCATTGAATCTAAATACCAGGGATCCAGACTCCACCAAGATTTTAGACTTGGTCTGGTAAACAGGGTTTAATGACTAAGAAAACATGTAGAGTCCTCAAGGATATAAATCAAGCATCAGGACCCCAAACCAGTGATCTCCCACCACAGCAAGCTTTAGTCTTATTTGTAAAACTGTAGGATCCTCAAGCCTCCTCCCTAAGAAGAATCAGGAAGAGAATCCTAAGCCCAAACACTGATTTGTCTATTTCCTTGCCTGAGGAAAGATTTGTCTGAGGTGTTTCTGACGCTCAGATGGCAAATCGGGCCGCTCTGTGTGGACAAGTGTGTCTCTGAATGAGACTTTGGTATTTTTACGATTGGAGGTGGGGAAAGGTGAGGGCAAATGTTAGGAAGTGAAAGGTATCTTGGGACAATTCAAGTCAACCTTTTATCCAGTGTGGAGCCACCAGCCATCTTGTTTTTTGTTTGTTTGTTTTGCTTTGTTTATCTCCTTTGTCATCCCTGGCTCAAACTAAAGAGTTTGGGAGCTTATTTCTGTACCCTAAATGCCCTCCTTCTCCTGATGTGACAATCAGTGTATCCCAGTTGGCAAAGATGACCCAGCCCCTTGGTCTATCCATTGAACCAGGCAACAATCTCCAACCATCCATTTAACTATCCATCCACCCACCCACTCATCTATCTACCCATGCAACATCAAATGGTCTACTATATTCCAGGCGTTAAAGTAGGTGCAAAAATCAAAAGAAGAAATAGACACTATTTCCATCTTGAAGGAGTTTGTTGTCTGGTGGGAATAAAGACTACTTATCAATAAGCACAATAATAGCAAGTAGTCAATGATATAATAGGTACATTCATAGTGCTAACATAATATAAAGATTTATTGAACACTTACTATGCTCCCAACCCCATGCTAAGCTCTTTACATAATTTCTCTCATTTAAGCCTCATGATGATCCTATGAGACAGGTGCTATAATTTTCTCATTTTCCACATAAAGGGACTTGTTCCACATCACATACCTATGAAGAGGTGGGGCTCTTGAAGCTCAACACTCTATCTCCAGACCTTATGCTCTTAAACATCAAGCTACCTACTGCTAGCTGGAATCACTGATGAAGATATGACTCCAGAGAAATTTACGGAGTTCCCTCAGAGAGGGTGACACTTATGCTGGGCCTTAAAGGAGATCATCAAAGAGAGGAGGGAAAGAAAATTTCAGGCAGTTGCAAGACTGGGTACCAAGTCCCATGTGTTTAGAGAGGAGCAAACATTTCTTCAGTATGACTAGAAGATAGAATGCATATGTGTAGATGGAAAATAATACAATAACAATCATAATCACTACCTCTTATAGGATGCCTCTTCTACTACCTGCTATGGCTGTTCATACACAACCCCTGTAATCCTTACAACCCCCATGAGGCTGTATCATCATCTGCGTTGGAAAAACTCAAGCTAAGAGACTTTCTGCACTGCCCAGATAAATGATTAGTTCAAGGTCACACAGTTAAATGAGCTGAATAAGCCTATAAAGAAAGAATGGTCTGATTCGCCCAGTTTATGCACCTAGAGGGGTTAACAGCTTGGGCTGTGAACTTAGACCACCCGTGATGAAATTCCAGCTCTGTCACTTCCTAATTTTGCGGCCTTAGGCCTCTTACTAAACCTCACTGTGCCTCAGTTTCCTCATCTGGAAGGAAATAATAATCATCTTATTTGTCTTATCTGAGTGTTATTTCAAGGACTCAATGAGTTAATGCATGTGAATCACAAAACTTAATGCCTGGTACCTCATTTAATAAAGATTTACTATGATTGTGATTATTATTTTAGGGTCCATTCATCAGGAACATCTAAGTGCTGTTTAAAGCAAGGAAAATAAATGGATGTAGATGAGAAAAAGAATCCCAAGTGAAATGATAGAGAAGTTGATAGTCACTAGCAGCTGGTCAAAGCCCCCAGCTCAGGAGGGAAAAAGGAACAGTTTTAACCAAAGGCCCTGTCAGCTCAGAGAAGGTACAAGCTTTTCTGACAAGTTTTAAACAACTTCCAAGCCTTCCCTTAAATATCTCTTAAAAGCAAAGTGCTCTGGGGCATTTTGACCTTGGCCCAGGGATGATGTGATGTGTCTCTGTGCCAGGCTTCAGACTCAAGCAGGGGAACACTGACTTATGAGGAAGTCCATGCTGCCTGGATTTTGGCTTACTGGTCAACAAAGCCTCAAGGCTTCCCATTCTTTTGAGAAGCTGATTCAGTTTCACCCAAGTTCCCCCAGCTCTGAATGTAGGCCCAGTACTCTCAAGGGACCGTGAGCTTTCTCTATCAAGTGCATTGGGAAGAAAGACAGTGTGAGGCTATTTGTCTTTCTTCCATGAGAGAATGTCTATTAAAATGCAACACATTATTATCCTAATCAGCACACCCTGCCGGTCAAATCATGTCCCAAAGTTTTGTACAAGGGCAGCCAAACGTAACTTGATTGGTTCATAAAGAGAGTACTTGTCTCTTGCAACAAGTGAGATAAAGCATTATGTTTGCTTAGCAACATCTCATTTTGGGGGCTGAGACTGCCATAATCACCATACTGGGAAGACAGGCCATTCTAGTTTGGTTTCCTCCAGAAGCAACCCAAAGACAAGGGTTCAAGTGCAGATAATTTATCTGGGAGCTGCAGAAGGTCCCTGTGGAGGAGTAGGGAAATGATCCAGGGAAGGGAAGGTGGCCAGCAGGTAGCTTCTTATAGAACTAGCTAACATTGTGAGCAACTGGAGCTCAATCCTGTGGGGAAACTCCAAAGAATGGTGTAAAGCTCAGGCCTCAGAATGAGCCACCTTCGCAGTGAGTGAGCTGGGGTGTTTATACACCAACTTCAGCCATTGTTTGAGACCTGCTTCAAGGGGCTGTTAATACCCCAGGACTTTGGGCTTACTCTTCCTAGGCAAAATGGCTTTCTGAGATATCGGAGAAAGCCCTCAGGCATGGAGAAGTGGAGAAGGACAGGTGGAAGGCAGCTGGAGCATGCTAGAAGGGTAAGATCCTGGAAATCTGCCTCCTCACCTTCAAACAAATATGTTCTGCACCAACTCACTTATCCAGAGGAGAGCTGGTGAACAGCCTCTAATATCCACGAAAATTTTTGTGTTTATTTATTAGAGATAGGATCTCTCTATATTGCCCAGGCTGAAGTGCAATGGCTATTCACAGGCACAATCATAGTACACTACAGCCTCAAATTCCCAGCCTCAAGCCATCCTTCCACCTCAGCCTCTCAAGTAGCTGGGACAACAGGTGTGTGCCACCACACCAGGCTAATTTTTTTTTTCTTTTTTTTGGTAGAGACAGGGTCTCACTATACTGCCCAAGCTGGTCTCAAACTTCTGGCCTCAAGTAATCCTCCCACCTCAGCCTCCTGAGAACTTGAGATTACAGGTTCCCACCACGTGTCCGACCTTTGTATCTTATTATTAACAGTAATTACTTATTCATATCAGAGCTTTATTCAGAGCCTTTTTACTCATAGGTATAATATTAAACTATATTGATGCAATATTAGTAAACTTTATTGAGGTCACAAGAACAAATGAAAGGAGCTATGACTCACAAATTCTACTTGAAAGTTATCCTACATAAATACATACACATGTTTCCAAAGATATATGAACAAGGATATTAAATGTTGCTTTGTTTGCAACAAACAAAAAATGGAAACCGCATAAGTGCCCCTCAATAGGTGAATGGTTCACTAAAGGTTTTGAGATCCTGAAGTTATTATAAAGAATGACAGAAATCAACACATATACTATCATGGAAAAAATTCAATATGTAAGTGAAAAAACTCTTGCCACAGAATATGTGATTATTATTTCCATGTATGTTATAGTCATGCATATATAATATAAAAATGTATTATATATAATAACATCTATGCTTGTAAAGATCACGAAGGAAACACATCAAAATGTAATAGGGATTATTTCTGGGCAGAGAATAGAAAATAGTTTCAGAAGGACTTTCTCTTTTTAATCAATGTATTGCTCAAGTTGTTCACTATAAATGTGGATTCATATATTATTTGTGTAATTAAAAGGATGAGTGACAGCTGACATCTTTCCACTAACCCAGAAGAATGTTTTAAAAACCAATCAAAGTGGAAAGAACAACTAAGAATTCATAGCTGTCTAGGTCATTTAGCATAGTGAATAAACATATCTTCATGTACGTGAGGATATCATTACAATACAGCACTAAGCCATGGTGGTACTTACACACCTCATAGCTCAAGACGTATTAAAATATTGTCAAAATTTCTGTTTGAAAGGCAGCAAATTATGTGATATGATTTGGAAAAAAATGTCCACTAAAAATAATCGAAGTACAGTAATAAAGAACTTGATACTAAATAGATACGGTTCAGCTGCATATAAAATTCACTTGTACAGTACCTGCCCAACACTGCCAGGTGAGTGAAAGGTACAGAGTGAACCATCACACTGGCCACACTGGGGGTTCTTCTGATGTTTACAGGCTCCACTCAAGAGACAGTATTGCATCCAATAATCTGCTGGTAAATGTTTAACAACTGGCTCTGGGGATAGTTGGGGTGAGTGCTGACTTGCAGAGTTTCTGATTTCCATGATGTAAATAATCCCTCCACGGCTGCTTTCAAGTTACCAATGAGACATTGCTAGTGGGGAAGAGATTCTCAGTTACAGCACCACACCATTCTATAGTATTTCCTCTACATAGGCCCAATAGATACAAAAACTTCAAGAACATATACAGTATAACCAGTAAAAAGTAGTAAAATAATCAAGAAGAGATAAGTTTTGAGTATCATTGCCTTTGTTTTTCACATCGTTCATGTAATGGTAAGTTTATATAAATTTTAATAATTGTTATGTTTAAAAATCAGTTTGCAAATTTCCTGTAATTTTGATCCATCAGCTCTCTTAAGCTCGTACAGCTCGTACAGGCTGGCTCTAGCATACCACTGACTGTAGGAGCGTACAGATTTGTATCTGGAACATTTCCACGGAGAATACTTCAAGGAAGGGGCCAAGTAGATGCTAATCAGAATTATAGAAAACACCGTGTTTGGCTCTAGAAATATAAACAGACAGATTGTGTTTTCGCAGCAGCCTGACACAAGTTTTGGTCGAGAGCAAGGCTCCCTAATTCCCCCAAGCAACTTGCCTGAGCAGGAAAGATAGTGAGGAATATAATTTCCCTTCTAGTGGGAAAAGGATTTGGCTTCAGAGGCCTGATATTGGAATGAAATGCACACTATGGCGAATACTAAAATGTCCTGCTCAGAATGCTTTGGGGCCTGAGATATTATCTCATCAGCAAGCAGAAAGTAATTTGCTGTTCTTTTGAATGCATCGGAATATTTCTTTTCCTTGATCAGTTTTTCCAGAATGAGGAGACTTTACTAAAATCATCTTCCTAGCAAAAACTATGTTGCTTGATTTTTTTATTTCATGATATCTGTATTAGATGAGCATTTTTTTTCATGGCCATATTAAAATATTACTGGATATATACAAATGGAGAAGTTTATAAAACAACCAAACCTAATAATATTATGTTTCATCATTTGTAAAAGGAAGGGAAGGTGTTGCTAAACCACCAAACCACTAAGGATCATTTTAGCCCTAAAAGCAGGTGAATTTTTGTTCCACGTTTTTATGAAGTTAAAACGTAACCAATTGCAAGTGAGAAGAGAAAGCAGGAAGGGAAAGGAGTGAGACCCCGGCACCTGGGGCATTGTCAGTGTCTGATAAATGCCAGACTTACTGCTAAAATGCGATTGATAAATACTAACTAAATCACAGCCACACTCAGGGCGCAACTCATTTATTTTCTCACCCCCACAAAAGGCACACAAAACATGGAACTCAAGTCAGGCATGACCAAACCTGAAAAATTTGACTCTTCCATCCTGCTGCTAGCCGAATTCCTCGTGATTTGGGCAGACTGTGGGGGAGGCCTGGGGGGCAGGGGTGGGGGTGGGAAGTGATGCTTAATCTGGCGAGTCTTTGGGAAGGAAGGAGCCGCGAGGCCTGGCCAGCTCAGTTCAGTCTTTCATGAATAAACACTCTAATTGGGGACATCACAGATAATGGGTCTGACTTCTTTCACTGGAGGGCCGGATCATGATTTGCTAATTGGATATTCCTGGGGTGGTGGAGGCGCCCTCACTGGCCCTGAGTGATTACTAGTTAATGGGGTTTTAGAAGTTTTTATTCCAGACTGATAAGAGAAGCCACGTTGAGGAAAAGAAGCCGGGCGCCCAACCCGGAATGGCATCAGGAAAGAAGCCCCAGCATCGGGGAAAGCACGTGGTGGCACCAGGTTCAGGATCTCCCTGGCCCAGCATTGGCTTTTCAAGTGGGGTGCCCACCACAGTCAGTAGCCCAGTACCAAACCCTCTTTCCCTCCAGGGGTGTTTGACCTGGGAGATAACATGCCCTTCCCACCAGACCTCCTTCACCACCAGCCTTTGAGCTCATACCCTTGCCCAAGAGCAAGTATGGAATAAACCAGGCACAAGAGCCAGCCAAACAGCAGGGGTGGCTCCTCATGAAAAGGAGGGAGCTGCTTTGGAGCCCTGGGACCTGAGTTGGAGCATGGGGGTGGCAGCTTTGTTCAAAGATGAGGGGGAGGTGATTGGGGGAGGGTGCTCCCAGTCTGTCCCTCTACAGGGGTGGCACCCAAGGGTGAAGCCACAGAGGAAGTAGGAGCTGCAACAGCAGAAGGTGAGGTGGTGTCTCAGAGGCAGTGCTCTGGCCCATCCTTTTATGTGGGTTCAGGACCATATTCGGAGGCCTTCACCTGTCCTAACACACTTCCTGGGGACAGAGGGAAGAGGAATTGGGGAAAAGACAGGAGATGGAAATTTAAAAAAGGCAAGAAGCCCTTTTTTTTTTTCAACTTCCGCCTCCTGGTTTCAAGCGATTCTCCTGCCCCAGCCTCCCAACAAGAAGCTTTTTTACACCAAAACTCAAATCAGTTATTTGCTGCCTAAAAGGTTCTTGTAAACCAAAGGCTAGCTGCTCTGGCCGGAACTGAGAGCATACTATATCCCATAGAACACCCAATTTCTCTTTCTGAAAGAAAGCAAAACTTCTTTATTAATGAATGTATGGATAATTCAAGGTCTATAGACCTATGCTGTGGTTAGGCTCATTTATGAGCAGTAGCCCTGCTCAGTTAATCTCTGGTCATTAGTCTTTCTTCCAGGAGACCGGACTCTTTTCCTGGACCTCAACTTGTCAAACTGTGATTTTACTCATTTGTAAAAGACAGAGTGCCTTGAGTATGTTGCTCTTGTCAATGAAGAAGGGCAACCTTAGCTCATCAGAAACTGCAGAAGACATACTGGGGAAGCTTTCCCTGCCATTAATTCCCAAGAAGTGATTCAACAGAGAGTTGACATCATGAAGCTAATTTGCATCTCAAAATATCTACGAGTTATTGAGCCTTTCAATGTGCTAGACCCTCTACTGTACATTTTACCTATAGCAACTCATTTAATCTTCCTGAAAGCCTGATGAGATAAGCAGTATCATTATCTCTATCTTATAGATGGAAAAACCGACTTAACTGAGGTCACACCCTGAGTAACAAGCAGACCTAGAAGTTGACCCCAGGTTCATTTGACCTTAAAGCCTTGTCCTTATCCACTGTGCCCTTCCTAGAATTTTGTGCTGCTCAACATTTCTTTCCTGAAAACAACCAACCAGATGGGTGATGACCTGGACTCATCAGGCACATGAGCAAGGAACATGATTTAATTTTTGTAGAAATACTGAGAATGGGTTCCTAATAAGCGGTACATTCCAGGATTATGAACAGAAAAATAAAACTTTATTTATTTATTTATTTATTTATTTACTTTATTTTTTGAAGCAGGGTCTTGCTGTGTCACCCAGGCTGGAGTTCAGAGGGTGTGATCATGGTTCACTTCAGCCTCGACCTCCTAGGCAAAGGTGATCTTCCCACCATAGCCTCCTGGGTAGCTGGGACTACAGGCATGTGCCACCGAGCCCAACTAATTTTTATATTTTTTATAAAGACAGGATTTCACTATGTTGCCTAGGCTGGTCTTGAACTCCTGGGCTCAAGCCATCTGTCCTCCTTGGCCTCCCAAAATGCTGAGGATGACAAGCATGAGCCAGCCGGCCTGGAAAACTTTTTCATATTTTTTTTTTATTGGTGGTCTTTAAGAACTGCACCGTCTTTTTCTAGATGCAGCAATAACTGGTCACTTCCCAGAAACTTAAAATAAACATGTTTATCATCAAAGAAGGCTCACTGATGACCCTGGATAAATTGCTTAAGCTCTCAAAGACTGATTTTCCCACTGCATAAAATGTCCTATAGGAATAGATGTTCTTTAAGCTTTCTCCACTTTCACATTGATTGATCAAGAATTCTATGTGTGTTATAAAATGGGAGTTCAATATTACCCATGTGGTGCTACTTCCATGGCTAAGAGAATTGGTTATAAAGAATCTGGATTTTTTAAGGATCATATTTACGATTACTTGGACTCCTCTTCTCTTCCCTTATCTTCTCTTCTCTTCTCCTCTCCTCTCCTCTCCTCTCCTCTCCTCTCCTCTCCTCTCCTCTCCTCTCTTCTCTTCTCTTCTCTCTCTCTCCTGGTGCTTGGCTCTGCTTCTTTGAGCTATGTATCTCTTGGCATCCTTGGTACAGCTCCATCTGGCTCATTTGTTATTCATGAATTAACCTGTGTTTGCATGCATTCACCTTTTAACAACTGCTCCAAAGTACACGGTAGTGTAGCAGCAAGGGTCTCCATGTTAGATCATGCACATCGTCCATCAGAAGTGTGTGAACATGCATGCCAATATAGATGTGTTTACATAAACATTATGTGCATTAAATATGCAATACACATTTTATAATAAACACCAAAAATAGAAAGTAAAAAGTCCAAACATATTAACATCATATCTTAGTGGGTCGCTTTGGGCCAGCCAGCCTCTTTATGGAGATCCCCAGTATCTAGGATAGTGGCGGGCCTCTGTGCCTTTGGGCTTAGATGGCAGACATTTGAAAATGAAAATGTGATAACCAAGAGGGTCTGCAAACCAAGGCCTGGGCAGAAAGTGAGCAGGAAAGTGTCCTACTACTGAGCAAAATTCCAGCTCAGTGTTTCATATGGATGCAGGGAAAGGAAAAACGAAGAAAGGCAGGCCTGGATTCTTCAAGGGAGACCAGACATCCAGACATTCATGGGAACTGTACCAATGGTTAGTATCAGTTTGTCTTTTGGTGTTACAATATGGACTGAACCAAAGACATGTAAGGGTCAAACATGTCATATACTCTGCCAGTTCTTGACCCTGGTCCTGTAATCTAGAGGCAATCATTGCACCTTGTTGAAACCCAAATCCTTCAGAGAGACACCAAATCACACTGGATCAGCTCTTTGCACCAGCATGTAAATGTATTTGACAGGTGTCCCTAATGGTGGAGAAGAGAAAAACTGTAATAAGACCCAGAGAAACTAAGAGGAGAGGCCCAAAAAGAACAAACTTGGTGATTCAGGTGCCCGAGTATCTGCTCCTGGTCCACATTTACCCCTCATCACAGCAACTGCCACTCCAGAGTTTGATCGAGGCAGAAGGATCAGCCACCTAAGGAACATTTTTCTTCTGACCCTTTGGGCAACATTGAGTACCCTGAACTTGTCAAGAAGCTAACAGGGTCTGCTTCTGTGCTCTGAAACTTGAAAGTCTGTTTCCTCCAGAGTGACTTGGAAAAGACTAAATACCTTCCTGTACCCCTTTTAATACCTCCCAGTTCTGCCTTAGTGACTTCTGTAGCACCATTATCCCCTTTCTAAGATTTGTTAAGAGAGGGACACACAAAATACATGCTAATGACATATGCAAATGAGTCAGATAGGGCTGGAATGAGGATGTCTAGAGATAACTCAAAGTTACAGAGACCTGTTCAGGAAGAGGAAGATACAAAGTGAGAAAACAAAAGTCCTAGGGAGACATAGAATGAAAAAAAAAAAAAAAGAGCTTGGCCACCATGGTTGGTGAAGAAAACACTTTAGAAAAGAGAAAAGGGGGCAGCAAAGTGTCCTATTACTGAGCAAAATTCCAAGTCAAGTTTCCATATGGGTGTTACTCAATTAAATGACACGTGTTAACCTAGATTCTGCCTTGAAATAATAGTGTTTCGTAACACTAAGGCATGTCCAATACGCCAAGCTTTGTTGACACAGAAAATACCTTATAACATATTTAAGTCTTATAACATCCCTATAAGGTAGATGTTATTATTATTATCATCCCAATTTTGCAAATAAGAAAACTGAAGCACAAAGACGGTAAAGTCATCAGCCCAATGTCACCCAGCTGGTAGGGGGCAGATCGGAGGCTGGGAGCCGAGGTGGTCAACCTGCAGAGCTTGCCACTTGTACACAGAGGACTCTACCCCTACTGCAGAGGATCTGCATTAGAACACATGGTTGAGAGAGTCAGGGTTTCCATGCTCTGAAGGAAAGCCCCTTTAACTTCATGAGTTTCTCTTTTCCTTGCTAACTAGTATTTAGTAGGCAGAGTTGTGCTGTGAAATGACTGCTCAACTGAGAAGCAGTATATTGGTCTCTTAGTTACTCTGGGCTTCGATTTGTAGGGACTAAGGCTGTTTTCTGCTCAAAGATTCTATGGTATATGAATTAACCATCATAGCTTATTAAAGACATGCTTAAAAGGGGGTTAAAAAATTATCTCAGCAGTGACAAGTAATATTTGAAATTTGTTCATTTAGAAACTGAATGAACAGATTCCTTCCAGAAGCACTAAGATTCATCATACACGGTAAATATTTGTTTGGACAAATTTTAAATTGAGGATCATTTGATTGATAGATAATTGTTTCCAACGTCAGCTGAATATGCTCAACTGTCGCTGCCAATTCTCGAGTAGATGTGTTATCTTTTTCTGTTTTCTTTCTCTCTCATTTAAAAAAAATGTTTATTTTATTTTTTTAATAGAGATGGAGTCTCACTGTGTTGCCCAGGCTAGTCTCAAACTCCTGGGCTCAAGCAATTCTCTCACCTCAGCCTCCCAAAGGACTGGGATTATAGGCATAAGCCACTGTGCCCGGCTTCTCTCTCTCATTTTTTTAAAAAAACTGTGCACATTATTTTCATATTACCAGTTCTTAAGTTGATTTCTTCACTAAGGGAAAAACACATGACTCCCATTTTATCCAAGGGACCCAAGCTATTAGAAGCTCCAGAGGCAAGGCTGTGGGATGGGCCCTGCAAGAACCTCAGGATGTGCAGATCTCCATCTAGCCTGGATCTATCTCCTGAGCCCAGCCCAGCTCTATTCCACACTCATGTTCTGCGAGAATTCCCAATGCCCATTCCTCCTTCTTCCCAAGGTAACCTACCCACTTTCACATGAGACAATCAAGGCCTAGAGGAAGGACTGCCTTGTGATCCTTAAAGGCCTTCCCAGCCCTGAAAGTTTACATATATGCACACATATGCTCCCCAGCCTAGGAGTCAGAAAAGATGAATACAGTCAGGAAAGCTTCATAGAGCTGGTCTTAAAAAAAAAAAAAAAGTTGATTTTTAAATAAAGAAACAGGAGAAAGTATTTATCAATTCTTCTCCATTAGGGATTGTTACTGGATGAGAAGAGAAATACTCTGTTAAACACAAAGGTCTGATTCTTATTAGATCTGCTTCCTAATTTCTTTCGATTCCCTGGCTCACAGGCCAGTGCTTATTTTCATGGCCCTTTTACAAATAATAAATATTATTTTTATGGTTAATTAACACAGCAATCTGTATTTTAATTTACTTCTCACTTCTGGAAAAGTTAGTGGCCAGAGGAACAACAACAAAAAGCTACATTCTCTTAAAGGTAATGTGTTCAAACAGTTCTCTCGTTATTTTTTTTAATAATAAGTTTAAAAATCTATTATTATAGAGTAATTGCTCATCAAATTTCTTTTTAAAAGTCAAAGCAATTTTCAAATTATAAGGAACTTCTCAAATGTGTCTAGATAATTATGAGGCTCTATTTTATATAACTCCTAATACTTCAGTAGGCTGCAAGGCCTGTTACAATCTTTGCCATTGGAGCACAAGATTGCATCAACTGTGTTCACGTGTAAAGCACTGTGTGATGCGTGTTAAAGATAGTACATTTCTGTTTTTGCTGGTACATTTTGCTGGTAAAAGATAGTACATTTCTGTTTTTGCAAACACATCCATATGGAAATTATCTATCAACTTCCTATAGCATCAGCTGTTAGGACCAGCACAAATTATCTTCTCCCTAAGTTTTAAGGATGATAAAGCTGCTTGAGAGATTAGATAGATAGATAGATAGACGATAGATCAATAAAATAGGTTGACAAATGAGCTATGACTTTAACCAACTCATCCCCCTTGATAAAGAAAAATGGTTAAAGGCCACTGAAATGCTGGGATCCCCAGAAAGACTCTTGGCATCAGCAGAACAGCTACCCTTGGGACAGGACCCTTGAAACTTTTAGATCACTCCACAATTCTCTCTTTGAAGTTGAAAACTTGCCACAATTTCTTCCTACCACACAGAATCTGATTTTTAAAATTGTCTATGTGTACTTACAAAGGCATCTGTTTTCCTTAAACATTGAAATAAAGGCCAATTTTGGATTATCTAGGGTCGTGAACTGACTCTGGGAGATACAGGGGAATCATGAAAACTTATCAGAATTGGTAACATTGATCACACACACGTGTGCATGTTTATGCACACATGCACGGGAGCACACAAACACACATTCGCTGCACCTTAGTCTGCCCTTCTCTATTTGATTCTCCATTCTCCGATTGCCTGCATCCTGGGACCTCCTAGATACTTTTCCTGGGCCCTTGGTCATCTAATTGCTGCTTCCCTTAAATGCAGAGGCAAAGAGACACCTAGAGCAACTCAGAAAAGGGTCTGGTTCACTTTAAACATTACTTTTCTCGTCATTATTCTCTACCCCCCAATACAGTTGCCGGCTGTGATCTGTTGCCTTTCAACTTGGAATAAAATACATTACTTATGCAGTGAATGTTTTTAATGTAACAAAGCAAAGGAATAAAAATGCCTTACAACAGTTTTATTAAAAACAAATTCCCACAGTAAATACATATACACTCCGTCTCTGGGAGCAAAACAGCCAAGGACATCACCGCTAAGTGCTCTGGGAAGTGCTTATAAATTACTTGAAATAAAAAACATTGTTGCCTGGACATCAGGGATGAAATGCTGCAGTTTGTAATAAATTAACACAGAACTTTACTTCCCCTCCTCGAACAAAGCAGCCATTTGTCTGAATAACCCACATTCAGCTGTGAGTTATATTTTCACAACTGCAACTGCATTCATTTGCAAATTATTCTGCAGTTTTAATGCTCAAGTTTTAAATACCTTGAGAACTAATAAATAAAGCAAAGTAGAGCAAACAGTTGGCTTGTAGTTTAAAAACTGCCCTAATTTCTGCTTTTCTTTTGGCTCTTTTCCTTTCAAAGTTATTTTTTTTTTTAAATGGTATAAAGTTTCTTTAAACTACACTTTAAAAATAAATCTAAAATGTGTTTGGGGGTATTCACACCAGAGAGAAGTTTCCATAATTCCATTAACTGTGAAGGTATTTGGCTAGTACTCATTTTACATTTTTAAGACTTTTCTTCTACCAATACTTTAATTTAGTGACAGAATAATTTATACCTATCTTTGAGGGTTTTCTGATTGTGTGTAACTTTTGTCTGCAAGTCTTGGCTTTGGTTAGATTTTTTTCTCTCTCTCCCTCTATTAGATTTTGTCCAGAAAAAAAAAAAAATCTCAAAAGAAAAGTCGTGTCACTTCCCTCGAATTATTTTGATTATAAAACAAAAACTCTGCAAGAAAACTCTTTTCACAATCTGCTCGATAAAACAAAATGAACCGCTTTCCAGGTTCTTGAAAGAAAAATTTGATAGAAGCAGTTACAGATTTAGTTTGAGGTTTGAAGGTTATTTTCCCGGCAAAAAAAAAAAAAAAAAAAAAAAAATGCCCAGTTTCCTTGTGCAGAGTTACTAGCTTTGTCAAATTTCTTTTGCATTGTTTTAAATAAGGTCTTGTGTAGGCAATTGTACTGCATGAAAGTAATGCCACCATTTTCAGGAAGCGATTTGGGGAGGAAAACTCTTCAGAAGCATGTTATTTTCAGAAAAGTGCCTCATAAAATATTTTTATAAAGTAGGAGTTGAAATCATTTAAAAATCACTCTCTTTTATAAATCTGTTTGGAGAAAGATCTTTTGATCCCCTCTTTCTTCTGATCCTTAGCTTTTATTTTGCTTAGAGGTAAACAACATTTGCCTCATTTAAACAACGGCATTTGCCCTTGGGGTTCTTAAAGAGTTTTCCAGCCACCCTATGGCAATTCATCACATGGGATAAAATAAGGATACTTTGCATCCAAGACTTTTATCACCTCCCAGAAAATGTTTGTTGTTTTTTGCTTTGGTTTTCTCTCTCTCTCTCTCTCTCTCTCTCTCTCTCTCTCTCTCTCTCTCTCTCTCGTCCCTACCCCCACCCCGAGCTGCGGGGGATTGTTTTAGGACATTTCAAAGCCTTTTGTGAAGAGGCAACCAAAGTCCTTCTGCAGAGAAAAAGAAATGCTTGATTACATGCGCTGCAAAACGGGAGATATTTCCAAATTCCCTTTTAATTAAGATGTCTAAATAGCCATCTCCTTGGAGAGAGAGATTTCCAAACAGTTTAAAAATAAGGATGCTTAACTGCAACAGACATTCCGCCCTCTCTGACCCTGGAGGCGAGGGGCTGTCACCTGGGGGGAGGTAAACGGACATTCATTCCTGTAACTCCATAAAGGTCAGATGGGGAGGGGCACCCAAAACGGAGGTCGGGATGCCGAGGTAATCATAGGACCACAGGGCTTTAGTAACGCCATGGACTTCTATTAAGAGAAACTCGCTTCTCTAGTTAGCCTGGTCATTTCTGCAAGTGCATACACCTTTGTCATTTTTAAAAATCACTCAGAGATTACTGGTTTGGTGCTATTTGATTCTCCGACCATCCAAGCCAGATTAAGAGCATTTGCTCAGGCCCTAAGGACTTCATAGCTGGCCACCCATCTGGTGTTAGGCTTGAGTCTGTGAAAATCCCTCAGCTTAGCACTGAATATTCTTTTTAAAGACATTTAAGTAAAAGGGCTGACATTAGCATATGTTCCCCCCAAGTGTCCTGTTGAACTTTCTGCTGGGCATCACCCTACCACGGGCTTTCTGGATGTTGTCCAATGAGAGATTGGCTTGGAACTGTAAAATTAGCCATCTGCCTATTAAAAATGTAACCAGCTGCATCCGATGAAACACAGTGACTATTGAAATGAACTCATCCGGGAGAGAACTCGAGTCCCCTGCTTGGACATTTTTCCAATCTACTGCTAGACTGAGACACTCCACAAGCAAAGAGCCTTTCGTCCTTGTTTGGAGGAAAACGGCATGACTCTCAAGAACGAAGAAGACTTGCGGGTTTGTTTTGTTGCTAAAATTCTGGCATTTCTCAGGATGAGTTGGACTTGAAGTGCAGATTTCTCAGTTTGTCTGCCATTTGTTTAAAACACCTCCCTGTTGCAAGAAAAATAAAATATAAAATAAATAAGCACACCCCTAGTGTCTCCCTCCCTTCAAGATTTTATGGTAAATCCTGGGCATTTCTAACAAACCTTAATCCAAGCCTAAAATACTCTAAGCAGCACATAATAACTTAAAACTGAGAGCTGGTGCCATAGTTATTCCTGCAAGTGCTACCATTTCGCCAGATATTAGGCATTCTATATTTACCACAAGGTCTGTTTATTAAAAATGAGAACTTTCAATAGCTTGAGCTATTTTTTCCCTAAAGCGTAATGGAGCATTAAAAAATAATTCATTAACTAATTAACAAAACTGTGTTTATTTACAGTATATAAAATGTTTCTATCAGGAAAATAACACACCATAATACAGCGTTGTGTTGACAGCAAAACATCTGCAGCTTAATTTAAATGCATTTACTAAATGACGAGGGGAAATCAAAGGATGTTTAAACAGCTACTTCTCTGCCTGTGATTTGTGTTTCTCTTTAGAGGTCACAGGCACCAAGAAAAGATGCCCCTTGGGAAGCCAGAGCTATTTTCAAAGGTGCTCAATACAAAAATCTTTATGCAATTAGGGAAAGACCGGTCTGCACATGGCTTGGACTCCGAGCCAGTTAACACAGATGGGTCCGTGCAAATGTCCTAAATCCAACTGCTTGGAAGTCACTAAGTACTGTTAGGCTGAAACATATGAAGATGTCTTTTTGTAGGTCAAAATCTGTCAAATATTGACAGCTTTATTACATTCAATCTGATATTTCCCATTTGGACTTCCCTCCCTCCCTTCCTTCCATCCTCTCTTCCTTCTTTCCTTCCTTTCTTCCTTCCTTCCTCCCTCTTTTTTCTTTTTCTCTCTTCCGCCTTTCCTTCCTCCCTTCTCTTTCTTTCCCTCTCTCTTACTCTCTCTCTCCCCCTCTCTTCTTTCTTACATTGCCTTGGGCAGGATTTTTGCCAACACAAAAAAATTAGACTCAAAGTAAATTGAATTGATAAACTTGCCTATCATTCTATTTTAAAATGTGTTTTGCTAGGTTCGTTTTCCCACTAAATCTCTCCTCTGCTCCTGCCTGAAACTTCTCAGAAGGCAAAGCGTTTTCCATTTGTTTGTAGGTTTGATTTTCTTGTCACCACCCTAATATGAAATTGCAAGAAAATTGTATGTGATGTGGTAGTAATCATATTACATGCCATTCAGGTGGGTGTATAAATCAAAATCTCTCAGAAGAAAAGCTTATAGTCTGGTGATAAAATCAGCAATAATACAGGCAAATGTTATGTTTTAAGAATTTGTCCTTCATTCGCTTAGACCTAAAGCTTAGAGTGAACCTAGGAATTACAAAATAAACTAGAAAAAAAAATCATTTTCCCCTTAACACGCAAGCATATTCTTAACGTCTACCTTTGTTAGAATCATGCACTAATTATAAAATGTTTTATTTCAGCTCTGCTACTCAGAGGCCATCCATGCAGCCTTTTGACAGTAGGACCCTGGTTATGTAACAGCCATAAGGAAATTTCCCATAGTAATTTCACCTGTTTCAGATGCAAACACATTGTAAGCCTCTTAAGCTACATAGAACAAATAGGCTATATCCTGAAAACTGGAGTACTGTTTAAAATTAGATTTTGTTTTAAAGTCTAGTTCAGCAAATTGTGCTAACTGAACAGAATTGTTTTAACCATGTCCCTCTGTATTTATACATGCGGGGGCTGTTAACTCACAATACTAGTATCTGTTGTACAATTACAATCATGCATTGCTTAACTACGGGGGGTGGGAATACGTTCTGAGAAATGTGCTGTTAGGCTCTCTCATCTGCAAACGTTGTAGAGTGCACTTACACAAACCTAAATGTTATAGCCTATTACACACCTAAGCTATATATTATAGCCTATTGCTCCTAGGCTGCAAACCTGTACAGCATGTTACTGTGCTGAATACTGTAGGAAGTTGTAACACAATAGTATTTGTCACTCTAAACACATCTAAACGTAGAAAAGGTACAGTAAAAATACAGAATTATAATCTTATGGGACCACCACCATATATTTGGTCCATCATTGACCAAAATATCATTATACAGTGCATGGTTGTCTATGAGTGTGGACATATTGTGCTACCGTGGGTTGAACATGGACATTGGTTTGGTTCCCTGTACTGAGGCAGTGTTAGGGAACCATCCATGCAGCATCATTACTTTTCCCCCTCTACCAACTCCAAATTTTGAGGTCACTGTTAAAATAGGACACCAAATATCTATAACCTTGCATCAGAGTTCTTTTTGACCAGGGATACAAATCACTTAGCAAATGTGCTACCACTAACCCTGCCTATGACCTCTGCAGACATCACTAGTGGATTACAGCAGTCTTCCTCATTGACCCTAGGCAAAGCCTCAGAAGACTTCTCAAAACACATACTACAAATCAATCAGAGTTGGCTCAACAGATGAAAAGTCTTAGCTGAAACTAACAGATCCACATGGAGATCAAATCAAGGACCTTAAAACAACAGGATAAATTGTTTCACCACCAGTATGTCCAGTGTGGCCTCAATTACCTGTATCCTAACTGATCATCTTCAGTTAAGCAGGTTTGTTTGTCTTTTGGCTACACTTTATCTGTAAGAGAAAGAGATACACATTATTTTCTTTAAAAGCACATTTCAAGGGATTATTGGGACCTATAACCTTCCAGGCTGTTTTCTGTACTCAGGTCACAACTAACCTCATCTCTTATTCCATCTGCACTAATTCCTACAGGCTTGGACAGTACAAAATGTTGTTTAGACTGACAACCTAAAGCAGATTTGTATTTCTCAACTATACTCTACTTCTTATAGACTCAGACATTTCCCAAAATAAGTAAAGAAAAAATATACTCAAAGAATAAAAACTAATACCAGAAAAGATTTCCTGAAAGGATTGACATCCCTGATTTCATTTGCATTTTGAACCATGGAGATTATGTTCTAATCAGAATTGAGTGAGTGCACATTCCTGCATAGGGCCTTCTATAACTCCCTTTACCCACAAAATAGTCCAGTCACTTTTCTATGTAAATGACAACATGCTTTGTCTATCCTTACCTCATGCAGTCTTACGCCTCCACACTCTCCTCATTCTATATTCAACCTCTGTAAATTATTTACCTACATTGTTTTCTCAGACCCCTGTGCCCTTGCAGGGACTGTATTCCCTGCCAGGCAATATGCTATTTTCTCTGCCTGGTTAACTCTTTTTTTTTTTTTTGTGAAGGAGTCTTGCTCTGCCACCCAGGCTGGAGTACAGTGGCACAATCTTGGCTTACTGCAACCTCTGTCTCCTGGATTCAAGCAATTCTTCCCCCTCAGCCTCCCGAGTAGCACGGACTACAGGTGCACACCACCACACCGGGCTAATTTTGTAGTTTTAGTAGAGATGAGGTTTCACCACGTTGGTTGGCCAGGCTGGTCTCAAACTCCTGACCTTAGGTGATCTGCCTGCCTTGGCCTCCCAAAGTGCTGGAATTACAGGCATGAGCCACCGCATCCAGCCTTCCTGGTTAACTTCTACTTATCCTTTATCCCTCAAGCCCCAGTTCACATATCAACCTCCATCTGTGCCTGGGCCATGCAGGCAGAGTCCAGTGATCTCTTCGCTAAATATAATTGTGTAGTTTACTTTTTTTTTTTTTTTTGGATACAGGAAATCACTCTGTCCCCCAGGCTGAAGTGCAGTGGTGAGATCTCAGCTCGCTCCCACTTCTGTCTCCTGGGTTCAAGCGACTCTCATGCCTCAGCCTCCTGAGTAGCTGGGGTTACAGGTGTGCACCACCACACCCAGCTAATTTCTGTATTTTTAGTAGAAATGGGGTTTCACCATGTTGGCCAGGCTGGTCTTGAATTCCTGACCTCAAGTGATCTTCCCACCTTGGCCTCCAAAAGTGCTGGGATTACAGATGTAAGCCACCATACCCAGTCTGTGTAATTTACTTTTGAAGCAGACCGGTTAGGAGCCCAGACCCTGTAGCAAGATTCCTCAGTCTACAATACTAGCTGCCTTCTTGCTAGCTACGAGTCTGCAGGCAAGTGATTTAGCCTCTCTATTCCTTGGTTTTTTCATCTGTAAAATGGACATAGTAGTAACTAACCAAAGATTAAGAACAGACACATATGCAGTACATGTCAGAATGGCAAATAGTGTCAATACATGTTAGCTATTATTTTCTATGATAACTTTCAATTCCCATGTCTGGGAAACCCCCACTGAATACATGGATCTTACCCTTTTTATCCTTGTACTCTCAGTTCTTAGCCTGGAGCGTAACATGTTATAAGCACCCAAGGAAAGTTTTTTGGCACTTGCTAAAATGAAGAATAAGAGAATGGGAAAAGTAAAGAAAAACTGTTACGAGTAATGGTGTTAGGAGTAGTGGAAATATATACTAGTATAAGAATTGACAAAAAAAAAATAGAGAACACATATGTCCTACTAATATGTATACTTTATAAAAAGGTAGTTGAAAATACAGCTTCTTATATATTAATATTAAGCTTACATATAGCCACTCATCAAGGAAAGTAGAGAATTATCATATTTGTAGGAGGAAAAACCTCACTGGGCTAAGTTATTTTCCACCTCCATGGTGTGGATAGGAGGCTCCATGAAACATGATGCTAAATATATGGTCTTTTTTCAATCTACACTCTGATAACCAAAAATCCAAACCAGCTCATGTCAAGCAGGAGAAGAGGGTGGGTGTGAATGAGCCTTCAGAAGGGAAGTCTCTGGGGCCGGAGGAGCAATGTCCTCTTTAGGGTAGATGTCCCCCACTAATGCACACAGCCTCTAGAGCCAGATTACCTGGGTTTGAGTCTCAGCCATGACATTTACCAGCTGGGTGACCCCAGGCCAGGCACGTCCCCTTTTTGTCTTCAGTTACCTTGCCTGTAAAATAAGGGATAATGTGGCCATGACCTCATAGGGTTGTTGTGAAGTGAAATGAGATAATCCTCGTAAATCCCTAAGCACTGCACCTGGCACAAACGTACACTTCATAAATGTATGCAGTCATGACTACCAAATGAGGCTTCTCAACGGGGACTCAGAGACTTGGTTGGTGAGGTTGGGATGCAAGGAAGCTTCCCGATAGGAAGAGACAGGCTGGGACCTAGGAGAATGCATTTGGCATTAAGTGGGAAAGAGAGAGTGTGCTTGCTTCTGTTCCCTGTGTTTGGATTGACTTTTTAAACAGCACAACCTCCGCTAACCGTAGTTGCAACACTGCACTGAAATGTTACTCCCAGGATTTGACATTTTCTTATTCTTCCTACTACTGTTTTCTCCTTTGTTGCTTTGAAAATATGAATTAATGATGAATACTAATGAGCCCCGTGACAAGGCAACCTCCGTCTAGACACCACTAATGTTGGGAGCTTCAAGACTCACAACACTTTAAAGAGGGAAGATGTAAAGAATCTTTTCCCTGATTTCCAAACTCATATGGCCCCAAAAGTCATTTTCTCCCCCTTTCCTCCAATCCAACTCCTTTCCTTTAAAATTTTTAAAAGAATCTTCAAGAAAGCCGCATGAATGAGACTTTGTACTTGTTCATAAGATTTTATGTGTCTACCTGGAGTAGACATGAAATTGCTTTTTTTGTTAAAGTACTGTTGCATTTATGAAAATCTTTCTGGATGCCTTTTTATCACCCTGTGCTTGCTTTTTTTTCCTTTTATTGTTTTTTATGTTGTTTCATGGAGCTTGGGGATTTGTGAAGCAGCCAACCAGAGGGAACTGAAGTCATTGATAGTGAACACACAGTGACTTCCTAACTGATGCCAATTTTCCCTCCCCCTCCAATAAAAACAGTCATATTTGTCTGCCGTTGGCATCAAAGACAATTTTTATGGCATGGTCTGTACCACTATCTCAACATGATGGTAGATTTCTGAGCATTAAAATCCAAGGAGAAACTAAGAAAAATTATAATATGGAGGATTTTAGAGTAAAGCCATACAACTGATTTGGGTACTGTAAATTTAGACATCTTTCTCAGTCTCAGTCAGTATTTACACCAAAGATGTTCTGTGCATTCAATAGCTATTGTATTTAGTAACAGCTTTCAGAAGCAAACAGTACCTTGCCATTAGGGCTCTCTCTCTACCCTGAGTTCCTTTTCTTGGCTGCACTCCATAGACCAGAGGGCTGGACGTCAACAACTGAGAAACATTGACAAGAAGAGATGCACACCCAGCAAGACTCTAGGACTCACCAAAACTATCACAAATTTGTCCCTCACTTCACTGACCCCTGGAATTGCTCCCATTTTAACAGTAAGAGGAGCTCTACTACTGAAGATGTAGATTCAAATCCTAATTGGCCGGGCACCGTGGCTCAACGCCTGTCACCCCAGCACTTTGGGAGGCTGAGGCAGGCGGATCACTTGACGTCAGGAGTTCAAGACAAGACCAGCCTGGCCAACATGGCGAAACCCCATCTCTACCAAAAATGTAAAAAATTAGCCGGGTGTGGTGGCATGCACCTGCAGTCCCAGCTACTCAGGAGGCTGAGGCAGGAGAATCACTTGAACCTGGGAGAAAGATGTTACAGTGAGCTGAGATCATGCCACTGCACTCCAGCCTGGGTGACAGAGCAAAACTCTGTCTCAAAAAAAAAAAAAAAAAAAAAACCTAACTAGTAAGTGACCTTCAGTCTATTGGCCCCATGACTCAGTTTACTTATCTGTAAAATAGGGATACTGTTAGGACCTCCTTCCTCTGACTGTCAAAAGGATTAAATTAGATACTTACAGTATCTATGAAAGCAAGTAAGGGGTTTAACTTAGCATCTGGCTAATGGTAAGAGCTCAAGTGTTTGTTGTCAGTGTAGATACACATGAGCAGGTCATGTAATAAAGGAACTAAACTTACTCAGTTTCTCCTATGCACTGGAGAAAACATTCTATCCAAGATTCAGCAGGAGTCGGTGATTTTCTTGCCCAGGAATTCCTGCATGCATTTCACTGAAATTGTGCTTAGCAGTACCTCCTTAACTTGCTTTCTCATTTCAAGCACAAATTTCACATTTACCACCTCTACGAGTTTTCTAATAATTTCTTCATCAAATCATATGTTACTATTAGCATGTGTATGTATTCGACAACAAATTCACCCAGAACCTCCCAGTTCTGTGTGTGAAGGTAGTGGGAGGTGGCAGGGATTGGGTGGGGCTATAGGCTTACAGAAATTACAAACTGTGAAACAGTCCCTGTCCAAAGTCATGGGCAAATGGGTGCCTACAGACACTTAAACAAACAACAATATTAGTGATCGTTTATTATAAAGACTAAGAGTGCGATCTCTGAGCCAGGCTTTCTGAGATGCAATTTAGTCTCCACCACTAAACAGCTGTGTGACCTTGGGCAGATCTCTTACCTGTCTGTGCCTCACTTTCCTCATCTATGAAATGGACATGAAAACTATACCTACTTCATAGAGTTGAATGAGATGATATGTCTAAAACATTTAGAATAATGCCTAACACATTATAATATTATGTAAACTTTATCTTAAAAACTAATGAATGAAAATTATAATTTGATGTGCTAACTATGGACCAAGCACTGTGCTAAGAAGGGTTTTACACTGATTATCTATCTCATTTCACCCTCACAAGGAAATGCACCCATCAACCCTGGAGACGTTACTTGGCCTTGGTTGTAAATTGGGGTTAATGAAGTACCATCCTATAACATTGTCAAAAGGAAACAATGAGTTAATATGTGTAGAGTAGTTAGGGCTAGGCCAGTACAAAGTTAAGGGCTTAGCAAGAGAAGTTTACAAAGTTTAAATAGTTTGCCTGGATTCACATGGCCAATTGATAAGGGTTGAATCATTATTTAAACCCAGGCATGCAATTACTACCTTACCACAGTGACTGACTGAAAAGAATGCACAACCAGGCGCAGGTCTACGCAAAGCTTTGTGAAAGCACAAATCCTTCAGTTGCGCCTGGGAGGATCAGGGGAGTTTATATAGAGCAGATGATCCTACCTTCCTTCCTTCCTTCCTTCCTTCCTTCCTTCCTTCCTTCTTTCCTCTTTTTCTATGACAATGGCAGTAGACATTCATTTACTTTGGTTCAGTGCAATAGTAATGACTCGGTATACACTAAAAGAATGTTACAAACTCCTGTGGGTCAAGAGACACGATCGTTTATCACAGGCCAAGATGTAGTCACACATCACGTGATCACACAGGCTGGTAACTGGCTTCAGTGGTGGTTGGGCTGACTCAGCCTGAAGCAAGAGGAAAGCAAATGTGGTTAATTAAGACTGCAGGGAATGTTTAGACTGTGTGCAACCGATACCCCAGCCACCGTCTCCATGTTTTCCTGCAGAGGAAATTTGCATACAACTCAAATATTACTATACTTCCTAAAACCCTTTCAGATATTGTCAGGGAAGGAATTGAGAGGAAGGACTTAGCACTTTTAGAATTATCCCAGTGGCACGCTTAAAGAGTGGTGATTGATGAGAAAGGACAAGTAGTAATTCCCAAATTATGCTTCTATTTATACTTCAATTACAACATTGCGAGAAGAAAACAAGACTTGTTCCCTTCATAACCTCCGTAGAACTGGGCTTAGTGTCTCTCACATAGATGATGCCCATAAGGAATGGTGAACCAAGGGGTGAAATCGAGAGAGACTTTATCATATCTTTGATAGAATGACAGAGATCTCTCTTGGCTCTTTAGGGAAAGATCACAAAATAAAAACACACAAAGTACAAGAAGTTTTCTTTCCTAATGACTAGTAGGGCAGAACCTATTGGGTAAACATGCCCTGGAGCTGTTTTTAAACTCTAAATAAAAGACAATTCACCCTCCTGCTAATTCTTCTTTTAGCTTCCAAAATCAGCCAGTTGGCACAAGACACTAAAACATACCTAGTCCCAGCTTGACCTCGTTAAAGAAATCCTCTATAAGTACAACTCCTAAAGCAAGTCATGCTCCCAAGCAGGTTTGGAGTGACAGTAGTTCTATAAGCTCCTCCAAGAAATAAGGGTTCTTGTTCCAGTAAGTAGAGAAATGCTGCAACAATAACCCTTTCTTGGAGAATCACAATGCACACTATTCTGTTAAAGCATCTGCAACAACAGAAAAATGTATTCAATTGTGTTTAACACAATGATGCCCAAATATATTTGGCCATAAAATTCTAAAACATGTATTTGTATTTTAAATATATCTTTTAATTTACACCTATGTAATAACTATGTCTATATCTATAGAGAAATGGATATATATATCCTGAAGAAATGGTTTCTAATAAAACACACATAACAGAATACTGGTCTTGATTAGATTGTGTTGGTTGTATTGAAGGTGAGCTTAGGCCACAGGTGAGTAAGACCCTGCCCTCCAAGTAGCTACTGTTTGTGATGTCTATGAGAGGCTTTAATGGGGAGAAGATAATGTGCTATTGGAGGAAAGAGAAACTCTGGGTACAGGAATTAATGAAAACGGGAACACAATGAAAGTGGAGAAAGACAGCAAGACTTCTGAATTTATAACACCAGCCTCACCCTCCTCCCATACTTATATGCCCCAAAGAGCTGATTTTGAGCCCTGAGGGTTAAGAGCTGATTTTGAACCCTAATTTTGAGCAGGATGGTTAAAAACAAGAACTATATTCCTGACCAGGTGCGGTGGCTCATGCCTATAATCCCAGCACTTCAGGAGGCCGAGGTGGGTGGATCACCTTAAATCAGGAGTTCGAGACCAGCCTGAACAATATGGTAAAGCCTTGTCTCTACTAAAAATACAAAAATTAGCTGGACGTGGTGGCAGGCGCCTGTAGTCCCAGCTATTTGGGAGGCTGAGGGAGGGGAATTACTTGAACCCGGGAAGCAGAGGTTGCAGTGAGCCGAGATTGTGCCACTGCACTCCAGCCTGGGCAACAAAGTGAGACTCTATCTCAAAAAAAAAAAGAACTATACTCCTGAGAGACTTTGAAAGGTCCATCATTGACTGGGTTGATTCAGAGAACAGATTGCAGAGTGCACGACTGAGGGCAGGAAGCTCGGGCAGTGGGGTCCTTGTAGGGGCAGCTGTGGCCAAGGTTTGACAAGAGGTTCAGAGTGAAAGCCCATGAGTAGAGTCATTCTAAATCACCTGGTAGACACCACCTGCCCTAAGAGTCTCCAGAACAGCTGGGGAGATGTTGAGGAAGACTGAGGAGCTGATGGCAACCAGTTGCCACAGTCATATGGACAGTTCATTAATCATAAGGACATTTCAGTTTTACTCAAAATCTCTAAGACATTAGATTTTTACAAGACATCTGATGTTACATGTAAAATACCCAAGTCCATTCTTTTTTTACCCTTAAGTGTAACTAAAAATCAGATCAGATAATTTGGAGCTACTCTGTCGGTAAATGCATGCTTTTTACAACCCATTTAGAGTCACCTTATTTACCACCTTTTCAAAATCTTCTCAATTCTATTGGGATTGCCCACAAAGAACCATCTTCTCTCATCTTCTAAATGGGTGCTGTGTTGTGGGTGTCGTGGTCATTGCTGCTGTTGTGCTGGTGGGACAGGGAAGAGCAGGCATTAAGAGGTTCTTAAAAAAAGGAAACCAATAACATTCCTGGTGTGATGCTGTGGGAGGGAACTGTGTTCTTGCAAAAGAAATGTTTAACCTGAATCTAACTGGGAGAAAATGGCCAGACAAATCCAGAATGTGGCTTGTTCTGCAAAACCCTGGCAAGGGCTTTTCAAAGGACACAATGTGCTGAAAACCAAAGGGAAGTGGTGGGATTTGTCTGGATTGGGAGAAACAAAAACACGTAACAATCAATGAAATGCAAGGAATTTGATTAAACCAGGATTAAAAAAAAACCCAAACAACTTTCTTTTGAAAATGTTGAAACTTGAATAAGGAATGTATGTTGATGACATTATTGAATTAATGATTTTCTTAGCTTTGATAATGGTGTTCTGGTTGAGGAGGAGAATGTCCTTCTCCTTGGGTGATGCCAGATAAAGTATTTAATGGGAGGGACATATCATGATGCCTACTAATTATTTTTGGAGACAGAAAGAGAGAGAGTGTGTGTATGTATAGAAGAGATGTAGTTTATAGTAAGATGGTAACAACTGGTGAATCTAGATGAAGATATATGGTCATTTATTATATTACGTTTTCAACCTTACTGTGGATTTGAAAACTTTTGAATTAAAAAGTATTTTTTAAAAAGAAAAGTTCACAAAAAAATAAAAAAGGAAATTATTCTTATGCAAAACTACATGGTTTTCTTTAGTCCAGGTTTTTGGTGCAATTATTTCCCCTTCTTTACAATGTGGCTCATGCAGGTATTTTATATCCTTTTCAAGAAATAATGAAGGCCCTGGACGCAGTGGCTCATGCCCGTAATGTCAGCACTTTGGGAGGCTGAGGCTGGTGTATCACCTGAGGTCAGGAGTTCGAGACCAGCCTGGCCAATATGATGAAACCCCATCTCTACTAAAAATACAAAAATTAGCCAGGCATGGTGGTGCACCCCTGTAATCCCAGCTACTCGGGAGGCTGAGGCAGGAGAATTGTTGAACCTGGGAGGCAGAGGCTGCAGTGAGCCAAGATCACACCACTGTACTCCAGCCTGGGTGGTAGAGTGAGACTCTGTCAGAAAGAAAGAAAGAAGGAAAGAAAAAAGAGAAAGAAAGAAAGAAAGAAAGAAAGAAAGAAAGAAAGAAAGAAAGAAAGAAAGAAAGAAAGGAAGGAAGGAAGGAAGGAAGGAAAGAAGGAAAGGAAGGAAGGAAGGAAGGAGAGGGAGGGAGGGAAAGAAAGAAGGAAGGAAGGAAGGAAAGGAAGAAAAGAAAGAAAGAAAGAAAGAAAGAAAGAAAGAAAGAAAGAGAAAGAAAGAAAGAAAAAGAAAGAAAGAAAGAAAGAAAAAAGAAAGCAAGCAAGCAGGCAATCAAGCAGCAGGCAGGCTGGGCACAGAGGCTCATGCCTGTAATCCCAACACTTTGAGACACCTAGGTGGGAAAATCACTTGAGCCCAAGAGATAGAGACCAGCCTGGGCAACATGGCAAAATCCTGTCTCTACAAAAAATACAATAATTAGCTGGGCATGGTGGCGCATGCCTGTAGTCCCAGCTACTCAGAAGGCTGAGGTGGGAGGATCAACTGAGCCTAGGGAGGTTGAGGCTGCAGTGAGTCAAGATTGAGCCTCTTCAGCCTTGGAGACTCTGTCAAGAAAGAAAGAAAGAAAAGAAACAAAGAAAAAATGGGAAAAAGAAAAGAAAGAAAGAAAGAGAAAGGAAGGATGGAAGGAAGGAAAAGAAAGGCAGGCAGACAAATAAAGAAAGAGAGAGAGGGAGGAAGGAAGGAAAAGAAAGACAGACAGACAGATAATAATATGATGACACAAAGAAAGAAAAAAAGAAAGAGAGAAAGAAAGAAAGAGCCCTCCACAACTATGATTCTCTCCGCTCTCCCTTTAACAAATGTTTCTGTTCTCTCAAGTTGCTCAGCCAATCAGGAGACTCTCCCTCACCCTTCTGGAAGAAGAGCACTACCACCGTCACACAAAGAGTTTTCCTGGAACCAGGAGCTGACCTTGCACATCACAAAATGCTAAGAGACACTCCTGAGCACAGTCCAGATATGGATTTCAGATTCAGCATTTCAACACCAGATTCAGTTAGCCCAGCTGACCTCTGGATGCCTCAAAGAATTCAGGTTGACAGGGTTCATCCCTGAGTCTCATGGCAAAACCTCATCCTCATTTGCACTGTTAAAATGTTCCCAGAATATCCTCTCACATGCCCATATCAGAAGGTATGACCTTTGTGCCACAGTTGAGAAGGTCTTGGGTGGATTTTCCAGAAGAGTTAGACCTCATGAGGTTAGACTCAAGGTAACAGAAAGAAAGCTTGAAGGAAACAGACACTGGCCTACAGCAGACAAGATTTGTGGAACATGTGAGCAAAGTTTCCAAGTCCCTACATATTAAACTGTAGAATAGGAGTGAGATGAATTATCCATGCCCCTAATTACATGTTAGAGACAGGTCAATTTTGACTCAAGAACAAGGAAGAGTGTTTTAAAGGGGAGTGGCCAAAGATAGAATAATGTGATGCCTCCATCGGTAGTAAGCTCTCCATCAAAGGAAGTATGAAAACAAAGGCTGTATGACGATTGGGTGAGGAACCACCTTAGAGATAATTCAAGCATCAGGTGAAAGAGTGACTTGAAGAATCTCCAAGATCCCTTACTACACACTCACATTTCTCTCTTCTTTATTCTCCCTATGACAGAGAAGTCTCTTTGAAATAGGACCAATGGCATCAACACTGATCCCTAAAGACCCAGCCCTCTGCATGGGCTGTGTCCTTAGCTATTTACAATAGCATAGAGTAGACGTGAGGAAATCTGTCGCCAATCACAGCAGGGTGAAAACAGGGGGCCAAGGTGCTTCTAGGGGAGCCTTCTAAACCTTCGTGTTGGTCTTTGTCCATCACTCCCCTGATCACCAGGTAGCTTAGACAGCCTGCTGAAAAGAATTCAGAGCCTCTCAAGCTCTCAGCGGGAAAACCTTGGAGCCCTGTTGTTGGAAATAGCTCCCAACCTGCATCTTAGGCAGGTATTTTTAGGTTCTGTCTTGAAGACACGGAAACTTTCATACATTTCAGCTTCTTTGTCTGGAGTCACTGCAACCCCAGACATGTCATTGAAAGGGGGTATAATTGTGGTCTCCTCCACCCACCAATCTGAGCAAGTCTGAAAGAGTTTCCTGCTGTGCAGCAGGGAGGCTGGAGAGCCTTTTCTGGCAAGGGAAAGTCAAAATGGATTTTTTAAAATAATAATATGTTGATCAAGAAGAGAAAAAAAAATCTACTGAGGAGAGGGGGCTCTGCTTTCGGGCTGATACAGAGAGGAAGTTTACCTATTATTTTGAAACCTCGTCTTAATTCTCCTTTGCAAGTATAGAATTCAAGCTTGGAGGAGCTAAAGTCCTACTTGAGGATAGGAAATAAAGATGTTTGGAATGATCTTACTTAGATCAGTGGCTGTTGTTAATATGAGGCTCTCTGAGGAATAATTATAATTGTCAATCACTGGGCATAGCCTGACATTACAAGGAGAAATAGAAGGGAAACCAAAACGACGCAGGGCAGATATAAAACTGGCAAAGGGGCCAGGTGCGGTGGCTCACGCCTGTAATCCCAGCACTTTGGGGGGCCGAGGCAGGCGGATCATGAGGTCAGGAGATCGAGGCCATCCTGGCTAACACAGTGAAACCCCATCTCTATTAAAAATACAAAAAATAGCCAGGTGTGGTGGTGGGCACCTGTAGTCCCAGCTACTTGGGAGGCTGAGGCAGGAGAATGGCATGAACCCAGGAGGCAGAGCTTGCAGTGAGCAGAGATCATGCCATTGCACTCCAGCCTGGGCAACAGAGTGAGACTCCGTCTCAAAAAAAAAAAAAAACCAACAAAAAAAAACTGGCAAAGGGCATTCTGATGGTGCGTAGGAGCTGGTAGAGGGATGTTTGAGTTCCTGAGAGGGTTTGGCAACCATATCACCATAGGCAGGTCAACAAAGGTGACAGGGCTATGATTTCTGGGGCTCCCAGACAACTGTCTCAAGGCTGATGTTTTAACTACAGGGCAATTGATCCCAAGTGTCTGAAAGCACACTAAGTGCCTGCAGCCCATGTGACCATGAACAACAACATTAATCAAATCACCCACAACTAGGTTGCACCATCTGTCTCATCAATGGGTTTTGATATCAGACAGCAAAGATGATTGAGGTGAAGAGTGTGTAGAGTTGGGTTAATGAAATGGACACTAGGCCTTTCCCATAGGAATAAAATAGTAAAGCGATTCTCCCACAGGATTCAGAAAAGAGATCACACAACAATTTTCTAACTTGATTGGAAAGCAAACACCTACTCCAGGAGTGGGATTTAAGGAGGCTCAGAGAACAAGAGTATACCGCATCAGAAACCAAAGTCTGATACAGGAGCAGCAACATCAGTTGCAGGTCCCAGAGCAAGATGAAAACACAGAGCCCCTTGTTTAAAAATTATTAAACACTTCAAGGGCCAGGTGCGGTGGCTTACACCCATAATCATAACACTTTGGGAAGCAGAAGCAGGAGAATTGCTTGCGCTCAGGAGTTCAAGACCAACCTCGGTAACATACTGAGACCCCATCTCTATAAAAAAAAAACTTTTTAAAATTACCTGGGTATGGTGGCATGCACCTATAGTCCCAGCTACTTAGGAGGCTGAAGTGGGAGGATCACTTGGGCCTGGGAGATTAAGGCTGCAGTAAGCTATGATTGTACCACTGCACTCTAGCCTGGGTGACAGATGGAGACCCCGTCTCCCCCACACCTCCAAACATACAAAAAGAATTTCAAGATAAGGTGTCAACAACAGGGCATTAAGCCAAATGCAAGGCCCTTTTGAGAGCAGGACTTCATAAAGCGATGTGGGTCACTTGCCTATGAAGCCATCTGTGATCAGAGTAAATCCCTGTCAGATGGTCACTGAGATCAGGAGCACTAGGAGATATGGGGACTTGTTCAAAACAGAAAGAGACCCTGTAGCTGTTATTGGAACAACTGGTAAGGAAAAGTCAAAATGGGCTTTTATAATAACAATATGTTGATCAATAAAAGAAAAAAAATCTGTTGAGGGGAAGAAGCTCTGAATTTGGGTACTTGAGCCCAATGGTTTGGCTTGTAAAAGGTTATATTACCTGTCAGTGCTCGACAGCATTTAATACAGAAATCACCTGATCCTAGTCAAGCTTCCTATTTCACACACACACACACACACACACACACACACACACACGCACACCCCAAATAATTGCCAATATTTGCTGAGTACTTACTGTGTGGTAGGTTTGGTATTAAAAGCTTTTATTTGAGCTTCATAATGACTCTATAAAGAATGAAATATTATTACCTTTATTTTTCAAATTTTAGATTCAGGGGATACATCTACAGGTTTGTTACAGGGATATATCGCATAATGGTGAAGTTTGGGCTTCTAGTGTACCCATCACCCAAATAGTGAACGCTGTACCAAACAGGTAATTTTTCAACCCTTGCTCCTCACCACATTTCCTCCTTTTGGGGTCCCCAGTGTCTATTATTTTCATCCTTATGTCCATGTAAATCCATTGTTTAGCTCCCACTTATAAGTGAGAACACGTAGTATTTGAGTTTCTCTTTCTGAATTATTTCACTCAGGATAATGGCCTCCAGCTCCATCCATGTTGCTGCAAAGGACATGATTTCATTATTTTTATGACTGCAGAGTATTCCATGGTGTATATGTACCATATTTTCTTTATGCAGTTCACCGCTGATGGATACTTAGGTTGATTCCATGACTGCTATTGTGAATAGTGCTGCGATGAATATGAGGGTACAGGTGTCTATTTTATATAATTGATATGGTTTGGCTCTGTGTCCCCACCCAAATCTCATCTTGAATTGCACTCCCATAATTCCCACATGTTATGGAAAGGACCTCATGGGAGATTATTTGAATCATGGGGTTGGTTTCCCCCATATTATTCTTGTGGTAGTGAATAAGTCTCACGAGATCTGATGTTTTTATCAGGGGTTTCCACTTTTGCATCTTTCTCATTTTCTCTTGCTGCCGCCCTGTAAGAAGTGCCTTTCACCTCCCACCATGATTCTGAGGCCTCCCAGTCATGTGGAACTGTAAGTCCAATTAAACCTCTTTTTTTTCCCAGTCTCGGGTATGTCTTTATCAGCAGTGTGAAAACAGACTAATACAGTAAATTGGTACCAGTAGAGTGGGACGCTGTTGAAAAGATACCCCAAAATGTGGAAGCGACCTTGGAATTGGTGACAGGCATATGTTGGAACAGTTTGGAGGGCTCAGAAAAAGACAGGAAAATGTGGGAAAGTTTGGAACTTCCTAGAGACTTGTTGAATGGCTTTGACAAAAACACTGATAATGATACGGACAATGAAATCCCGGCTGATGTGGTCTCAGATGGAGATGAGGAACTTGTTGGGAACTGGAGCAAAGGTGACTCTTGTTATGTTTTAGGAAAGAGACTGGAGGCATTTTGCCCCTGCCCTAGAGATTTGTGGAACTTTGAACTTGATAGAGATGATTTAGGGTATCTGACAAAAGAAATTTCTAAGCAGCAAAGCATTCGAGAGGTGATTTGGGTGCGGTTAAAGACCTTCAATTTTAAAAGGGAAGCAGAGCATAAAAGTTCAGAAAATTTGCAGCCTGACAATGTGATAGAAAAGAAAAACCCATTTTCTGAGGAGAAATTCAAGCCAGCTGCAGAAATTTGCACAAGAAGCCCAATATTAATCCCCAGGACAATGGGGAAAGTGTCTCCAGGGCATGTCAGAGGTCTTCACAGCAGGCCCTCCCAGCACAGGCCCAGAGGCCTATTGAGGAGAAAGTGGTTTTGTGGGCTGGGCCCAGGGTCCCCTTGCTGTGTGCAGCCTAGGGACTTGGTGTCCTGAGTCCCAGCCTCTCCAGCCACGACTAAAAGGAGCCAAGGTACAGCTCGGGCTGTGGCTTCAGAGGATGGAAGCCCCAAGCCTTGGCAGCTTCGACATGGTGTTGAGTCTGTGAGTGCACAGAAGTCAAGAGTTGAGGTTTGGGAACCTCTGCCTAGATTTCAGAAGATGTACAGAAGCACCTGGATACCCAGGCAGAAGTTTGCTGCAGGGGCAGGGCCTACATGGAGAATCTCTGCTAAGGCAGTGCAGAGGGGAAATGTGGGGTTGGAGCCCCCACACAGAGTCCCTAGTGGGGCACTGCCTAGTGGAGCCGCGAGAAGAAGGCCACCATCCTCCAGACCCCAGAATGGTAGACCACTGACAGCTTGCACTGTGCATCTGGAAAAGCTGCAGACACTCAATGCCAGCCCATGAAAGCAGCTGGGGGGCGGGGGGGCTATACCTACAAAGCCACAGGGATGGAGTTGCCCAAGGCCATGGAAACCCACCTCTTGCATCAGTGTGACCTGGATGTGAGACCTGGAGTCAAAGGAGATCATTTTGGAGTTTTAAAATTTGACCGCCCCGCTGGATTTCAGACTTGCATAGGCCCTGTAACCCTTTTGTTTTGGCCAGTTTCTCCCCTTTGGAAAGGCTGTATTTATCCAATACCTGTGCCCCCATTTTATCTAGGAATTAACCAGCTTGCTTGTGATTTTTTGCCTTGTCTCAGATGAGACTTTGGACTGTGGACTTTTGGGTTAATGCTGAAATGAGTTAAGACTTTGGGGGACTGTTGGGAAGGCATGACTGGTTTTGAAATGTGAGGACATGAGATTTAGAGGGGCCAGGGGCAGAATGAGATGGTTTGGCTCTGTGTCTCCATCCAGATCTCATCTTGAATTGTACTCCCATAATTCTCACCTGTTGTGGGAGGGATCTGGTGGGAGATAATTTGAATCACAGGAGCAGATCCCCCCCATATTGTTCTTGTTGTAGGGAATAAGTCTCACGAGATCTGATGGCTTTATCAGGGGTTTCCGCTTTTGCATCCTTCTCATTTTCTCTTGCCACCCCCATGTAAGAAGTGCCTTTCGCCTCCCACCATGATTCTGAGGCCTCCCCAGCCATGTGGAACTGTAAGTCCAACAAAATCTCACCTCCCAGTCTTGGTATGTCTTTATCCATAGTGTGAAATGGACTAATACAATAATGATTTCTTTTTCTTTGGATAGATTCCCAGTAATAGTACTGCTCGGTTGAATGGTAGTTCTATGTTTAGTTCCTTGAGAAATCTCCATACTATTTTCCATATTATCCCAATTTTAAAGCTAAGGGAGATGAGGCTTCATGGGATTAGCTATCACACTCAAGGGTCTATAACTACTGCACGGACAGAGTCTGAATTCTGAGTTCTAACTTGGATTTTTTTTCCTTTTTTTTTTTTTTTTTTTAAGATGGAGTCTCACTTTGTTGCCCAGCCTGGAGTGCAATGGTGCAGTCTCAGCTCACTGCAATCTCCACCCCCAGATTCAAGCCATTCTCCCGCCTCAGGCTCCCGAGTAGCTGGGATTAGAGGCACCCACTACCATGCCCTGCTAATTTTTGTATTTTTAGTAGAGATGGGGTTTCACCATGTTGGCCAGGCTGGCCTCAAACTCCTGACCTCAACTGATTTGCTCACCTCGACCTTCCAAAGCGCTGGGATTACAGGCGTGAGCTACCGTGCCTGGACTGACCTGGATTCTTAACCAGGAGGCCACACTCCCTTCTTTGGAATGCATTGTCTCACTGACTTTTTCTTTTTCTCACCTGTCTCATTTGACAATCAAGGGAAGAGAGGTCAAGGCACTCTGAAAGTTACTTGGAAAATTACTAGGAAAATCAAGTCCAAACATAACCCCTGCTCATGGCTCCCTAATTGAACAAAGGAAAGAAGAAAGGGAATGGCCCCAAACACCCTTCAGTGCTCATACAGCCACGCAGCTGAGGACCAAGGCTGGCAGGACATCAGTAGGTCACATGCCCGACACCTCCTGGCAGGGTAGGTGCTGAGCCAGGCAGACAGACCCCTAGGAGAAACAAATGGAAAAGCCTAAGGGAACAGCCCACCACACAAATACCTGTAAAATCTTTTTAGTTTCAAACAGTGTTTTGCAATAGCCAGAAAAAAAAAAAAAAAGACCTGGCTGAAGCAGGTTGTAAAAGTGTAAAGGAAAAGTTAATTAAATCATAACTTAGTTGCTAAGAAGGCTTTACTCCTGGTTGAAAGGAAATTGTTCCTACAATTGGAAGCAAAAGTTTTCAGAGCAGGGGAATGTGGTCCAGCTTATTTTAACATTTCTTCCCCATTTTTTGCCCTGATGGGAAATATCAGGAAATAAGAGGGTATAAGGAAAAGGAGCCTAGGATCCCCTCACCCTAGGATTCACCAGCAGCTCTTTCATAAATGGAACTGCTGATCACTCAGAACCAAGGCAATGCTGACTCAGCCTTAGCATGAAGAAGGAAGGAGCTTTTCAGAGGCAAGTCTGAAACCAGAAGATTGGCCAGAGAGCCCAGCATTTCAGCACCTACCAGGTGTGAGAAATCTTTCCCACTACTTTGCTAGAACATCTGTCTGCTTTGGCTGTCTCTGTCAATCCCAAAGTGCTTCTCAAAAACCGGAATTATTGTTTTATTTGTCGTGGTGTCCCTTTAGTGCTTTATCTGGCACATAGGAGGCTCAGTAAGTTGAACTGGCAACAGCTGGGTTTGTAGAGGAAGGTGCTTATTTGGGATCCAAGTGTTTTCCTTTACATCTTATTCTCTATATATTTTGATTCCTACTAACAGGCTGAGAGAGCTATTTAAGATATTTAGTAACATTGCCACTTTAATAAAACTTTACACAATATATAAAAGAAAGAAATATTTGCTTTATGTGTTCTTCCTGTATCTCCTGATTGTGCATGCCTGGGAGGAGAGACATACTCATAGATGGACCAGCAGTATCCTTCACTGATAGTAGCTTCTGAAATACGTTTTTATTTTGAGACAGTCTCACTCTGCCACTGACGCTGGAGTGCACCGCTCACTGCAGCCTCAACCTCCTTGGCTCAAGCGATGCTCCCACCATGGCTTCCCAAAGTGCTGGGATTACAGGCATGAGCCACCACACCCGACAACTTCTGAAATATTAAGCATAGCTCTTTAGAGGCCATAATCATTCTTTGCAATGTGTGTTTTAAATAATCCCTTAAAATGAAATACAGTAAAGAAGGCCAGGCGTGGTGGCTCATGCCTGTAATCCAAGCACTTTGGGAGGCCAAGGTGGGCAGATCATAAGGTCAGGAGATCGAGACCAACCTGGCCAACATGGTAAAACTCTGTCTCTACTAAAAATACAAAAATTATCTGGGCATGGTGGCGCATGCCTGTAGTCCCAGCTACTTGGGAGGCTGAGGCAGGAGAATCACCTGAACCAGGGAGTCAGAGGTTGCAGTGAGCTGAGATTGCACCACTGCACTCCAGCGTGGCAGCAGAGCGAGACTTCATCTCAAAAAATAAAAATTAAAAAAAAAAAAAAGAAAGAAAGAAAGTAAAGAAGAGTAAATGCCACCAGAACTGTTAAAGTCTCAAAATACTTATAAGATGTTGAATAAAAACTATACCCTAACATTTAGTGTCGTTTAATTCCCTAACATTTGTATCTATTTCTGTTCATTCCTATAAAGTTCCTGGATTCTTTTCAGCCACAGCTTTGTATTAAGCATCCCGTATGCAAGGTGATGGTTCTACATTCCCAGGTTGGTGGGTCTCTGCTGTCAAAGGCGAGTTTCGCAGCACTTGAGCTTAGAGATTCCAAATGAGTTACACCCGTTGGGCTGATTCTGACTTGCCAGACACTTCCAGCTATGAAAACAGCCAGGGAAAATGAGAAGCAGGATCTGAATAGGTGCCTGTTTTCACCCCATCATACACAGCCTCCCCTAACAAGTGACTGGTGGATCCTCCCAACCTTTATTCTTCCATTCAAGTTGGGGAGGATCAGGAAAAAAGGGAAAGAAAACGGGGGAGCCTGAAGAGAGGGCAGCCCAGCATGCATGACTAAATGTCAGGTTGTACGGGAGAGTTATAATTAAAGTCCAAGATGACAGATAACTATAAAATCAGATTGGTTCCTTTCCACATGGAAGGAAAACATAATGTTGTCGCCCAACCCAAGCTTTTTTGTAAATTGAAATTACGGTTTTATTTGGAGCTATTTTTAAAGGTCCATTAATTAAAAATTGGAAGTCATGCCAATGCAAGAAATCCCATAAAAGGTGTTAGATTTAATGATCACCAAGGACTATAATTAAAAGATGATGTTATCTGAATATCAAATGCTCTAAATCCATGTTTGTTTTTTATTGAAAAATAAACAAATTCGGGAGCAAAAGAAAAAAATAGAAAAGATATGTGCAAAATGTAATGATAATGGTTGACTTCTAAACAGCCAAGGAAATTATAGTCATCATGTGTGGGAAAAGAACAAACACCTCTTAATTGCATTTCATTATAACGTACCTTTCTCTGCTCAGTTGTATATATTAATTATAAAAATCATGTTGCAGAGCAGAGCGGCTCTACAATAGTTTTTTCCCCCTTCCTCCCTTAATTCTGTCTGAAGCAGGATGGAAGAACAATATCATCTGTCATCTGCAGAAAAAGCTTTCAAAGACAAAATCATAAAAAGAATGAAAGGCTATTATATAAAAAAGAAAAAAATGCTTTGATTTCACAGATTTTCCACTTATTAATGTTTAAGGTTATCTGTTATTTTAGCAAAGTATCTTCTCATATTGTTTTGTATGTGTATGTTCAGGTAACATCGCTTTCTGATAACTGTATCACATGGCATATGCATTACGTAGATGATTGTTCATGGAAGAGGGGAGTGGGTAGGAAGAAGTACTATTATGGAAAGATACCATACAGGACTTGAAGAATTTTCTAAGCTTAGGCAAGATAAGAAAGTGGTGGGTTGGATTTGAGGCCAATGCTCTTTATTGACGGGCTGCTGTTTACTTCTGCTTAGGAAAATGATGGAAGTAATGGACTTGTAGTACAACAAAAAAGGCCCCAGTTAGGCACTGCAAAGACCCCAGGACTGCCAGTGTTCCAGATGATGGAATGGGGTAAGCCAAGGTGGCATTAGGAATTCTGCTTTATCAGAAATCTGCGGGAACAGGTGAGATCCATCTGTTTGGCAAGGGCTAATGTATGATTCCAGAGAGAGCTTGCGATCTAACCTGGGCTTTTAGGAGATGTATGTGCATAATTGCAGTTTTCTGGGCAGAGTTCCATAACTTACCAGATTCTTGGCTGCATCTGTAACCCAGAAAGGCTTAAGTAAGAACTGCTGCTCCAGGCCCTGGGTGCTCAATGTGTGGTCCATGGACCAGCAGCATAGGCATCACCTGAGAGCTTACGGAAACGCAGAATCTCGGGCTCCCCCCTAGACCTGCAGAATTAACACTGATGTTTCAGCAAGCTCCCTGGGTGATTCACGTGCACTTTAAAGTGTGAGATATGCTGATTTTGATGATGCCATGAGGACAATCCATGCCTGTTCCTGGCTCTAGAGAGTCACAGCTCTCTAGAGATCCATGTCTGTGGATTACAGTGACACAAGTTCAACCCCAGGCTCAGCCGTGTGATCTTAGCCCTTAAGAAAGTAGCAAAAATCAATACCTTCCTCATATGACTGCTATGAAAATTAAATGAGATCATGTGTGAAAAACATTGAACAGAATGCCTGACACATAGCACTCCATAATAGTTATTATTTTTATACATTTCCTGGATTTTATCAGATTCTGGAAATTATTCATGACATCAAAAATGTTATGATCTACAAGTCTAGAGAAGTGGCTCTCAACCGGGGCAGTTTTGCTCCTGAAGCACGTTTGGCAATGTCTAGAAACATTTTCCATTGTCATACCGAGGGGACAGAGACTTCTGGCAACTCCTGAGTAGAGACTAGGGGTACTGCTGCACACCCTACGCTCCACAGGATAGCAAGCAGTGACCGATCAACCTATGGAAGTTAGGTCCCCCTCATCCCATCCTGCTATCCATATCTCAGCACCTTGTTTATTTTCTTGGGCGAACCCCTCATGCTCAGTAATTATTGTGAACTCATTATGTGCACAGTTCTGCTCTGCCTTAATAGGAGATATTAATGGGAGGTTTCTCACGTGCACGTATCCTGATACCTCCATGCCTGGCACAGATGGCAGCTTCCAAAGCATCTGTTAAATGAGCAAATTTGTACTGGGCTTGCCTCTAGGATATTGGTGAGACACATCAAGGACTTTAATATACCTGTTCCTCTGGTCCCACTGTCTCTTTAAAAACTTGAGGCCAGGCATGGTGGCTCACATCTGTAATCCCAGCATTTTAGAGGCCAAGGCAGGTGGATCACTTGAGGTCGGGAGTTCAAGACTAGCCTGGCCAACATGGTGAAACCCCATCTCTACTAAAAATAAAAAATTAGTCAGGCATAGTGGCTCACACCTGTATTCCCAGCTGCTCAAAAGGCTGAGGCAGGAGAATCCCTTGAACCCAGCATGCAGTGAGCAGAGATTGTGCCACTGCACTCCAGCCTGAGCAACAGAGCAAGACTCTGTCTCAAAACATAAAAATAAAAAACAAAAATAAATAAAAACTTGAGACAAAACTAGAATAAAATCTTGAGTTTGAGGTTATTTTAGGTCTCCTAAGGATTCCCAGAAATTAGATCAGATAAAAGAGAAGAAAATAAATAAGCAGATGCATTTCCACCCACGAGCAACACAGTGACATGGTAAAGACAGGAGGCTTTAACCCTTTTTTTTTCAAAAAAAAAAAAAACGCAGAAAGGTGATGGACTCTGGGTTTAGGCAGAACTGCATCCCATTAGCTTCAACATTTACTAACTGTGTGACTTTATGTGAGTTTTTTCTTTTTCTTTTCTTTCTTTTTTTTGTTTTTTTTTTTTTTTGAGACAAGGTCTTACTCTGTCACCCAGACTGGAGTGCAGTAGTGCAATCTCGGCTCACTGCAATCTCCGCCGCCCAGGCTCAAGCAATTCCCCTGCCTTAGCCTCCAGAGTAGCTGGGATTATAGGAGCACACCACTACCGCCCCACTAATTTTTGTATTTTTAGTAGAGATGGGGTTTCACCATGTTGGTAAGGCTGTTCTTGAACTCCTGACCTCAAATGATCCACCTGCCTTGGCCTCTCAAAGTACTGGGATTACAGGCGTGAGCCACTACTCGCAGACACTATGTGACTGTACAAGTTACTCAGCCGTTCAAATGGGACTAATCATGGGAATGACTTCTGAAGGTATTCTGAGAACGCAATCGTACAGCAAATATTCAGCACACACTGGCCAAAGGACTGACATGTGTAGAGCACTGTGCTAGGCGCTGGTGCATATAAACCATTTGGCACAGTACCTGGTGTAGCATGAGTATGTGGCACAAGCCACAGTTAATACACACACTGCGCTCACCCTGCTCTCACATGGTCTCACAGGCAAGCTGGGTTCATGACGGAAACCCAGGAATCCCAGCAGGGATGCTTGCCTTTTGCAGCTTTTCACCACTACTTGGATAAGAGTCATGGTGACTTGAGGATCACGCCATCTTGGTGCCCAGTGGTGTTTGGCTTAGTAAAAAGAATCAAAGGATGGTTAAAAATAGTTGAAGTCAGTAAATTAAAGTGTCCTTTGTCAACTCTTTAAAATTAGGTAGGAAGGACACATCAAAGTAGTCTGGGAAAATAAATTACTGCCTTAGGAAATGGAAGAAAAGTGTTTGTGCAAGATTTATCACTGTTAGCAACACAATGTTGGAAAAGTAGACCCAACCTAAATATCCAAAGACATGGAGAATCATTTGGGAAATTAGGAAAGTCAGTGAAACGGAAGTTTTGTTTTGATTTAAAAAAAATTAAAATTATATAAATCTATGAAAAATATATGAGAATGTTTGTGTACATAACACCTATGTGAAAATACAGTTCTGTGATCTAATTGTTCACAATAAAATACAAGACATTAATAAAGTTATATCAAGCTGGTAGATTATGTGCTCTATTCATTTTTTATTCAAAATTTCCCTTAACCCTGCTAAAACCTGTTTCTAATTAAGAATAATCATATCAATAATAATAATTGACTAAGGTTAGCTGGATTAATAACTAAGAATTTTCCCATTTTGGAAAAAAAAACTCTAAAAAAGATCCCGGAAGCAGAGAAATAAATAAAAACACATTGAAAAAATTAAATATGGCCAGTGGGTAAACTGTAATTCCCTAGTGCCTAACAGTTTGAGACAGAATGTTATGCATTTGCATGCTTAACTATGGAGAGAGGAGCAGGTACTCTTGAGAAGGAAAAAAGGAAAAGGTTGTACTTTGAAGCAGGGATTTACCAAGTAAGTTTTAATCTCTCCTCAAACTTAAGTTCCACTTTGTACAACCAAATCCTGGACTACGGCCACCTCCCAACAGAGCAAATCAAAATGTTTAGATACTCATGTATCGGGTTCAGAAAGACCTGTTTCTAAAGCCCTGTGTCACTTCTTTGCTGTTTGACTTTGAGCGAAGTGTTTAATGTCTCTGAACTCCTATTTCCTCATCTGTAAAATGGAAAAAATATTCCTCTTCCATAGGACTGTTTTGAGCATTCAATGATATACATAAAACACCTAACACCAATAAGTGCTCAATCAGCATCTGTTAATTACACTATGAATATTACTATTCTAATATGTTGTTCTCACACTCCATTTTATTCCTATCTGTGAGTCAGGTAATGGGCCAGGCTTTTTGGGGTGTTTGGATGAAGATTTTTTTTTTTTTTTTTTGAGACAGGGTATCGCTCTGTTGCCCAGGCTGGAGTGCAATGGCGCAATCTCAGCTCACTGCAACCTCCGCCTCCCGAGTTTAAGCGATTCTCCTGCCTCAGCCTCCTGAGTAGCTGGGGTTACAGGCGTGTGCCGCCATGCCCAGCTAATTTTGTAATTTTAATAGAGACGGGGTTTCACCATGTTGGTCAGGCTGGTCTCGAACTCGTGACCTCATGGTCCACCCTCCTCAGCCTCCCAAAGTGCTGGGATTACAGGTGTGATCCACCACGCCTGGCCAAGATCTCTTTTTTGGCTTTATCTTCCATGCCAAATCTCAAAACTCCAACCTGTGAGTTTCTTCCATTGCTAATTACTGCTCCCCATACTGTGACAGCTGTGTCTTTCCTGTTTGGTAGCTGATGAATCAATCAAAAGATGCTTTTGTAAAGTAGTGATTTGGGGGTTGCTTAAGTGCCTGATAGAATGTGTGACACTGACAGGTTCCCTGGGGATGAGGACGGTGTTTACCACAGCATGTTCTCAGAGGGTGCCAAACAGGTGCCCCGCCCAAACCTACTCAGGATCACCATGCAGCAAGTTGGGAAATGCCTACCCAGCCCTAGTTCTAGTTTCTATGGTAATGGTGGTTTGGGGGCCAATATTGCAACAATCCTATTTGCAGGTATCTGCAGCATGGCTTTTAATCCCCAAACAGTGTTGGTTTTCTTTGTTCTCTTCCTGCCAATCATTCCTGTTCAAGACTTATCTGATGCCTATTCTGTACCATCAAAACTCTGTTCTCTACACAGCAGACTGAGATCTCTGAGTACAGTATATTTCTGGTAAGGACTCAATATCTGCTAACAGTGTATTGAGCAATGCATCTGAAAAAAGCACATGGGTTTTAAAGTGGGATTCCCCCAAATTCTCTGTAATTGAAGTCAACTATTGAGTGCCTACTAGGTGCTGAGCCCAGTTCTAGAGGCTGCTGGCAGGATGAAGAATGAAAAGAGAGTAAATATTAACAAATAACATCCAGACTTCAAGGACATCAGAGTGGAGTTGGGGGAAATGGTCATGTTTACATCTCAGAATAATGCAAGAAAAATTAATAAGTGCTTATCTAGGTGTAATGAAAGCCTGGAGCCTTCATGAAGGAGAAATAAAGACATTCTGTTTATAGGATTAGGCAAGGAAATTAAAGAGGTCTGGACAAACACCACAGAATAACAGTTCTTGAGCTGGGCATTGCAGAATGAGATGGGCAAAGAATGAAGAAATGACACTTCCAGCTAAGAGAACAGCATAATCAAGGGAACAGAGTCTCCCAAAATGCATTTTGTACTAGAAATGGTAGGGAAAAACCAAAAGTGGCAAGGACTTTGATTATATAGGGGAAGGTGATAGGGAATAGGGCTCATATGTTGATCGTATCAGTCATTATGGCAACACCTGCCATTTACTGAGTACCGGTTGTCTTCTTGACTCTGAAGTAAATAACTCATTAATAAAAGCAAATCTCTGTTAAGATGTAGAAAGGACTTACCATGTCAGGCACTGTGTTAAGCACTTGATGTGCATGTACATTGCTAGCAAATAAGCTGTGTACGCTGTTGGAGATTTTTGTTTTCTCTGTTCTGCTTCTGAACAGATTTGTAATACACCGAAATATTCTTCAAGCAGTGCAGTAGGTGAACCCATGAACTTTCAAGACAGCTCCACATTTCACCAACTGTGTGACTCAGGACTAGTTACTCTCCCTTCTCGAAGCTCAGTTTCCTCATCTATAAAATGAGAGATGCAGTTAAATTAGTGCCTTCCCAAGGTGATTGAGAAAAGTAAATAAGAGACTACCTGAAAAGCACCTGGTATGGAGCCTGGCCATGGTAAACACTTACTAACTGCTAATTATTATTACCATTCCACCACCAGCAGTTTACTGAAGGCCAATGAAGCTATCCTGAGAACCTACTGGAAACTGAGAGATAACACTGCATTTCTTTGCCTGTTTTTTACCACCTGATGTGTTGATCCTTTTTTCAAATTATCAGCTAAAAGGTTGAACTTGATGACTTCAAAAAAAAGAACTTGATGACTTCAATATACTTCTCGCTTTGAAATGCCCATTTTTCACTACCCCATGCAAATACCCCTCCTCCAGGAAGCCTTGCCAGTTCTCTTCCACCTACAAAGCTCTTCCTCTCTACTGAATGCTTAGCTGTTGCTCATCTTAAGCTGTTCACCATTATGTGATTGGGCCAAGGAGAAGAGTATCTCATCTACACCCTCTGAGCCCTCAGAGTACCTTGGGGCAGAGTAGGGTGTGTGGGATGGAGGTGAACATGATATCAGGGAGCTCTGGCAGGCACTGGCTCATCCTGCACCCATAAACACCCACCCAACCAGTTATCAGCCACTCTCCTATCTTTCATACCCATCTTCCTTCTCAGAGTTCCACATCAAGACTGAATTTTCACTCCTGAAGCCATTTTCTTTAGACAGGGTCTCATCTGTCACCCATGCTAGAGTATAATGACACAATCATGGCTCACTGCAGCCTCAGGTGACCCTTTCACCTCAATCTCCCTAGCAGCTGGGATTACAGGTGCATACCACTACACCTGGCTAATTTTTTGCATTTTCAATAGACAGAGGCTTTTGACGTGTTGCCCAGGCTGGTCTCGAACTCCTGAGCTCAAATTATCCCTCCCACTTTGGCCTCCCAAAGTGCTGGGATTACAGGCATAAGCCACCGTGGCTGGTCCCTGAGGCCACTTTCTTCTTGAAAATTGTATTTTTCTGATGAAAATATGCCATTATTCATCTTTCATTGTCTCTTGATTCACTATCACTTATGTTTTAAGGTGTTTGGGGTTTAGGGCTTTTTTAAAAAGAATCATCAAGTATTTAAATCAATCTCTCTCCTTTTTATTGATAGAGACTCAAGCCTACTGATTAACTTTTCAATCAAAGCTGCCTGCAACACACAAGGCAACTGCAATTGCAGCTTTGGCGACAACTGAAGTAGTCATTTAGCTGACTTCTTCTCTGTTTCTAGTTACCCCTCTGTGCTGAATCTGTACGTCTGTGATTTCATAGCCTTCACAGAATCCTCTATATATGTTAGGATTATTACTCTCCACTTTTTCCATTTGAGAAAATGGAAGATCAGAGATGGTAACTAGCTTGTCAAAAGTCACACAGCCAATAAATGGCAGAGTTAAGGAACTAATCTGGCCACCAGGAGTCCACTCCCTTGGCCACTAGTCCACTGGGTTCATCACCTTCTCTTCTGTTTGCATTCACTGAGAACTCATTGAGGGCAGTGGTTTTGTCTCTTTTATAGTTGCCTAGCAGCCTGGCACCACGTAGGTGCTCAAAATGTTCAAATCAGTTGTTCTTTCTAGAAATAAGTGCCTAATCTGGGTCAGACCAGTTCTAGATCAGTGGGTGAGGGGTCTGAAGGGGGATAGAGCAGTAAATAAGGTAGCACAGGTCTCAGTCCTCATGAGGCTTAAGTTGCATTCAGTGGAGCATTCTGCTTTAACTCTTGGTTTGCTCTGATAAACTCATTGTTTTGCGGACCTTTGCTTAATGCGGATTATCTGGTTTTCTGGGGATCAGAATCATAAATCTGACTACTCCTGTCCAGGCTGGGAGGTGCACGTTGGTCTTGATCACTACCCCGGGCAGTTGCCTGCTGTGACCCCTGCTTCTTTTCTTCCAGAATGTATTAGGTTGATGCAAAAGTAATTGCAGTTTTTGCCATTGAAAATAATGGCATAACCTGCATTACTTTTGCACCTACTTAATAGAATACAAAGATACCCCAATCCGCTTAGGGGATGGTAGAGAAAGAAACAAAAGAAGGAGCACCTTGGCAATGAAGCTACAGAAAGGAGGGCTGGAGATGGGGAGTCTCCCTGCTGGAGAGTCTGCCTCTCCTTCTTTGCAGTTGAATTGAGGAGTGTTTTAAGCCTACTTTGTTTGCCATCAACATCAAAATGTCTTTCTTGATTGTAAACTTCTGGAAAGTGAGACAGAGAACATGTGTGGTTACGCAAATGGCCCTGTGATATCAGTTCACTATTCCCACAGCAGATGGCTGGCTATCTGTGGCCTGAATTCAATCATCCTTTTGAAATCTTTGCTAACTTGCTCATCCTTTCTGGGAGTCAGCTTTTCTATCAGTAAAATGAGAGTGTGTACTCCAGGCTCCTCCCAGAAGTAGCTGTATGGCTTTCTCCTGGGTCCCCTACCATGTGTTAGGATATTCTGTGATGCTTCAGTGAAAGTAGCTGGTGCTGCAGAGGTCTCCACTGGGAATGAGAAGCAAATCCTTAGGGAACTGTTGGTCTTCCACAAGCAGTGATACACACCCATGACTGGCACCCAGGCAAGTCTTGCCAAACCGCATCATGTTACCCGTTCATTTCAGGGCCAGGAGCCTTTTGTCAAGGAAGGTAAGGAAGAGCTTCTGACAATGACGGCCAAGTTCTCGTTGACTCAAGTTTCAATCTTCACACTGATTTCTATTCTCATTATTTAATTTCCTCCTCATCAGACAGAATTAAATACCAAATACCATTCCCAGGTCTTCTAAAGTCCAATTGCCCAAATGCTTTGTTTCCAACTTACATAAAAGTTTAAATTTCCTCTTCCCTTGCTCAAATTTCTGCCAAAACAGTCATCAGCAATGAAATTTTTGAAGATAATTAGCACATCAGATGTCTGTAATAAGCTAATCATGTATTTCTTGGATTGTACTTCTCTGGTTAGCTGTTATTAATCACAAATATTATTCATGTCATTTGAAATATTCCTGTTGGCGGATGTTTTCATCCTTGAAGAATTCCAGCTAAAAGTCTTTAGCTACGGATGCAGACCCTTCCCCCCACTCCAGCCCCACCCAACCGTGAGAGGCAAGATTCAATCGTGTCTTGTTGAACAGGGTTAACCTTCAGGGGAAACAGCATTAAGGGAAGTAATTATCCATTCACACTGAGCTGGCTACAAATAAAGTGAGAAAATCACCTTCTCAGAACTCACATGAAAAACATAATGTAGTTAATATTAAATAAAGGGATTGGGTAACCTGGCCTCTTTTTACAGTGTGTGCTTATGTGTCCTTGATCAGGGGCTGTTTTGTTTATGATTAATGAATGACTCACCTTGGGCTGTGTTCCGTTCAATGCATACCTCATTATGAATTTGAAGAGGTCATTTCTTTCTTGGATTTAAAATAAGAATCTCTTTGTACATTCAGAAAGTTAAGAGTTTGATATTGGTGAAAAATTAGGGCAAAAAGAACTGGGGGGCATTTGCTTTGGGTTATTTCTGTTGTTGTTGCTGTTGTTGTTGTTCTCATTGTTGGCTTATAATGTTCAGAATTTGGAGAAAAATTCTAAGCCCGGGCTCTCATTTTAAAGTAGATCCTAAAATTATGTGGCTTAGGCTCAACTTATCTGTGGCAGTAGTACTGCCCTACAGTGCTGTGAATCAGAAGGGCTTGATGTCTCACCTCATAAGGGCTGTCCAGGCTGCTCCAGGAGGGGCTTGTGGAGGGGGGTTCAAATGGCACAAACATAAATTAAAAAGAAACAAAATCTGAGGCCCCAGTATTCAGAAAGGGCATATAGTCCAGCAGCCTCTCTTTTAATGTCTTCTTTTTTCTTTAAAGCTGTGTTTTCTGTTCATTACAGTTTAATTTCATTTATACTTAATGTCAGAATGAGTAGTAGATTGCAATGTAATTTACCAAACCCTACAAAACCCAATTTTGATGCAGAAGGTCATAACTGGGTTAAAAACTGTATGTGTATGCCTATTTTTTTTTCACAAGATCCCTGACAAAGCCATCTGATAAGAAAATATGTATCTCTTTGTCATTTTATATATGTAAGTGCATGCACATGCACAAACATACACACCAAGCACACCCACAAACACATATATCAGAGGAAGATAGATGATAGATAGGCAGATATCAATCTGCAAGTATAGATTTTGTTTTTTAATTAAGACAAGAGGGTTACTACCCAGGAGAGGGAACTTCTATGTTTGAGACACAGCCCCAAGGTGGTAGGAGGTGAACACTTTCAGAATGACCATCATTTCCACCTGTGCACACACAAACATGTGGTTTGACCACCGGTGGGCCCCACCACAACTCAGTTAATGATCTTTCCACAGGGGTATGTGTGTTCACTGTGCATCCAAATGAGGGCTTGTCACGCAGAAATAAAAGCACATGCACAAACAGGCCTTGGCAGTTGACTAAGGATACCCACTTCACGGTAGACATAGTTCATTAGTCACCTAGCCAGCTTTTTAAAAAAGTCAAGTTATTTCTTTATGTGTGAGAGAAACTATGTCCTTTGATCATAGCCGTTAAGATGGGATTAAATAACAGCAAATCTCAGAGACCCAAGCATTACTCCTGGCTCTATCATTAACTGGCCATGTGACCTTGGGCAGGTCATTTTCCCTCACTGGGCATCCGGGGCTGTTTCTGTAAAAGGAAGGCTTTGGACTAGGTAGACCTTAACATTGTTCCTTAACATCAATGTTCTATGATTTTTTTCCTAGTAATTATGCCCTTCCCATCAATATTCTATGATTCTGTTAAAATACAAGAATAGCTGACACAACATAGGAAACACCTCCACCTCAAAATGTCGTCTTGGTGGATGTCTTGCTGTTTCACAAATTAAAAGCAGAAGATCAATGTCTTTCTTGTCTTTCATCATAACCGCCATCTGTCTCTCAGGCCTATGAGCACCTACCACACACTAAGTACATTCAGGTTTTGTTGGTTACTCTCATGAAGTACGGTCATGGTAGAGTACCAGACAGGCCACTTAAATGACAACAAACAAATATAGTTTCTACAGCTAGAAATATAACTCTCTTTTATTTTCTAACTTCACCATGAAAACATGATAACTGGAATTGTGTGACTGCTAAGGAAAACACCAAGCATAATCTTTTCAGAGATTTTTTTTTTTTTTTTTTGAGACAGGGTCTCTCTGTCACTCAGGCTGGAGTGCAGTGGTGCATTCATGGCTCACTACAGACTTGACCTTCTTGGCTGAAGCAATCATCCCACCTCAGCCTCCCAAATAGTTGGACTACAGGAACACACCACCATGCCTGGCTAATTTTTGTATTTTTTTTTTTGGAAAGCTGGGGTCTCACTGTGCTGTCCAGGCTGGTCTCAAACTCCTGAGCTCAAATGATCCACCCACCTCAGCCTCCCAAAGTGTTAAGATTACAGGTGCGAGCCACTGCACCCAGCTTAGACATTTTTTTCTTTATAGACAGTAATACAATTTGGCAACTTCCAAAACAAAGTGAATGTTCAAGAAATGTAGCAAAGTTTCATAGGAAAGTTTCCTCAAATTACCATGAAACATTTTTTAAAAGATTCAGGACCCAAACAGTAATAATAAGTTTTTTAAAATGTATTACAAAATTAGAATTTGAATGGAGCAAAGATCTTTATTTTAAATCAGGGGTGTCCAATATTTTGGCTCCCCTGGGCCATATTGGAAGAGGAAGAATTGTCCTGGGCCACACATAAAATACCCTAACAGTACTGATAGCTGATGAACTAAACAAAAAAGGAAACAAATTTCAAGAAAATCTCATAGTGTTTTAAGAAAATTTACAAATTTGTGTTGAGTTGCATTCAAAGCCATCCTGGGCCACATGTGGCTCACAGGTCCCGAGTTGGACAAGCTTGTTTTAAATGATCACTCCACACTCAAAAAACAGCTCCCACCAGTTTGAGAAAATGGAAAAGCGACCAGAAAGTGGTGTGCAAATCAATGTTATTATATGTAACACTGATAGCCGTTATCTAGCTAGTTAAGCCAGCATGGAAACACTAAAACCCCAAAACAAACAAACAGACGAACAAAAAACCCTCTTGATTTTACATTAAGACTTTGTGTATGCTGTTCACTTTCATTATTACAAAATGGTTGCTGTAGCTCCAGAAGCCCCACCCAGTGACTTTTTCCTACATTTCATTGGCCACAGCTTCCTCCCTTGGAAAAAGGAGGTTGAACAGGGATTGGCTCAGCTATCCATCAGCATGTGCCACACTTATTCAGTATCACACAGGTAATGAATGACAAAGTCAACTGTCTAAAAATGCTTGGTGGTATTTCTTTCTTTCATTAACACCAGTGAGTTCCCTAATATGCTTGTTTCCTAGGAACCCCAAACTTGAGGGCCTGGGGCATTTTTCTTCTTACAGGGTTTACCTTATCTTTTATGGGGATTCAGATGTATGAGATGAATGTGACTACTCTGATCTTACCCGCTTTAATGAACAGAGGACCGAATCACTTCACTTGCTTTCTCCTGTACACCTCCCCTACCTCCTTCTTCCCAACTCAGAGCAAGACCTCCCCAAGCTTTTATGTGAAGATGGCTGTGGAATATGATTTGTATTGCCTTTCCATCAAGCGGGAGAAAAGACAGAACTCAACTGACACAATAAGATTAGAGTGAGGAGATGGGAGCCAAAAATTCCTTCATTTGGCCAGCACTGTGGTTCATGCCTGTAATCCCAGCACTTTGGGAGGCCGAGACGGGTGGATCATTTGAGGTCAGGAGTTCAAGACCAGCCTGGCCAACATGGTGAAACCCCGTCTCTACTAAAAATACAAAAATTAGCCAGGCATGGTGACTAATTTCAGCTACTGGAGGCTGAGGCAGGAGAATCGCTTGAACCTGGGAGGTGGAGGTTGCAGTGAGCCGAGATTGCACCACTGGACTCCAGCCTGGGTGACAGAGTAAGACTCAGTCTCAAAAAAAAAAAATTCCTTCATTTGAACTGGTGAGTCTCCCTAGAGGATGCTTGTTGATTTCTCCAGTCTGCATTTGTTTCTGCTTTTGTTAATAGAACTCACTTTTCTTTTGCAGAAACATTCACTTTTCTTTTGCACTTTCCTTTTCTCAGTCCATGGAGTTCCTGGTGACTAATGCCATCCACAAGATCTGAAGGTGTTGTGTAACCTAGACCTGGCCCTTCTCTCAGTGCATCCCCCTCTCCAGAGTGACCAACTCAGAGAGGTCATGTGCTTAAGGTGAGCCAAAGACAATTTTTCATAGATCTTTGCTGAAACTTTAGAGAAAAGGGCTCTCTCTCTGCCCTGGGAGTGCTGGGCTGGTATAACGTAATGTAACCTGAATCTATTGGTCATCATCACAATGGGAAAGCCCGGCCAATGATTGAATGTAGGAAAGCAGAGAGGGAAATGCACAAAGGAGAGAGAGAGAAAGAGAGAGAGAGAGAAATCAGATGATGCCACTTCAGCACCTGAATCCTACCTTTCTTGTCCAGTCTAATCAGTTGTGTATGCCAAAGAATTCCCTTTTTCAGACTAAACCCATGAATTTGAGTTACATTTCGGATCACTGGCAATTGAAATGGTCACCAGCAGATATCTAAAAATTGTAGTCATCCCTTACTCAGGTATTGCCCTTCATGGTTTACAAAGCCCTTGCAAACTTTTCTCTCATTCAATCTTCTCTGTGAACCTATGCGAAAGGTAATGTCTTCCCAGCATTCACAGATGAAGACCTGGACCAGCTGAGGCCATGACGCATTCATTCTCTTCAATCTTGCAGTGGTTGTTGAGTGCTTGTCAATGTGCAAGGCTTTGTGCTAAGTGGTAGGGAGGTAGTGACCAAGTCAGAAGCCACTTCTGTCCCCCAGTCTAGTTGGAGAGTGGACAATACCCACTGGTTTGACAAATCACTGTCAAAGTTCACCTGTGTACATGCAAGAAAGGAGCAGGTCAGAAAGATGGAGAAGGACCATTCTCTGAAGACTTTGTAATTCAGTTGGAATCAAAAGGATGAGAAAGAGAATTCTAGGTAGAGGGAAGATCAGTTGCCAAGACCCTGAGGCAGGAAGTATGGCATACTGAAGGAAATTGGAGAGGCCCAGTGTGGCTGGAGCACAGAGAACAAGGAGGTACCTGAGTAGACTGTGACAGAGGAAGAGTAAGAACTGTGGTCTTCATCTTTATGCAAAGACATCGAGGCATGACTTTATCTGTATTATAAAGGTAACTCTCTTACTGTAACATAGAGAACAGACTGGAGCAGTAAGAGTGGATTCAGGAAAAAGTTAAATGTGCCTGGCATAGCTCATAGGACATAAACAATATTTCTATCAACTGAGCTTCATCACTTGTCCCAGATTATAGAGCCAATAAGGATCAGAGGCAGATGGGGATCTGCAGAGTGACCCGGAAACCATGCTTGCAACCACCATGCAACACAGAATATGAACTAAAAGCACACTTCCTACAGTAGAATTATGAGATTATTCTTCGATTTTCAGTAACTTGACAGTTGGCATTTCCTAACCTTTCCACTTTTCTTCTTCCTCCTCCCTGCCTTCCTTTTCTTTCGTTCTTTCTTTCTTTTTTTTTTTTTTTTTAAATAATGGTTGCACAATTCTTTAATGAGATTCAGGCAAAAACCTACTTGCTATTTGTGTTGCAAAGTTCAAAAACTCCATATTGTGTCATCACTTTTGAAAAATGTATGACCTAGAACAGTTAGCAAATTCCAGAAACCTTTGAACTCCAGTTTGTTGAATATTGTAGTTTATGTTTTCTCTAAATTGTCCGGAACCATTTGTACCTTGGATTATTAATCTATAACCAAACACAGTTCTGGCGAGGCCAGCCTCCTTTCCCACTAACCAATCATGCCAGGAACATGAGTAAATCTATTATCTTTTCTTTGAATTCTGTCAATATATTTATTTCAGATCTTTATTCTGGCTTCTTTCTCCCTTTATATTTCATGGAAAAACTGTCCAGATAAGATCAGAATTGCTTTGCCATTTATCATCGGCAGCCAAGTCTAACTCAAAAGCCAAGTTCAAAAACATATTTTTTTTCCACACTCAGATGCAAAACAGCCAGAAAAAAGAGTTGGCCACAGCTGTCTGCCTTTATATTTGAATATGTAAATGTATTATGATCTCTGACTGCCCCATTAGTGGATTCACCTTGTAAATTAATTGACATTCATGGAGACTGTAATATAGGCAAGCTACTGACAGATAATTTCAAGGAATCTAGATTAGTTCCTAGAAGGAAAGAGCCTAGTGTCTACAGAACAGGGCAGTACATTGAGTCAGTGCTCTCACGCCAGGCTCTGAGAGAGCTCTGTGAACCTCCCTTCCTATCTTCAACTGTCCACTGTGGACAATGGTACATACCTCATAAGGGTTCAGTCTGTAATTATTCAATGAATATTTATTGAGCACCTACTATGTGCTGGCACTTTCATAGACACTGGGATAGTAAGCCATACTATTATAGAGCTGACATTCCCATAGGAGAAAGAGATGTGTGATAGATCAATGGGATTGGATTGCACAATGCCTATATGGCTGGCAAAGTATTGTTTCTGGGTGTGTCTGGGAGGCTGTTGCTAGAGGAGTTTGGCACTTGAGTCAGTGAAGAGGTAGACCCACCCTCAATGTGGGTGGGCACCATCCAATCAGCTGCCAGTGTAGCTAGACCAAAGCAGGCGGAGAAAGGTGGGATGTCCTTGCTTGCTGGGTCTTCTGGCTTCCTCTTCATGTCCTTGCTTGCTGGGTCTTCTGGCTTCCTCTTCTTCCTGTGCTGGATGCTTGCTTCTGCTCCTCCTGCCCTTGGTCATTAGACTCCAGATTCTTTGGCCTTTGGACTCTGGTACTTGCACCAGTGGTTTGCTGGGGACTCTCAGGCCTTTAGCCTCAGACTGAAGGCTGCATTGCTGGCTTCATTGGTTTTGATTCTCTTGGTCTTGTACCAAGCCACTACCAGCTTTTCTCTTTCCCCAGCTTTTAGACAGCCGATTATGTGACTTTGTCTTGTAATCATGTGAGCAAATTCTCCATAATAAATCCCCTTTTATATATACATAGATCCTATTTGTTCTGTCCCTCTGGAAAACCCTGACTAATACAAGACACCAAGAAAATGAATCAATCAGACAATTTTTCTTGGTGTTAACTCTACGGTAAAAATGGGGAAAAAAAATGAAGGAAAGAGAAATGAAGGGGCACTTCAGATGGATTTTAGATGGGACTTCACGTAGGTTCACTCTCTGAAGAGTTGACCTTTTAAGTCAGCCATTGAAGGGAAGAAAGAACCAGCCATGGGGAGATCTTAGGGAATAGAAGGCCACATTGAAGGAACTGCCAAGTCTCATTTATGAAATGAAAAAGGCCACAGCATTGGAGCAGAGAGGATGGGTAAGAGGGGAGTGATAGGAGGTGATGGTGGGAAGGTAGAGAGGGACAAAATCACAACTTTCAAGGCCATGTAAGGAATTGGACTTCAGTCTAAGCACAATGGAAAATCACTAACAACCTTCAACCTGGGGATAAAAGGAACTGATTAGTGACGGTGAAGGGCTGCCTCTCAATTTCTCCTATTGAGAAATTTTCAATGAATGAAGATTTTCAACATATAACTCATATGGTGTAGGTACCTAGAAGATAGTGGATCATGATCCGATGCTTCCAAATTATTGGAAACATGAACGTGGGTTAGGAGTATCTACATGTTACCAAGAAGTGCGGGAATCCTTGGTGTTTGTCTAATTTGGAAGAAAGAATTCAACCAAGAGACACATAGCAATGGTTAAGTAGCAGAGTTTATTGAAGGAAGACAAAGTACATTCCTGGAGAGGAGTGGAAAAAACTTTGGACTGTTCTGGCTGGAAAAATAGTATAATAGTAGCAGTGTTTTATTTAAAAAGACAGTACACCCTGAAAGACAAGGTGGAGCAGGCTGCTCAAAAGAATGAACCACAGGCCACTGGAAAGAATGAGCCAATAGCAATCAGTGCTGGGGGCCTCTCTTTAGGAGAATCTTACATGATTATTCATGAAGGGGCAGGAGGAGGTGTCACTTGCAACCATATTTTGGGAGGTCCCTTTGGGTGCGCGTGCTCTGTGATTATACATTGCTAGTACACATGTCTCATTGGCATGTAAAATCTCCACCCAGGGGTGTAGTTTTTACTATTATAATGAGCAAAAGGCTGCTCTAGGGCGAGTTTTTGGAGGAGTATGCATGCTTATCAGCGGAGAAAATTCCTAGCATGGTTGTCTGTGGCTAGGGCCTGATAAGTCCCCTCTAGAGCCAGAGGAGCCCAACCACAAGGCCAGAAGTAGCCAATGTAGCCACTGTCTTTTGCTGTCAGTAGGTGGGCATCATCTCCAGGACTTCTGTTCCCAGGGGCTCCCTTCCCTGCTCATTTCTGGCTCTCTGCTTACTCTAACATTAAGAGACCTTAAAAAATACCTGCATTCAAGATGGTGCAATAAATGCTCCTCAGATGTAGTAACCAATCCATGCTCAGCTTCTGCCAATAATAACTTCCCAAATGCAGTGGCTTATGCAAGATCATAGTTTCTTCCTCCAAATGGTCCAGTGGCTTATGGTACCTCAATGACGTCAGGGACACAAACTCATTCTACTGTCTCTCAACCTGACATGCAGCTTCCTTCTTGATGGTTGAGATAGCTGCCATCCTAATTCTTCCTGCAACATCTACATTTCACTGAGAGAAAGGGGGAAAGGAATTTGAGGAAAGAGAGCACACTCTTTCCCTTTTAAAGTTGTGAGGAATAAGTTGCACACATCAGTTCTCATTTCCCATCAACCAGAACCTGGCTGCATAGCCACAACTAGCAGCAAAGGGAATTGGGAAATGCAGTTTTTGGCTGGGGAACAATGTGCCAAGATCAAACTTTTCTTATTATAAAAGGATATTGGAAGGATAAGTTTGATTCTTGCCATAGCTTCCAACCCAGTGCAAAAGTGGCTGTTAAGTTCCTTCAGCCTTTGGAGAACCAGCTTTGTTAAAAAAAAGTTCTCTTTCCAGGGGAAAAATGAGTAGAATACATCATAATAAATAATAAAAATAATTAACTAATTAATCTCAACATTACTATATATTGATCATGCTTTCCTACAAAATCCACAGCTCTGTGTTACATGAAAACAGCAGCTTGTTTCTTTAAATTAAAAAAACCAAACAAACAAGTCATTGTTCACCTGCCTCTCTTACAGCCTGCTCTTTCAGCTGTTTTCATAAAAGTGGAGAAATATTTGTACTGTTTATTTATATTTCCTCATCTGGTACTCTTCTTTGTGATTAGTGGCATGCAATTTTAAGTCAGATGTTTGGGATTCAGAGTGTTCTTCTGTATATGAAGCAAAATAATGATAAATAATTCATTCTTAAATGTGTACCTTTAAAATCATTAGCACCATTATAAACATGTTTCTGAAAATTTAACCCATGACCCACTTATTTTGTGATATTAGTATGTGTACAAAGATCATTTTCCTAATCCATTCAAAAAGTTTTGAGTTTTTACTATGTGTGCTCAGTGGATTGACAGTTGGAGGTTACTCTCTGCTTATTTTTGTATCTATAAGATACCAAGAAAATAAGAGTTTTAGCAATTAACCTGTAGTGCAGATGACCAAACAGGATACTAGAGGCCTACAGTTGCATAATGGAAATAGATTGAAGTAAAGAGATCAACATCTTGGCTGTGCTAATGGCTTTCTATATGAGCTTAAATCACTTCTATTCCCTAGTACTCAGGTTCCTCATCTGTAAAATGAGGGATGGGCCCCGCTTTGCACTGGTCAATGCCTGGCATGGAGTTGCCACTTCCACACTGCTTGCCCATGCAGACATCACTAATCAATCACAGCATTTTTTAATATTCTGCTAAGCTGAGACATAGTCTGAAATTCCTCTTAACACAATCTTCATTCTACCACAGTTGAATCAAAAGAAGATCTTTTTGTCATCCCCTGAATTCAATGGTTTCTAAGATCTCTTCAAACTTTAGCATGTTAGAATCTGATAAAGTAGAAAACAAGGGAAAACAAGAAAGGAAAACTTAGGTTGAATTAATACATCCACCTGATATGTGACGATTTGCAATTTGGAGTGTTGGCCTCAAATGCTGAACAATAAAGACTGCTGGCCTTTATTAATTAAAAAAGATGAAGCATAAATTTTGGAAAGAGTGATGTGCTATTTCCTCCACCTTAAAGCCAGAGGATGTAGAGAATATAAATGCAAATTACATGCAAGTATACTTTGGGGACCTTCCTATTTCTTAGAACCGAATTCAGCTTCTGAGGAAATAGAAAAGATGACTCCAAGTCTATATTTCCCAGGAGTTAACTGTAAAAGTTTTCAAGAACCTTAAGAAAATTGCCACCTTCCATCATAAAATAAAACTGTTTTTTCAATGTTAGCAAGTGACGGGAGACTCTCTACATGAGGATGGAGGGCGAAGCTTTGCAGCTGGGACTCTTATACCTGAGCATTACTTTTTTCTGGTGGTTATTCCTGAGTGTTTCTGTAAACTCCACACTGGCCTGGGTTGAGGTGAGAGGGGATGCTACTGCCCACTGTTTCTGTCTCCTAGTTGTAGACAAACCCTTCCTGTAATTCCTCATAGCTCTAAGATGAGGTGGGAAAAATAAACACAGAGAGAGCCAGGGAATAAGGCTACCTGGCTTGTTCAGATTGGCAAATTCTCATTGTAAGCAGCTCCTCCTGGTTCCTTATCCCCTGGAAATACCATTGACTACCTTGTCAGAGCTCCCTTCTACCACATAAGGATGCAAGATCAAGGCCAAAGATAGACTGGAGTTCCTGCTCCTGCTGACCCAAGATCCATCTCTCGCATTCCTATTGCTGTGGTTTGAATATGTGTGTCCCTCCAAAATTCATCTGTTGGAACATAAGCCCCAAGGTGATGGTACTGAGACAGCCAAGTATAAAGTGGTCCCAGGAGAACCTCTGACTGGCCTGTGCACTGGGAGTAGTGTGCACTGGGGTGGAGCCATGGAAGTTCATACCATTTGTAGGGGGCAGGAGCCTGGCCTCTCCTGTTTGTGGGTGGAAGCTGGGATTCAATCTGAGAGGCAGGAAGCCCACTAGCAGGACTCTGGTTTTGCTGAGAGTCCTCATTTCCCATTTTTTTTCCTTTTCACCCAATGCACCCTGCCCTTCTCAAACCTCAAAGTGTCTATGAGCCTAATTTTTCATGGTCATGGGACTAGGACCCCATTTTTAGCTAAACTAAGGAGAAAGTCCTACAAAAGTATTAAGGAATGGGGCCTTTTGGGAAATGATAAAGTCATGAAGGTTTCACTCTCATGTTGGGATTAATATTCTCATAAAGGAAGCTTCAAAGAGCCTCCTGGCCGTTCTGTCCCTTCTACCTTGTAAAGACACAATGTTTGTCCCCTCCAAAGGGTGCAGCAACCAGGTGCCATCATGGAAGCAGAGAGAGAGCCTTTACCAGACATTGAATCTGCTGGCACCTTGATCTTGAACCTCCTAGCCTCCAGAACTGTAGGCAATAGGTTTCTATTGTTTATACATTACCCAGCCTAAGGTATTTTGTTATAGCAACAGAGACAGGCTAAGACATCTGTTTTCTGCTTCCTCTCCCCAGATGAGTGCAGTGAAGAATGCTCACCTCTTGCAGGAAGCCTACACATACCCACAGGTTCTATATACCCCATAAAACCCATATATTTAAGACAAATCAAGACTTTCTTAAATAACAAGAGTCACTATGTGTTACAAGCTGCATTTACAAAAGCTGTAGTTAGGACTGTGCTTGTCAAAGGTTAATGTGAATGAGGATCACCTGAGGATCTAGATAAACTGCAGATTCTGATTCAGTGGGTCTGGGGTGGGGCCTGCTATTCTGCATTTTTAATGAAGAAGATCAAGCTATGCAACCCCAAAATATGCTATTTTGGCATAAGAATCTTTTAGGGCTGAAGGCATTTTAGATCCGAAATTCCTTATCTGTATAAAAGCAAAGCCTTTCCCAAAAAACTTAATTGTCATAAGTCCCTCCCTTAGGAGTAATTCTAATATTCTTTTCTTGGAGAGGAAAAGCTGGCACCACACCCAAACAGACATTGCCACAAGACTGTCATATCTCCCATTTATTCTCCTTAGGGTCTATTTATCTTTCCAAAAAGTCACTTGCTTTTCCATAAATGCCCCTTCTCCCTTCTCCCTTGACCTGCTAATTTAGGTATACAGACCTCCAAATTCTAACCACTCCTTTGAGTTTCTCATCACTGAGTTCTCCCAGGTGTATGTTCTGCACATGTCAATAACATTTGTATATTTTCTAGGCCAGGCCTGGTGGCTTATGCCTATAATCATAGCACTTTGAGAGGCTAAGGCAGGTGGACTGCTTGAGGCCAGGAATTGGAGAACAGCCTCAGCAATATTGTGAAGCTCTATCTCTGCAAAAAATACAAAAATCAGGCATGGTGGTGTCTGCCTGTACTGCAGTCCCAGCTACTCCAGAGGCTAAGGTGGGAAGATCACCTGAGCCCAAGAGGTTGAGGCTGCAGTTAGCCATTGAAGCAGGATATTTCCCTGACACCTTCACAAGACTTGTGATGGGGTGCCTCATTCACTCAGCCCACTGCTGTCAACTCCTTGCGGGAAGGAGCACTTGAGCAAACTAGGTGGGAACTGGCACCAGCCAGATCAAACTCCACTCAGACCTGCTGTATTCCACCCTTCATGGGAGGAAGCGTGCAGGTGAGCAGGTGCAGGAGATGGAGTGAGCACTTTTGGATGCCAGCAGGAGTGAATACTGTGCATGTCCCATGGCAGCATCCATGTGGGGTTCCTGTGACCCCTGAAGCCCCAGAGAGTATGTTACAGTGCTCTTTTTAGCTTTGCCATCCACGGACAGCTTAAGTGTTAACAGCTTGGTGGGCCCACGGCTGCTCTCCGCCAGTGAGGGCAAAGGGCCAGTATGGCAGCCTTTTGTATCCACACTTGTGGCCCCTGAGCTCTAGTCCAGCGTCCAGGAAAAATGAGGTCTCATGAGCGAATTGAAGGATGGTAAATGTGAGGGATTTTATTGCTGAGGAAAGTGGCTCTTAGTGGGAAGGAGAGCTGAAAAGAGGATGAGGGGTGGTAGGTAGTCTTCCCCTGAAGTCCAGCCATCTCCAGTTGGATTCTTCTGCAAAGTTACACCATCAGGCTGTCCCTCTGAAGTCAAGCCGCTTCTCTCCAATGGCCAGCCATAGTCTCTGACATCCAGCTGCTTCTCCTCTCTGCCTGCTCAGGCTGGGGTCTTTATAGGCACAGGATGGGGCAGAGTAGGGCCATGTGTGGCTTAGGAAAAGGCAACATTTAAGCGGGAAAACAGGGATATAAGTTCTCACTGTGGGCCTCAGTCTCAGGCCTTTGGCTCAAAGGTGGGGCTTCAGCGGGGACCTGCCCCTGTCTGCCCAGAATTTCTCTGCCTCCTCTCCCTATCACCATGATTGTGCCACTGCACTCCAGCCTGGGTGACAGAGTGAGACCCTGTCTCAAAATAAATAAATAAATAAATAAATACATAAATAGCAATTAAAATTAAATTAAATTAAGCAAAATGTGTGTATTTTCTCTTGTATATTATCTGTCTGTTGTTGTTTAATTCACAGGCCCCCAGTAATTGAACCGAAGAGTGTAGGGGGCAAATTTGTCCTCCCCTACACTAACAAGCTCCCAGGTGATCCTGATACTTCTTATCCAAGAATCACACTTTGAGAAGCTATAACATGTACCCTGATGTGGATCAGGTTATCCAAGGAATAAGGAGCTGCCTGGGTAACTCCTCACTCTCCCACATTTGGTGCCTAGAAAGACCCAGGACCAAGGAAAGAAAGAGCCCACAGAAGTCTATTGTGCAGAAAAGTCCCACACCAGTCTCAAGGTACAAAGAGCTAATATAGGAGGCCAAAACTAAGGAACCAATCACTGGAGCCACTCTCAAAAAGCAAGTGCAAAACCCCAGTTCATTACTCTAGAGGGTGACAGACTGGTGAAGTGTTTTGGAAACATGTTAGATGCCAAAATAAGGATGTTTAGCCTGGAGAGGAGAAGGTTAGTGTGTTGGGTTGCCAAATTTAGCAAATAAAAATATGGGACACTCAGTTAAATTTGAATTTCAGATAAACAATGAATACTTTTAGTATAAATATGTCTTGTGCAACATTTGGAATATACTTACACTAAAATGTTGGAATTTTTTTTTTTTTTTTTGAGACAGAGTTGCTCTGTCACCCAGACTAGAGTGCAGTGGTGCAATCTTGGTTCACTGCAACCTCCGCCTCCTGGGTTCAAGTGATTATCCTTCCTCAGCCTCCCTAGTAGCTGGGAATATGGGCACACACTGCACACCCAGCTAATTTTTGTATTTTTAGCAGAGATGGGGTTTGATCATGTTGGTAATTCTGGTCTTCAACTCCTGACCTCAGGTGATCCACCCACCTCTGCCTCCCAAAGTGCTAGGATTATAGGTGTGAGCCACTATGCCCAGCCAGATTTTTTTTAAATCTGAAATTCAAATTTAACTGGGTGCCCTATATTTTATCGGGCAACCCTACTTATGTGGGATGTTGGATACCTTCAACTCCTTGAAGGATTGGCATGAAGCAGTCCTCAACTGGGTACAGTGATCAACTGGGAAGCTTTAGAAACAATACTGGGGCCTGGGTCCCACCTGCAGAAATTGTGATAGAAGTGGTCTGGGTTTCACTCTGTCACTGGGGTGTTCAGAAACTCTGCAGGTAATTTGAAGGTTCAACCAAGGTTGATGACTACTGTATTCAACTGACTTAATTCAGAGTTGCATGGTAGTGTTTGAGTCATTGAGGAGCCACTAGAGACAGGGAAAATTTGGGTCTTCATGTGAACTGTCAAACAAGAAAAGTCAGCTTCACACAAGAGGTAATGTGTCTCCTGTCTGAAGTGTGTGAGTAGTAGCTTGATGATTTCTTAAGGGGTTTTTCTGTTTTTTTGTTTTTTTGTTTTCCTGTGGGAACTCAAGATTAGAGCGGGGTAGGGAGGTGACTGTTGGAAGGGTGGGGGAGGATTGAAGAGAAGGGTAGGATGAAGTGATTACCATGACATTTCCATCTCTGAAATCCCAGGACTGGTTTAGTGACTACATTAAAAAATAAATGAGTCATAGAATGATACACAAAGATAAGCAAAAGAAAAACAAATGAGTGCATGCAAAAGAAAAAGGGACATTTGTGTAAGGCCTGTAGTCTAGTTAATTGTACTATGCCGACACATTTTCTGGTTTTGGTAATGCACACTAATTACCTGAGATGTCATCTTTAGGGGAAGCTGAGTAATGGGTACACAGGACCTCATTGTACCATGTTGGTAAGCCTACAACTATTTCAAGGTAAAAAGCTTAAAATAAATTAATTCATCACATCGCATTGAACCATTGCTTTTCCAGGAGGCCTCAGCAATGGATGATAGCAGGATTGGTCTAACAGTGGGCAAGAGCTTCCCACTGGGGAGGTGTGGAATCTGTGTGTGTTCCTCTCACTCACCGCCCAAGTGGGGACAGCCTCTTCTCAAGGATTCTCCTGGTATCCAGGCAGATGGGGGAACCGCAGCCCTTCCTGAGTGTATGTTTACAAACAGAAACAGGGCCAGTTGGCCAGACTGAAAATAAAGCAACCGGAGCTTTTGAAGCGGTCCGAGTTCCTATCCTAGAAGGGGGAATAAGTCACCATGTTCCAGATTTAATTAGCAATACAATGAACTAATAATAAAAATGAAGACCAATCCTGAGTCAAGATGAGGTAACGGCAGTGAACTGCAGTGACTCTGTGGGTGTGGAGCGTGCGTGTGCGTGTGTGTGTGTGTATGTGTGTATTTTTAGATAGTGACTTATTCTGCATGTGGTAATTAGGGCCCCAAGGGGGATGCGAATCTTTTTTCCAGGGTTGGCAAGTGGAGGGAGGAGGCAGCTAAAATTCCCACACATCTGGGGCAAACAGATCCTGCACTCCAATTTCCTGTCGGCGCCACTGGTTTCTTGCAGAATTACTTGCTAAGTAAATGACTGTTATAAGACTATGAAGATTCGGTCAATCAAATTAACCCCTTTTGTCCTTTGCCTCCCTCCCCCCGCCCCCACCCCAACGGTTCCCTTCATTTGCCTAAACTCGGCGGCTTTTGAAAATGTGTTCAAGCTTGAAGGCCCAGCCTTCCTCACATTGGCCAAGTGTAACCTGAGAGAGAACCCGGAGGCCCCCAATTGTTTTGCTAATCAAGATTATTGCTCCATTGAGATGTGGACGCACAGCCTGGCTGACAAAATTTGTCAGTTTCCCATGAAATAGTTCTGTCAGTTTAGCCCGGGTGCTGGCAACTATTAACATATAAATGAAGTTTCTCTCTGCTCGGCCCCCACCTTCCCTACCCCTCAGCCACCCATCCTAATGGAGGCAGAAAATATAAACACCGCCCCCCCACCCCCAGCTCCCAAACTCTCTGTGTGCTTAAATCAAACCAGCTTCTTTTCTCCGGTGCCTGGAAATCCTGTGGGCCGTGGGGGCTCCAGGGGGGCTGGGAGGAGCTCATTTGCACAAAACTACTTTTAAGACATGAAACTGCCAGGCCCGAGTCCCCCGCTGACAGCAACAGGCGACTGGCTAGGCCTGCTAGGGGACAAATGGCCGTCTGAATGCCAGGGCAGACCTCCAAGGCAGCCTTCCGGGACAGAGTGGCAACGTGGAACACGGGGTTTGAAAGAGTTATCTGGGCTCAGGGGTCAAACGCCCGCCATATCTTGCTAGTTTGACCTGCCGGATGGCAGGACTGGGAACAGGTGGGAGCCGCTAGGAATGGCCAATCGCTGGCTTTTCTCACCCTGGATTCTGGGACAAATGTGGGGCTGGCTGGGCTATGGCCTGGGGTGAGCTCACCTGTCTTCACCTTAAAATGACGACTTCCTTTGCCACAGCCTGGCTTGGGCACTTAGCTGAGCTAAAAGAAGAAAGGAGATCAAATTCTATCTTCTTGTTTCTCCTAGGATAGAGTTAGGGCTAAAAGTATTTGATATATTATATTGTATTTATATTACTCATATAATAATATATGTGTATATGTATATAACCTGTCAAGCACTCCGGTAAAAATAAATTCACAACGCCAAAATGACATACATTACAGAAATAATCTCATTTTGGCACCGTAAATTTATTTTTACCGGAGTGCTTGATACATATACACACACACATATATATGTATATACACACATATACATATTATATATACACATATATGTATACATATAAAATCTCAAGCACTGTGGTAAAGATAAATTAATATATGAATTTTATGTGTGTGTGTGTATGTGTGTGTGTGTGAGAATGTGCAAGTCAACACAAGTGAACAATATTAGCTATCTGGTGCTAAATTAGTTATCTGAAAGGAAAGTTCTGCCAGGAGCCTAGTGTGGTCAGAGAGGCACTCAAGATGATTCTGGTAATTGGTTCAATGGGCTTTGCAAGGTGGAGACTTCTGCCAGGGATCCTTCAATCATGTTTTGTTTCAGCTATGTGGTAAATTGATGCTTTCGTGGCCCCCAGAGACAGAGCCATGAATGAGCCTCCCCACCCCCACCTCCGAATTGCTTCTCTTTTCCAGTCTTGTGTCTCTTGTAGCCTGATAGGAAAAGACACCTGGGGTGAAGGATCCCCCAAGGACTTCCTAGTCAGAAAAGCCTCGGTTGAAAGGTTTTCCTGAACTCAGGGCATCTAGCTCTTAGCCAGACTCTTCAGATTTGGTCTTGGAATCAAAGATTATTTTTAGTTTATTTGATGTGACTTTGAAATTTTCATCCTGAGAATGTAGAGGAATAATCTCCAGGTGTTTTCACCATGAAATCTGTAGAAATTAGCCTTTCAGTAAATACAATTTAATGGTTAAGAGCTGTGGAATCAGACTGTCTGGATTCCTAGCTGTGTGACGTTGGGCACTTATTTAACATCCCTGTGCCTTACTTTCTTCTTCGATAAAATAAGCAAAGGAGAGTGACCTTATTATTTTTAAGGGAAGAGGAATACACTGTATTATGTTTATAAAGTGCTTAGATAGTGTCTGCATTTAGTGAGTGCTTTGTGTTTGTCAAATAACACAGTAGGAAGAATTCAGTGTCATTTCTTTTATTCGCTGATTTAGTTGATCATCACTTTATTTATGAACAGCAAGGAAGTTTTCATTTCTGGGTAGTGATCCAAGTTTATTTTTAAAATAAATATATTTAAGTTAAATATAAAGTCAATTTCAAGAAAGATACTAAATAAATTATTGTGTGGGGGACTGTGAGTATGGTAAAACATGAAGATGGTAGTTAAATGCCTGAAGTTTGAAAAACACTGTTATATACATGATTAGATTTGGGGAGAAATCTCAGGTGTGTATTCCAAAGAACTGAGGAATGCAATGTCATTCTTTAATTCTCTGTTAGCATTGTCCCATACTTTGAATTTTTATGTGAGACTTGGGATTAGGCTTTGTTATGTGACTGAATTGTATCCCCACAACCACCACCAAAATTCATTGTGTTGAAGCCCTAATCCCCAATATAACTGCATTTGGAGAAAGGGCCTTTAAGGAGATAATTAAGGTCAAATGAGGTCATCAGGGTAGTGCTCTGATCCAGTAGGACTGCCGTCCTTATAAGAAAAAGGAGAAAAATACCAGGAATATGAGCACACAGGGACTAGGCTATTCTAGGCAGCCATCTGCAACCCAAGAAGAGAGGCTTCAGGAGAAATCAACCCTGCAGACAGCTTGATCTTGGACTTCCAGCCCACAGAACTATGGGAAAATAAATTTCTGTGGTTTAATTCACCCAGAATGTGGTATTTTGTTATGGCAGACCTAGCAGAATAATACAGGCTTATATGGGCCAAAGGAAGAGATTTTGTCCGAGAGTTCTTTCTCTCTATAATTAGGAGTAATTTAAACTAAACAAAAACAAAACAAATGATTGTGTGTCAGAAATAACCACACAATTGCCAATCCTCTTCAATGAACTAAATGTTTGTCCCCCTCCCTCATTCATATGTTGAAACCCTAATCTCAACGTGATCACATTTAAAGGTAATTAGAGGGATAATTAAATCATGAGAGGTAATTAGGTCATAAGGGTGGAGCCCACATGAATGGAATTAGTGCCCTTCTAAGAGGAGACTGGAGAGCTGCTAACTCTCTTTTCTCTATGTGTGGAAACTAGGAGAAGTTGACTGTCTGCAACCTGGAAGCAAGCCCTCACCAGAAGCTGACCATGCTTGCACCCTGGTCTCAAACTTCCAGCCTCCAAAACTGTGAGAATAAATATCTGTTGTTTGAAAGCCACCCAGAGTACCATAGTACTCTGTTACAGCAGCTCAAACTGACTGAGACCCTCTTTAACAATGACAATAAAACTAAGAATGGCTAAAATGTACTGAGTGCTGACTAGATTGGACACCGGCAGTGCCACACACACCACATAAATGATGTCACCTGATTGTCAAAACAGATCTAGGGAGGAAAATTCTAGAGACATGAAAACTGCAGCTTGGTTCTCAGGAAGGAAGTGCAGAAGTCGTCAGGTCTTTCTGCCCTTAAAATCAGAGCTCTCAACCCCCATGGCATTCTGCTGGCAAAGTTCTCTAAACTAAAGAGGCTTCATGAGAGATGCTTAGCAGGAGCCAGGAGAGCAGCCTAATCCCACAGGGAGGACATGCAAGCCTGCTGGAAGGCTGAGGGGTTCAGGGAAGGCTGCCTCGGCCCTCCTTCGGGCCACACGTTCCCGACCTGGATTATTTCCTAAAATGGTTTCATTTTACAAATGAGCATGAGGCTCCGCTGGAAGCAGCCAACATTGGCAGAGATTAAATAATTAGCATTTCAAAGTGTTCGTTTTCATTTTCCTCTTTGCCAGGGTGAGAACCACTACAGGACAAAAATGAGCTCCTTTTTTCCAGTCTCAGCCCAGGAGGGATCTTCACAGAGAAAGCAAGCCCAGCCCATCCCCACAGCTGGCTCCCTGGTGCCCATTCTGAAAGGCTGGACCCATCCTGACCTGTCCCTGCCCCAAGGACTGCCTGGTGAGGGATGGCTTACCAACACTGTGACTCAGTCCTTCCAACATGCCCAACAGGTCAATTCTGGGATATTCCTTACAGGAATTAATGAGAGCACATTGCCGGTAATGTTGGCATTAGTAGATTACATTTAAATTTAAAAATTCCTTTTATGGGGTTTAAGAATAGAGACAAGACACCCATGCAATAAAGAAAGGAGGAGACTTTGCCTGGTCTAATGGAGAAGCTGGAGCTGCATTGTTGGGTACAGTGGCCAGTGGCTACACCTGGCTTTTGAGCCCTTGCACAGTGGCAAGGACACATTGAGATGTGCCCTAGGTGCAAGATACACACAGGATTTCAAAGACTGAGTATGAAAAAAGAAGAAAAAATGTCTCATTAATATTTTTATATTGGTTGCATGTGGAAGTGATAACATTTTGGATATAAAGTTGACCTTTGAACAGTATGGGTTTGAACTGCACAGGTCTGCTTATAAGTGAAATTTCTTCTGCCTCTGCCACCCCTGAGACAGCAAGACCAACCCTCCACTTCCTCCTCCTCCTCCTCCTCCTCAACCTGCTCAACGTGAAGATGATGAAGATCAAGACCTTCATGATGATCTACTTCCACTTAATGAATAGTAAATATATTTTCTCTTCCTTGTGATTTTCTTAATAACGTTTTCTTTCCTCTAGCTTATTTTGTTGTAAGGATACAGTGGTATATAATATTTATAACATACAAAATATGTGTTAACCAACTCTGCTATCAGTAAGGCTTCTGATCAACAGTATGCTAACATTTTTGGACAGTAGTTAAGTTTGGGCAGAGTCAAAAGTTATAGGCAGATTCTTGATTGTGTGGGGTATTGGCATCCCTAATCTCTGCACTGTTCAAGGGTAAACTGCATTAGCTGAAATAAAGCATATTCTTAAAATGAACTCCACCTGTTTCTTTCTGCTTTTGTAAATGTAGGTACTCTAAAGGCCTTTCCCATTTCTCTAAATCTTTCTCCCTCATTCATCACCTTATTTTACTTGTCACCATCTGAAATCCTGTTCTTCATGTATCTGTTTGCTCTTAGGTTTCTGTTTCTCCTTCTGAAATATAAGGTCCCTGAAGGCAGGGGTTCTGTCTGCCTATCTAACTGGCTGCTTTACTTCCAGTATGCAGGGCCAGGCACAAGTTATACACTCAATAAGAGTTTTTTAGATTGCATGAAGGAGGGAAAGGAGCTTAGGTAGAAGTTCCTATTCTAAAGCACCTCTGGGCACCAAGTAGAATGGACCATTTTATTGCTTGCACTTGAGGCCACCATATGCAAAAACCTTTCACTGACCCTATGGCATTTTAGGGCACTTATATGATTACCTGTCAATCTCCTTGTACTGGACACTAAGCTCCTTGATAGCAAGAATCTTATTATAGTTACTTTTTTATTCCCAGGCACATAGGAAGTATCCAGTAAATGTCTAATAAATAAAGCAACCATTGAAACTTTACCATAGAAGTCTAAAATGATGTAACTTTCTCAATAAGAGAGCATTCTAGCCTCAGTTAAGTAATGTTGGTTTTCTTTCTCCCCTCTCTGTCTGATCATCTTAATGGTCCTTCTTTTCATGACAAGAAAACAGCTGAATTTCACCAGTAAGATATGGGTTTGGCGCGCCAGCTGGATGTGATAACACAATAACCCAAATTACTGTTTATATGGTGCTTTATATTTGGCTAGGTGCTTTCATGTACTCTATCATGTCATTTGGCCCTCAAAACTACTTTGTGAAGTGGGAGGAGCAGAGATTAGAATTGCAATTTACAAATGAAGAAATAGGATTACAGACATTGCCCAGAGACACTGGGAGAGCTAAACTCTAAGCCCAGGGCCTTAGATTCCTCCTTCAGTGTTTTTTCAGGGTTCTTCTGACTAGAATCCAATAGACCACTCACTCTCTAACAAGCGTAAGGCAGCAAAGTTTCTTCCTCTTAGCCCACCTCTGCCCAACAGGCTTCAATGACTTCCTGTGATTTGTAAGATACAATCCAAACTACTTCTCCCAGCAAGGAAAGCTTTCTGCAGTCTTATCTTTCTAGTCTTATTTTTGGATAGTAATCCCTTCCAACTCAGAGTCATGCACCCAGGTACATAAACCTTCAGATATCAGCTTTCTTGGGCATGCCTTGGACTTCCACACCAGCAGTCATTATAGCAAATAAAGAATTTAATAAACACAGAGCTAGCTTAGCAGTAAACAGGAGTTTATTACTCAAATCAGCCTCCCCAGTAGCTCAGAGGCTAGGGTTTTTAAGGATAATTTGGCACGCAGGGGGATGCTGATTGGTTGGGGATGAAATTGCAGAGGTGTGGAAAATGGTCCTCCTGCGCGGAGTCTGCCTCTGGTTGGGGACCACAAGACTGGTTGAGTCATGAGTCAAGGTCCAGGTGGAGTTGGTTACGAGAACACAAAAGTCTGCAAAACACCTCAAAAGACCAATCTCAGATTCTACAATAGTGATGTTATCTATAGGAGCAACTGGGGAGGTCAGAAACCTCGTGACCCTGGCCACATGACCCCCAAGCCCCAAGGAATTATGGAAAAGCAAACCAGGGACTAATGGCAGGTTATCATTTAACTATGCCTATATTTTTAGCAGAATTTAGGCTCCTCCCATAATCCTAATCTCATGGCCTTCTTTAGTTTTACAAAGATAACTTCTGTCCCTGAGCAAGGAGGGGGTTAGTTTTAGGGAGGGACTGTTATCACCCCTGCTTCAAAGTTAAACTATAAACTAAATTTCTCCCATGGTATGCCCAGGAACAAGTGAGGACAGCCAACCTGTGAGGCTAGAAGCAAGATAGACTCAGCCATGCTCGACTTCTCTCATGTCATAATCTTTGCAAAGGCAGTTTCAGTGCCTCATTGATACTTTGATGGTCCATCTCCAAATCACCTGCTCACCATCTCACTTACAGGCATTTATTTTATCTGTAGTGGGCATTTGTGGTGATATATGCTAGTAGCACTACATGTATTCACATCTCTAAGGAGGAGCTTCCAATTTCCTACAAGACCCCAGTCACTGTCAAGGCTGCATAATTCAGGGGTGGTTACTTCACTTAAGTGTATCCATTCACAATGTTTGAACAGGAAAAGAGTCTCTGTAACAGCTGCCTCAGGAAACGTGACAATGAGGAGCCAAAGTCAGTGAATGAGGAAGAAGCCACACAAAGGTATAAGGGATGGAAATGCCTCGTTAGTTTCAAATCTGTGGCTCCAACAGTTTTTGCAGCAAAGCTGCTGAGCTGTGCTTCCAGAGTGTATTAAATAAGACACAGGCTTGGCTATCATAACATAGAAGTCCTAGAGCTCTGACCAACTAGTGGATTGGTTCCCCTTCAAATAAGTGTTCTTCCTGGTCCAATCAGCTGTGGCAGGAGCATCTGGTATGCGGGCTGTGTTTATGTTAAAGAAGAGTAGGATGGTTCCTTGGTACCTGTCTGTTTCTAGGGCTGGTGTGTGCAATGCATCTTAGCTTTGAATGCCAAAGCCTCTCTGTACTCTATGTTCTACTTGGGTTCAAATCTCAGCTCCACTGCTGTCTAACTGTGCGATGCTGAGAAAGTTACTTAGCCCTTCTGCATCTCAGTCTTCTCCTCTTTGAAGCCAAGATAGTAATAATTGCCACACTGGATTATTGAGAGAATAAGTAAGATAACACATGGAGCATGTTTAGAACAGTGTCTAATGCACAATCAGCTCTCAATACACATTGGATAGTGATTACTGTCACCACTCCCTCAGCCATGGCTCTTTTGTGCTGAAGTTGCTCAGCAGAGGTCATCTGCCTTGCTTTTTCATTTGGTAAGCATAACAGTCTCCCTGTGAGACCTCTTCTTGGGATCTCGCTTCTCTTTTTGTAAAACCCTCTTTGCACTCTGCAGGGTGCTGTGTTTATAAGTCCTCTGTATATATTCTTTACCTAATCATTCCCATTGTCAAGAATCTTTCAATGGCAAGTATCGTAATACATGATTCGAATTTGCTTGATCAATAAAAACATTTTCTGGCTTTGTAACAAACAGTCCATATTTGAGACTCATGCATATGAGACTTGATTTGCCAGCTCAATCTCAGCTTCAAGAACTTAGTTTCTGTTTTTTCTATTCTACTTTCTTGGGTGTCAGTTTAATCCTAAGGATGGTGGGAAAGAAAAAAAATTATTGCAAAACTAGTTAAAGGAGTAAAGAAGACTTTATTCATGAGTATTGCAGTAGTGGGGAGAGATCAGGCTCAAATTTGAGTACAACAAGGACAAGTGGGGATTTATAGCCAAGGAACAGGATGAGGGTGTCAGTGGATTGGAAATTACTAAGAGGAGAGACATCAGGGGTAGGGGATTCTTGCTAAACTGGCCTAACAAGATTCTTGCTAATTGCAGGAAAGTGAGGGTTGAGAAACTTGATATCAAGTGTGATGCCATATCAAGGGTGGGAAGTAATTTAGCAGGATTCTTACCAAAACTCGGCTGGGCAGGCCAAAGACAAGCCAGGGGTCAAGGTCAAGGCCTAGGTGAAAAGAGAGCTCAGAGGAGCTTGACTAAAGTTGGGTCACAGGGAGTCTTTGTAAGTGGCTCCTCTTGTGGTTTAAAACGGCTGCTGGCACCTCCTTAGTCCATGCGTTCTTTAATCAAAGCCAGCAGCAAAACCAGGAATAACTTTGTCCTTAATTCCCAGGAAAAAGTCCAAAGAATCACTTATATCAGATCAGCTTATTCACGTGTGATCCTCTGGACCAGGAGGTTGGCTGTGCTGGTTTGTTTAGCATTGTCACTTGATCCACTCCTACAGCCAGGAAAGGAAGTGATAGCCTCTAAGTTGTGAAGCTCCCAAACAAAACTTGGGCCCAGGCTCATCCCTAAATATGTGGGGATCCCAGGAAAGAATATAAATAGAAGCCCACCCTCCATATGTATGAAGATTTTTAAGTTATCAATCAAGCTAACAAACAGTTTAATAAAATATGTTCTACCTGCCCTGGGTTGCCAGATTAAAAAGACTTCCTAAATTTTTAGTTGCTTAATCTGGCAACCCCACTTCTACCTTGAAAAATGCCTTCATAGTTACAACACATTGAAGAATAAGGGTGAAGCTGCCTGTGAGTCCCTCTGATGTCACCCAGGAGAGCACAAAGAGAAGCAGGGAAGGGGTTCTCCTTGTTCGTGGGAATAATGTTTTGTTATGCCAAAACCTACCACATTCTTCCTATCTGGGAAGAAGATGTGTGTAATTTGTCTTTTATGTTACCTAAAAGCTTCCATCGCTGAGTTCTTCCTGCTCTCCACAGCACTGTCTTTCTCTGACTTCAACAGTGGGGCACCCTCAGATCTTCCTGGCATTCAGGCCCATCTGCATGTTGTTTTGAGGAAACATGACTGGAGAGGTGGAGAAGCATTTCCCTGGGGCCTGAACTGTATTAGCCACAGAAGCAGACTAGGTCATGCTGTGCCAGGGCTAAGCACCAGATCCACATGATAGAGGCAGCTATGTATTCTGTCATAAGTGTATTCTTATGCATATGTTTGTGATTTGTAGAACTCTCTCAAGCTGAGGGCACAGGCCAGAGGCCTTTTGTGTCAGGTCTAGGGACAGCACTGGGCTTTTTCATTCTAGACATACATACAGCAAGACCACGTTTCCTAACCTCTTTGGGCCATGTGATAGAGTTATGGCTAGTGAATGTTGGCTACTTCTTGCCCTGACCCATGAAAATCTTCCACAAAATTCTTTGCACTCTCTTTTTCCCCATTCACTGGATAAATGGAAAAGATTCTAAAACCCTAGTGGAGAATAGGATAACAGATGGAATAACTTCAATACCTGAATGACTGCCTGGAGCAGAGCCTCCCTTCAACTTCCACCTCCAATTGAATTTTACCCAAGCAAGAGATCTCTGTGATGTCAAGCTGCTGAGCTGTTGGTTTTTCTCTGTTAAGCAAATTGTACTACCTTAACTTGTGCAAGGGATGACGTGAAGAGGGATAGAGAGAATGTTTGCTGGTGTGGCAACTAATAAGCTAATGTCTACCATGATTACCTCCGAACAGCTCTTAGGCATATAGCAATAATAGTCAAGTGACACCTATTACCTACATTCCCAGCTGTGTCACCAGAGGTCTTTTCACATTACAAAATCCAGAACCATTTAACCTAGAGTCTGCATGGTTTATGTAATGTACCTAACACGGCACTCTGCTCATGTGACTTAGAGCATTGGCATGCAGAGAATTCAGGACCTGGAGTTGATTTTCCAATGCTTGGAGGTCATATTCTTATCAATGTGATTTTAAGCTATGAACTGAAAAATCAAAAACCAATCATGTAATATGTGGCTACAAAAATGTCAGTGTGGGCCCACAGTTAAGAGCTGGTAGGAAACACAGCCTGTTGTCAAAGACTCAACCAGGCAAGCAGCCTCTCTTTTTAAGGGCAAACACACAGAAGTTTTTGTCCATTTCCTCAGCCTCAATGAACTGTATTTGAAATCACCTCCAATGCACTATTGTTTGGAGTGAGGGTGTGGGGAGGTAAGAGTTTCCTCAAAAGTTCCTGAAGATGGAGTTTTAAAATGCATAGACTGAACTCAATGGTGGTGGGGATCATCAGGGGTGGGAGGGTTATGGAGCTTCTTTGACCAGAGGACAGTATCAAAGGAAGGCATAAAGCAGAATGGTAAACAATCTTGGGAAATCTGTAATAATTTAAAAAGAAACATGTAGGGTCAGGCATTTCAAAGAGAAGTATCAAAGTGTCAAATAAGAATAAATTTATAAAGCCAATACAGATTGATTGGTCCCACTTGTGGGGATTCCAATCTTCTTTAAATGCACTACCTTCTTTAAATGCAGTAAAGTCTTTTCCTGTGTTTGAGATCACGATGGCCACTCAGTGCACTACCATCCCCTAACACAGCATAGGGATTTAACATTGCCCAACAACCTGGAGTCAGGTCCTGCCAGGAGAGCCTGAAGTAAAAAGAGAGGCACAATTGCCAATTCTGTTTTAAATCAAGCTTGAGAGTCTTGATGTGTGTCTAAAACGTTCAGCAAAGAGTTAAACAAGAAACTATAAAATATGATAGAAACAATATGAGATCTAACATCTCAACAGTTGCCAAAACTAGCAAATAATCAAAATCTGACTACAAAACCTCTCCAGATCCATAATGGCACCAATACCAGCTTAAGAACAAAGCTGCCCAATATATTTTTTAAATCCCTCTCTTCTCCACTCATCTCCTGACCAAATGTTGGCAACGAATTGGCCTGCAGAATTTTGAGTTGTAAAAGGGTTCAGAGATTAACTGGAGCAGTAATTCTGAAATTGGGGGAGGAAAGGTACCACCCCCTGGGAGATGGGCACATATCAGAATCATGGAAGTGGATATTTAAGGGAATATTTAATGCTGTAATTGTATACTAGAGGCAGGAAAGAATTTTGTTTTCCTAGAAGACACACAAAGAAACACTATGAAAATACCCTTAACTGATGGAGAAATGAGACGTCCTCCCTGCCAACCGGGAAGATTCTAATGGAGGTGAAAGAAAGGATGTGTGAGGTGTTAAAGTTATTAAAAGGGGATGTTGTTCATAAGTTCATGAAGGTGAAAAAGCGTGACCTTTTTCTCTACATATTTAATAATTCATTCACCATTTCATTCAATTCAGCAAATAATGATTAAACACCGACTGCATACCAAAGAGTGTGGAAATATTGAGAAAGCAGGGTTAAATAAGCCTACCCTATTGCAGTGTGTAGATTCACACAAACAGAAAATGGACAATGCAAGTTTAGTTTTATAGAGATGTGCAAGTTATCCTAGAAGAGACAAACTCTAGCCACAGGGTGTAACTAGTGAAGGCTTTTCTGAGAAAATGATACCTCCCCACCACCATCATCACCAACTCCAAGGTCATTATTATATTTCTTATGAGCTGGACAGTAAATATCTAAAGAGAGAGGAAAAGTGAAAACTTTGTGGTATGCAGCCTCTGAAAGAGCCCCCAATGAGCCTGGTCTCCTGTTACTGTATAATCCTCTGCCCTCGGGTGAGGCGTGAATCTAGTGATTCATTTCTAAAGGAAAGAACACAAACACAGCAAAAGTGATGAGATGTTACTTAGATTGGGTTACAAAAGAATCGGGCTCTCACGTCTCTTTCTGGGTCTCTTTCTCTCTATCTCTGTCTGTCTCACACTCTCTCTCTCTCAAAGTTCTTGCCCTCAAAGAAGCAAGTTGCCATGTTGTCAGTAGCTCCATGCTGTCAGGCCCACATCCCAAAGCCCTACCAACAGCCAGCAAGGACTGGGACCTGCCTGTGGGGATTTTCCCCCAGTCCCACTTTGAGACCCTGACGCAGAGACTCAAGCTCAGGTATGTCCAGATTCTTGGTGCCCCCACCTCACAATTGTGAGGTTATAAATGCTTGCTGCATGAAGACACAATATTTTGGGGTAATTTGTTACATTGAGATAGACAACAGACTCCTAACAAACACTGTAAAGATGAAAAACTGATAATAAGTACCTGTATGAATCACTGGAACTTCCATTCTTTGGGATAAATTAGACAATTCAAGATCCTAATAAAATTCCACCAATGCCTGGCTTCAAAAGAGAAGGATGGTAACCAGGGGTTCGGGGGATGAGGAAAATGGGGAGACAGTGGTCAAAGAGCACAAACTTTCAGTTATAAGAAGAATATGTTCCAGAGACCTAATATACAATGTGGTGACTATAGTTGATAATGTTGTATTGTATACTTGAAATTAGCTAAGAGAGCAAACCTTAAGTAATCCCATCTCTCTCTCTCTCTCTCAAACACACACACAGACACACACAGACACACACACACACACACACACACACACACACGGTAACTCTGTGACGTGATGAATATGTTAATTAGCTTGAGTGTAGTAATCATTTCACAACATATATATATATCAACACATCATATTGTATACCTTAAATATATACAATTTTTATTTGTCAGTTATGCCTAAGTAAAGCTAGCAGGGAGGGAAGAGAGAGTGTCCATGTACCCCAACCTTGGCTCCCCGTCTCGGTACCTAAAGCAGCTCCTCTGAGATAAGGTAGCCATATTCTCCTCTCAGAAGAAGGTCTGTAAATGGCAGGACACTATGCAGGGAAGGGCTTCTTCTAGACTTTTTCATTATATTTTACATTTTATTGCTGGAAATGTTTTCTTCTTTGCATTAAAAGATTTCAAAATTTTCCCCCAGGCATATATTTAAAGTCTCCGTCCACCCTAACTTTCTTTCCAAGAGGTTAGTATCCTTTGTCATTTACTAAATGTTTTCCTCCCCTGAAGCGTCCTCTCCAGGGACAAGGAGATGTCAGGGCTCCTGTATTTCTGAAGGGCTTTCCCCGTCCACACCTTTCTACAGGTTGCCGTGACTGGAACAAAAAACAAATGGTCAAAAGCTCCATGAAGAGGAACTGGCAGGAACTGAGCCTGGGCTGGACTGAATGCTAACTTTCAATCTGGTCTGGAAAAAGGATTTGGATAGGAAAATTAATTGTAAAAATGAGTAAATTGTCTATCATCTCCCGGCTGAATGAAATAATAGTGTTCTGGAATTACATTATGATTAACAGAGGCTGTCACACAAACTCTGGAGACAGCCCACATCACCCAGCTTAGCACAGAGAAGGTATGAATTAGTGTGCGCTGAATAACCAAATGAATGGACTCTACATGGATTGCTCCATTTTCAAGGAATTAACAGGTGAAAAAAAATCTAACACTAAAAGGAGACCGAAAAATATAAAAGCCTCTTTGGTTCAGAAATGCCATGAAAAGCAATAGATACTGTGAAGAAATATTTGAAGTGGCATGAAATAAAAACTTCCAGTTGCTCAAATATTCTATCAATGTATATTATATCTGATGGTAATTAATAATTATTGATAAGAAAAAATCTATAAAGTTACTTAAACATGTTAATTTTTCAAATGCTAAACATGTTATTAAAAGGTATGGAAAGAACAGTCCAATTATATATTATTAACTGGTTTATTTCCTTTCTAGCACAGATCACTATTAGAAATTGTTTTTTATTTGTTGATTCTCTGACTCTCTAACACTCACCACATTCACCACACACACACACACACACACACACACACACACACAGAGACACCCTAATACTGCCAAAAAGACAGCAATGTGTTAAGTTCCATTCACCACTTTTCTCCAGCCCCGAGTACAGGCATTCTATATTGTGGGCTTACAAACAAATACACACATATATATTTTTTTAACTTATAAATATTTATTGAATGACCGAAGCAATGTTATTTCATATATTACCATTGATTAAAGCTTATTTCACATAATGCAAAGAATGCAAAGGCCAGGTTATCAAAGTAAAACATTTTAATTAATTTATTTATTTATTTGAGATGGAGTTTCACTCTTGTCACCCAGCTGGAGTGCAGTGGCGTGATGTTGGCTCACTGCAACCTCCACCTCCCGGGTTTAAGTGATTCTCCTGCCTCAGTCTCCCAAGTAGCTGAGATTACAGACACCCGCCACCATGCCCAGCTCAAAGTAAAACATTTTGGAACATCTCCCTCCCCACCTCATCCCTCAACCCTTTTCTTTTTAGGATCAAAATACTTAATCCTCTCTTGGGTCCTAGTTTTGTGGAACTTCGTCTCCTCCTAACACAGGACGGCTCCTGGAAAGTCCTGCTCCAAACTCAGTCCCTGCAAGAGAGGCTCACAACAAATGCTTCCTCAGGAGACCTTCTCGCTCCAGGACACCAGACCCCATGCCAGTTAATAAATGAGATCTGACAAGACTTTAATCTGAAGTGGTATTTCCCTCTAAAGTCCCTACTAACCTAAAGTGGAGCCACAGACAACAGGAGGAAAATAGAAGGAAATACTGTGAAAACGAAGAGACTGCCCTTGTTAACAGCACACAGGGGGAAAAATAATTTTTTGGCATTCATTCTATTTCCTAAGACTTCAGATTTAAGCTCAATTTGCCGAGAGAATTGTATCCAAATCTGGGATAACTCCATTTCTTTTATTCGGGTTCAATTTTTCTCCTTCTGGTTTTTATTTTTAGCAGTGCTTCAATTACTTTAAGATGATAATAACCATCAGACATTTTCGATTCTGAATTTATGTAGAACGAGGCCAACAGTTCTCTTTTCAAAGTCTTCAGGAACCCAAACTTTCACAGTCCCACATTCTGCTCCCAAGACATTAACTCTAATTAAGCTAATCAAACCCATGCACAGTCATAAGAATAAAAAGTACTAAAGAACAAGACAACTCTATGAGAAACAGATATTATACAATGAAAATAAAATGAATTCTCCAGACTTCTTTAACTACTGTTCCATTAAATCCATTTATTTTTGAATGAGCTTTGATCTTTTTTCATTTCATAGACCAAGATGTTGTCATTAGAGGAATGAATTACTTCCTTTAAGCTGACCTCATTTATATTCCATACCCAAAGCCAGTCTTACTACAACTGCAATTGAGCCTAATCCAATTACGACAATTTTTATTTCAAAATATAACATGATCCCCCGAACTTGAGAACCAAATGTATTTCAAGGTTCACAAAAAATGCAAGATTTCTATTCGCATGAAAAAATTAGGCAAGATTATTTGTGGGCTGGATTGGAGGGCTGGATTCTGAGAGTTAGAAAAATGGAAATACCATTCCACTCTGTCTCTCAGCAACAACCTCAGCCTGAGGGGTGAGATGTCCTCCTTATCTAGGCAGAGAAGTTCTGGCCTTGACCATCGCCTCCAAATATCTTCATTTATATATTTGTCTTTACTCTCACCTTTTACAAGCCCCACCTCTTCTGCATGCAGCATCTTAATGTCTTCATGTTAGGGAAGTTTTATGGTTCTTTCACCAACCTTTTCTTGTTCTTCTTGTCACCTTTGGTCACGTCTTTTCATCTTCTTTCAAGGCTAGTTTGAGACTGAGCACCCTCCACCCTTTTCCCCATTGGAAAACAGTCTGAGAAGAGACACACAAGATGTCCATGACTCCTTACGGTTGGTTCGACCTGAGTCTTTCACACTGGCTCATGAGAAAACAGCTCATTTTATTTGCTTGGTCTTCCATCCAGGATTGCTATAAGGGTCAAATAAAATGTTTTGTAAACTGAAATCTATAAAGTGCTCTACGCAAGACTGACAAATACTGACATGTATTATTCTGGAGGAATGCCAAGAAGAGGCAGTCACAAGGGCTTTAAGTCTACAGCGCCCCCTGGAGTTGTGCAGTGCACAACCATATGCAGCAGCCCTGGTGTTAGGTAAATGTGTTGTCCTCATGGGTTGATTCAAGAGGCCTAAGCCATAAGGGTTATGGGGAGAATAAGAACAGTAGAAAGCAAAAATAAGAAAGAAAGAAGACATGGAGATAAGAGGCTGGGGGCCGGGCATGGTGTCTCACACCTGTAATCCTAGAATTTGAGAGGCCGAGGTGGGTAGATGGCCTTAGCCGAGGAGTTTGAGACCAGCCTGGGCAACATGGCAAAACTCAATCTCTACAAAAATTGGCTGGGCACGGTGGTACGTGCCTGTGATCCCAGCTACTTGGGAGGCTGAGATGGGAGGTCAAGTCTGCAGTGAGTTGTGATTGTGCCACTGCACTCTGGCCTGGGCAACAGAGTGAGACCCTGTCTCAAAAAAAAAAAAAAAAAAAAGAGGCTGGGGATGTGGTGTAATGTCCAGAAACATGTGTGTGCATGTCCACAGACAAAGATCTAGAAGGATATACACAAACCCTTAACATGAGCTATATCTGGATCATGGGGTGGGGTATGATTTTAACTTTTTGCTTTGTTTTGTTTTTGCTTTTTGTTTTTTTTGAGACAGGGTCTTTCTCTACTTCCCAGGCGGAGTGCAGTTGTATGATCATAGCTCACTGCAGCCTCAAACTCTTGCACTCAAGTGATCCTCCCAGCTCAATGTCCTGAGTAGCTCAGACCACAGGCATGCACCACCACACCTGGCTAGTTTTTCATTTTTTTTGTACAGACGGAGGTCTCACTGTGTGGCCCAGGCTGGTCTCGAACTCCTGGCCTCAAGTGATCCTCCTACTTCGGCCTCCAAAAATGGAGGATTACAGGTGTGAACCACTACACCTAGCCTTATTTTAATTTTTCAACCACAACTTTTATATTTTTCAAGAAGCAATAATAAAAGAAGAAGCTGAGGTGTGGAGAAAAGAGTCCACTAAATTCTGGCTAGGGAGAGAGGATGTAGGAGGAAAACATGCAGAGTTGCATACTTCAATGTCAGACTGACATCCCCATCATACTTCATCATCCACACTTAGGTTCTAGAGACAAGGGCTAGTGATGAGGGGGAGAAACCGAAAAGAATCAATAGGCTCAAGCCAGTGGAATGCTGCCCATGGTTGTTGTTGAGTTAGACACCGCTTACCTGCTCTGACTTTTGGGTTTCATGTTCAGGTGACTGCGGAAGCCAGAGCAGTGAGTAGCATCACTAACGGAATGAATGTAGATGGACAAGAAGACCTCATAGGTTAGATGATTGCACAATGTTCCCTTTGGGGGAGTACAGGGAAAGTATAAGAGCAAGGGTAATCTAAGAGTGAGGAGAGTCATCAATAGATTATTTGATCAACATATATGATGGATACCAAGAGCCGTCAGAAAGAGTTGGTATTATCACAAAGGACTAGAAGTCTATTTGCTCTAATAACCAAAATGTCTAGGGATATCCTAACCCTGCTTTATCCAGCACATCCTGCCCGCACATCATCTGGGTACCATTCAACCCTCTGGTTCCACCCACATCCTTAAAACGTTAAAAATACATATATTTTTATGTAACTGCCTCTTTTGCTGCATATTACAGTTTCATGCTTATTACTGAGAAACTTGGAGCAGGAAAGCTGGAGACCAATTTGATTGCTTTACCAAATATTGCCACTTGTTGCTCTTCAGAAGCAGTAGGTTTGTGGTAATAACTGTAGGAAACATCTCAGGACTCTAGCTCATTCTTGATCCGTGACTCACCACATTGCTTTCCATGTGTGAAGAACTCAGTACTTTTTCTTTTTTTTTTTTTTTCCATGTAATATCTTTTTTTTCTGTGTTTTATTTTATTTATTATTATTATACTTTAAGTTTTAGGGTACATGTGCACAATGTGCAGGCTAGTTACATATGTACATATGTGCCATGCTGGTGTGCTGCACCCATTAACTCGACATTTAGCATTAGGTATATCTCCTAAAGCTATCCCTCCCCACTCCCCCCACCCCACAACAGTCCCCAGAGTGTGATGTTCTCCTTCCTGTGTCCACGTGTTCTCATTGTTCAATTCCCATCTATGAGTGAGAATATGCAGTGTTTGGTTTTTTGTTCTTGCGATAGTTTACTGAGAATGATGATTTCCAATTTCATCCATGTCCCTACAAAGGACATGAACTCATCATTTTTTATGGCTGCATAGTATTGCATGGTGTATATGTGCCACATTTTCTTAATCCAGTCTATCATTGTTGGACATTTGGGTTGGTTCCAAGTCTTTGCTATTGTGAATAGTGCCACAATAAACATACATGTGCATGTGTCTTTATAGCAGCATGATTTATAGTCCTTTGGGTATATACCCAGTAATGGGATGGCTGGGTCAAATGGTATTTCTAGTTCTAGATCCCTGAGGAATCGCCACACTGACTTCCACAATGGTCGAACTAGTTTACAGTCCCACCAACAGTGTAAAAGTGTTCCTATTTCTCCACATCCTCTCCAGCACCTGTTGTTTCCTGACTTTTTAATGATTGCCATTCTAACTGGTGTGAGATGGTATCTCATTGTGGTTTTGATTTGCATTTCTCTGATGGCCAGTGATGATGAGCATTTTTTCATGTGTTTTTTGGCTGCATAAATGTCTTCTTTTGAGAAGTGTCTGTTCATGTCCTCTGCCCACTTTTTGATGGGGTTGTTTGTTTTTTTCTTGTAAATTTGTTTGAGTTCATTGTAGATCCTGGATATTAGCCCTTTGTCAGATGAGTAGGATGTGAAAATTTTCTCCCATTCTGTAGGTTGCCTGTTCACTCTGATGGTAGTTTCTTTTGCTGTGCAGAAGCTCTTTAGTTTAATGAGATCCCATTTGTCAATTTTGACTTTTGTTGCCATTGCTTTTGGTGTTTTAGACATGAAGTCCTTGCCCATGCCTATGTCCTGAATGGTAATGCCTAGGTTTTCTTCTAGGGTTTTTATGGTTTTAGGTCTAACGTTTAAGTCTTTAATCCATCTTGAATTAATTTTTGTATAAGGTATAAGGAAAGGATCCAGTTTCAGCTTTCTACATATGGCTAGCCAGTTTTCCCAGCACCATTTATTAAATAGGGAATCCTTTCCCCATTGCTTGTTTTTCTCAGGTTTGTCAAAGATCAGATAGTTGTAGATATGCGGTGTTATTTCTGAGGGCTCTGTCCTGTTCCATTGATCTATATCTCTGTTTTGGTACCAGTACCACACTGTTTTGTTTACTGTAAGCCTTGTAATATAGTTTGAAGTCAGGTAGCGTGATGCCTCCAGGTTTGTTCTTTTGGCTTAGGATTGACTTGGCAATGCGGGCTCTTTTTTGGTGCCATATGAACTTTAAAGTAGTTTTTTCCAATTCTGTGAAGAAAGTCATTGGTAGCTTGATGGGGATGGCATTGAATCTATAAATTACCTTGGGCAGTATGGCCATTTTCACGATATTGATTCTTCCCATCCATGAGCATGGAATGTTCTTCCATTTGTTTGTGTCCTTTTTTATTTCATTGAGGAGTGGTTTGTAGTTCTACTTGAAGAGGTCCTTCACATCCCTTGTAAGTTGGATTCCTAGGTATTTTATTCTCTTTGAAGCAATTGTGAATGGGAGTTCACTCATGATTTGGCTCTCTGTTTGTCTCTTCTTGATGTATAAGAATGCTTGTGATTTTTGCACATTGATTTTGTATCCTGAGACTTTGCTGAAGTTGCTTTTCAGCTTAAGGAGATTTTGGGCTGAGACAATGGGGTTTTCTAGATATACAATCATGTCGTCTGCAAACAGGGACAATTTGACTTCCTCTTTTCCTAATTGAATACCCTTTATTTCTTTCTCCTGCCTAATTGCCCTGGCCAGAACTTCCAACACTATGTTGAATAGGAGTGGTGAGAGAGGGCATCCCTGTCTTGTGCCAGTTTTCAAAGGGAATGCTTGCAGTTTTTGCCCATTCCGTATGATATTGGCTGTGGGTTTGTCATAGATAGCTCTTATTATTTTGAAATACGTCCCATCAATACCTAATTTATTGAGAGTTTTTAGCATGAAAGGTTGTTGAATTCTGTCAAAGGCCTTTTCTGCATCTATTGAGATAATCATGTGATTTTTGTCATTGGTTCTGTTTATATGCTGGATTACATTTATTGATTTGCGTATATTGAACCAGTCTTGCATCCCAGGGATGAAGCCCACTTGATCATGGTGGATAAGCTTTTTGATGTGCTGCTGGACTCCGTTTGCCAGTATTTTATTGAGGACTTTTGCATTAATGTTCATCAGGGATATTGGTCTAAAATTCTCTTTTTTGGTTGTGTCTCTGCCTGGCTTTGGTATCAGGATGATGCTGGCCTCATAAAATGAGTTAGGGAGGATTCCCTCTTTTTCTATTGATGGGAATAGTTTCAGAAGGAATGGTACCAGTTCCTCCTTGTACCTCTGGTAGAATTCAGCTGTGAATCCATCTGGTCCTGGACTCTTTTTGGTTAGTAAGCTATTGATTATTGCCACAATTTCAGAGCCTGTTATGGGTCTATTCAGAGATTCAACTTCTTCCTGGTTTAGTCTTGGGAGGGTGTATGTGTCGAGGAATTTATCCATTTCTTCTAGATTTTCTAGTTTATTTGCGTAGAGGTGTTTGTAGTATTCTCTGATGGTAGTTTGTATTTACTTTTTCTAAAGGCTTTCTAGTCTCTCATGTTGCTTTAAACTTGGAGCAATCCTGAAAGACAAGGTCAGTAATTCATGCCCATTTGAGAAACATCACCACTGAGGTCCTCTCCATGGTTGTAATTAGTGAGAGGCATAGCTGAAACAAGAACCCAAGAAGAACCCAAGATTCTGAATTTTGTTTTGTTTTTTTTTTTTTTTTTTTAAGACAGTGTCTTGCTCTGTCACCCAGGCTAGGGTGCAGTGGGATGATCATAGCTAACTGCAGCCTCAAACTCCCGAGCTCAAGTGACCTTCCCACCTCACTCTCCTGAGTAACTGGGACTACAGAGGTGTACCACTACTCCTGGCTAGTGTGTGTGTGTGTGTGTGTGTGTGTATGTGTGAAGACGGGGTTTCACTATGTTGCCCAGGCTGGTCTTGAACTCCTGGTCTCAAGTGATCCACATGCCTTGGCCTCTGCAAGTGCTGGGATTCCAGGCATGAGCCACAGAACCCTGCCTGAAATTTTTATCTAGCATATTTGACTGGTTAGGAGCACAGGCTCTGAGCCAAGCCACTTAGGTGTGATTCTAACATCGCCCCACACTGGTAAGTTGTGTGTTCACAAGCAAAGTATTTAGCTGCTTTGTGATTCAGTTTCCTCATTTTAAAAATGGGATGTTGCAGGTTAAATTGTGTTCCTCCAAAAGATGTGTTCAAGTCCTGACATGAGCTATCTGTGAATGTGACCTTATTTGAAAGTAGGGTCTTTGTAGATGAAATCAAGTTAAGATGAGGTCATGCTGCATTACGGTAGATCTTAACCCAATGATGACATGCTTATAAAAAGAGGTAGTTTTGGCCGGGCGCGGTGGCTCACGCCTGTAATCCCAGCACTTTGGGAGGCCGAGGCAGGTGGATCAAGAGGTCAGGAGTTCAAGACCAGCCTGGCCAAGACAGTGAAACCCCGTCTCTACTAAAAATACAAAAAATTAACTGGGCGTGGTGGTGGGCGCCTGTAATCCCAGCTACTCGGGAGGCTGAGGCAGGGAATTGCTTGAACCTGGGAGGCAGAGGTTGCAGTGAGCCAAGATCGTGCCACTGCACTCCAGCCTGGGCAACAGAGCAAAACTCCATCTCAAAAAAAAAAAAAAAAAAAAAAAAGAGGTAGTTTTGTACCCAGACATACAGAGAGGAGACTTCCAGAAAATACACAGGCAGAGGAGAGGAGGCCAGGTGATGATGGAGGCAGAGACTGGAATGATTCAGCTGCAAGCCAAGCAATGCCAAGGTCTGCCAACAAACACTGAAAGCTAGAACAGGGCAAAAGAAAAAGTTATAGAGAGTAGGGCCCCACACCTTGATTTCTGACTCCTGAAGAGTGAAAGAATAAACTGCTGTTGCTCTGAGCCAGCTGGTTTGCAGTAATTTGTTATGGCAGGCCTAGGAGACAAACGCATGGGATAATCACATTTCCTGCCTTTGGGAGATCATGTTATTCCTCAATACTTTTGTTCTCCTTCTTGACAGGATGATACACTCTTGCCTATTAGATTTCATACTTAGCTATATTTTTTGCTTTTGCCAATGAAATGTTGGTGAAAGTGAGATGTGCCACTTCCAAGGAGAAGTTTTAAGAGCCTCATGTGGTTCTGTCATCTTATCTTTCCCCTCTCCCAGGAGACACCCAATCCTCAGATAGGGGCTTCTCCTTCAGCCTGGGTTTCCAGATGATGATAACATGGAGCACAGTTGAGGCTGACCTGTTATGAGCATTAACGTGAGCAAAAAATAAATTTCTGTTGTTATAAGCCACTGACATTTGGGAATGTTTGTTACAGAAGCATAACTTAGCCTAAAGTGACTGATATACTACCTCATAAAATGTTATGAGCACTAGATATCATGATGCTTGTAAAATACAATGCTGGACATATTAATATTATTTAAGCACCATTACTGTCTTCTTAACTCCAACAGGGCATTGCAATCACTGAGTGTCTATTATGTGTCTGGATAACGTATTTGGTTGAGGGATGGGCATGTGACTAGTGTTGGATGAATTTACCATCATTCTTTGCACTTCCCTGGAATACTCTTTTTGGAAGAAAGGAAAGTGTGACCTGTGTTCCTAGCTGGTTCCTAGCTGTGACATATGCTTGACATTTGTGAGGAGTATCTTTTCCACTATGAGGGAAGAATCTAGCTGAAAATGAAGACAGTATATAGAAGAGAAGATGTTACAGTTAGAGAAAGATGAGAAGCAAAAAGGAGTCCTGTTGACATCATTTAAGCCCCTTGGGTCCAGCCATGCTCAGTCAGAGGCACCTTAGGACTTCCAGTTACATGAGCCAATACTTTGCCATTTTTCCTAAACTGCTTTGAGTTGGGCTTCTATTAACAGGCAGTGTTGACCACTGGAGAATCATCCCAATTCCCTGCCACCAGTTGCTTGTTCTTTAAGGGCAGAAGGTGTGGCTCATTCATTGATATCGTTCCTGCAGCTCTCAGCACAGTGAATGGCACATATGGGAGTGCATTGTGTTTGGAAATTTATGCAGACAGTTTAGGCACTTAAGGAGAATATTGGTCTCTATATAAACACAGCCCACAGAGGAAGTTGTAACTTATGCTACGGAACTGTCCTCAGGAGATAACAGATAATGAATATTTGAAAAATTATTATTTGTAAAAATCTGAATACTTAAGAAGAAAAGCTTAAAATTAAGAGCAATAATTAATCACGTACAAAGCATTTCTAAAAAATCTGTCTAACCTCTCTGAATCTGTTTCTTCATCCGTCAAATGGGATAATATTAACAACTTTTCCATCTACCTGGGGACCCAATGATATGATACTTGCAAAATATACACAGATTTTTATGGCAACTTGTACAGTGCCACACAAAAAGTAGCCACTGTTATCAAACATTCATAGCTAAAAACACACTATTCAGACTGAACAAGTCTTGCTGAATGTATTAGTCCATTTTCACACGCTGTAAATACATACCCAAGACTGTGTAATTTATAAAGAAAACAGGTTTAATTGACTCACAGTTCCACATGGTTGGGGAGGCCTCAGGAAATTTACAATCATGATGGAAGGCAAAGGGGCAGCAAGAACCTTCTTCACATGGCGGCAGGAGAGAGAAGAGCATGTGAGAGTGCTAGAAATACTACCTTTTATAAAACCATCAGATACCCTGAGAATTCACTCACTATCATGAGAACAGCATGGGGAGACCACCCCCATAATCCAATCACTTCCCTCCCTCAACACATGGGGATTACAATTCAAGATGAGGTTTGGGTGGGGACTTAATATCACTGAACTCTCTGGGGACAAAGAATTGGGGTAATGGCGTGATTCCACTTGAGACCTGAAGGCTTTTTCTACTGGTATAAGCAAAAGACCCAATTTATCACAGCAAATAAGAACATTAATGTTACATTAACCATAAGAGAAGACTGGCCAAAATCAAGATAAAATATGAACGGGGAGCCACACTCCCAGAAATCACAAAAAGCCACCTACTACACTGACAACAAAGAGTCAAATGCAGCAGACCTGGAAGCCAAACACACAAAACAGAGCACACAGGCAACTGTGGTGAGAGCACACAGGCAGGCAGCGGGACCACAGCCACCCCTCCATGGTATATGGATACAGTTAGAGCAGTCTGAAAGACTTGGAACATTTTCCTATGGCAAACGTTCTTTTCCTCCCCTACCTGGACATTCCCCTTCCATCCTCGCTCTTTTGTGATCAACATTCCATACAGCAGCCATGAAGATCTTTAAAAAAACAAAAACAAAATCCTATTTCTGCATTGCCTAGAACTTCTGAGGGTTTCTTATCACAATTAGAATCACATCCCAACTCCTTACTGTGGTCTATGAAGCTCCAAGTAATCTGGCCCCTGCCACATCACTGACTTTCCTTTGCCTAACCTGGTGGCCACACTGGCTTCTCCCCAGTTCTTCAGACCCAGCAGCTCCATCCTGCCTCAAGACCTTTGTGCTTGCTGTTCCACCTGCCAGGATGTACTGAACCGAGAGCCTGCACTGCTCATTTCTTTCTGTCATTTAGATCTCACTCAGTGCCGCCTCTGTGAGGCCTTCTCTGACCACCTGATTTATTGATTTATTGACCCAAGTTTATTTTTGTAGAGATGAGGTCTCACTATGTTGCCCAGGCTGGTCTCAAACTCATGGGCTCAAACGATCCTCCTGCCTCAGCCTCCTGAAGTGTTGAGATTGCAGGCATGAGCCACCACACCCGGTCCCTGACCACTTGATTTAATATTGTCACCCCTTACATCCCTCTATCTTATTTCTAGTTTTATGTCAATAATCCCTGCTTGACATTGTGGCCTTGTTATATGTGTATATACACAGACACGTATATGTACATACATGTACGTATGTATGTATACACATGCACATAATATACATGTGCATGTATGCATATTTTTCCCAAAACTAAAAATCAAGTTTCATGAATACAATGTTGGGCCTGTGTTCTTGTCTCGCCCACTGCTGTATTCTCAATGCCTGGAAGTGTCTGACCCATAGTAAATTCTCAATAAATATTTATGAAATGAGAGAGTAAACTTTTCCCAGTCTCTACTCATGCTTGATTTCTGTATTTGCAGTCCTTGCTTCTCCCTATCTTCCAATTTAGTATCAACGGATCCCAGGATTGGAAAGGATCTTGTCATGTCTGTTCTCCCACTCTTAGGCAGGACTATGCTTGAGCCATTTCTGAGAGAAAAGAGTTTTCTCAGTTGATAGACAGGCTGAGTGGTGCAAGACCCACCAGAGAGGAAGTTTCATTGATGTTGTTAATATTTCTGTGCTTTTCTAAGTAGAAACTAGAAGTAAGTCTCATTATGTGACAAGTATAACTAGTAGGTTTCAATCCCAGTGCCAACTCTGAGAGATTAGTTGTATCTGCCTGAAGTGATGTGTTGAGGAATTGTAGGCTCCTATGAGCTAATTAAAAAAAATACCTGAGATTGATTTGTGTGGGCATAGGACAAAGGATATAAAAGTGGTGGCATTATGTATTTGCAGCTCATAAAAACACAAAGTTTTCTTTTGACCAATGTCCAGACCATCTATGATTCACTTTGGCAATGTCACTAAAAGAATGAGGGTGAGAGAGCTGGGTCACTGCTCTCTCTATGCCCCAGCATAAAGCACCGTAACTATCTCTTACTTCCCTAATAATCTACAAACGCGCTTGAATGTGTCTCATAACTTCCCAAACTGAGAAGTTTCAAGCGAAGTCTGTAATTGAATATCTGATGGATGAGGCAAGAAAAATCACCTAAGACAAGTGACAAATAAACGCCCATCCATGAAAATTACATTCTTACTTGAAATAATAGACTCTAGGTCTCTGAGAATGTTTCTGAAGGTCAGGCCTTCATGTATAGGTTGACATGTCTTTTCTTGGACTCATATCTTCCGTCTCTTCCTACACATATCAACCTGGAAGTTGTTTGGGCGATTCAAACTCAGCATGCCCAAAACAAAATTCAATTGTATTTTTTTGTTCCTGCAAAACTCAAAAGCTGTGTTACTTCCTGTCTTCCCTATTCATCCAGTAAATATTTCCTTAGTGCCTTTCTATGTGCCATGTACCATTCTAGGCACGGGGCCATGGAGGTGAACAGTACAGAGGAGGTCACTGCTCTTACAGACAAGATTACCAGATTATACAATGCAGGAGGCAGCAATTGCATTGTGTTCTTTGTGATTAGTGTCCTTGGAATTGCACAACATACTGACCCTTCTCATGGAGCATAACTTCTAGATGGGAATATAGGAAATAAGTGTGTGTATAATAAGAAGAAACAATCTTTTCAGATAGTGATAAGCATTATGCAGAAAATAAAGGGGTAAGTAGAGAGCATTGGGGCACATTAGATGGGGGTGGGGGAGCCAGAGAAGGAAAAACGTGTTTGAAGAAATGACCAGAACAGACCTGAATCATGACAAGGAGTCAGTCATGTGAAGATCAGGCAGAGCATTTGCCACAGAGAAATCTACAGGTGCAATATCTGGAAGGTGGCAAGAAGCCTGATTGGTAGAGAAACAGACTGGAGAGGCCTTGGTTGAAGGTAATGAGTCAACCTTGGTTGAAGGTAATGTTCTCCTGCCGGGGAACATTGGCAGGAGATGAGGCCTGAAAGCAGGGACCACATCAGGATGGAATGGGGAGGCCCCAGTGAGGAATTTGGCTTCTATTCTAGGCCTATGGGAAGCCATGGGGGGTCTTGGGCAGGGAGTTGCAGGATCACTGTCTCAGTTGGCATCTCTATTCACCCAGTTGCCCAACCTTGAACCTTAGTTCCCTCTCTTTCATCGGAGTGGTCAACAAGCCTTGCTTATGCCCTCCCTTTAAATGGCTCCCAAATTATCCCCTTTCATTTTAACCCCCGTGCCCTGGTTCTTTCTCACCTGAAATTTCCCACGATATCTTCCTGCTCCAGCCTCTCCCAGGACTCTCCTTGGCATTGCCACCCACACTAAGGCCCCTAAAGCCCCCTGCCTAGAAATTTCGGCTGGGTCACCACTGCCCACTGGGTAAGCTTCAAATCTGAGCATCACTCACACTTTCTGGCCTCTCTCCCATCCCTAACACACCTCATGCTTCTAGGTTCACTGAAGTCCTTGCTTTGTATAAAACATTATTATGATTATTATTTTTTTTGAGACAGGGTCTTACTCTGTCATCCAGGGTGGAGTGCAGTGGTGTTATCATGGCACACTATAGCCTCAACTTCCTGGACTCAGGTGATTCTCCCGTCTCAGCTTCCCAAGTAGCTGGGACTACAGGTGCACGCCTCCAAGTCTGGCTAATGTTTTGCATTTCTTTGTAGAGGCAGGTTCTCGACATGTTTTTCAGGCTGTTCTCAAACTCCTGGACTCAAGTGATCCTCCTGCCTCAGATTTCCAAAGTGATGGGATTACAGGTGTGAGCCTCTGTACCTGGTCAGAAACATTCTTTACGTGTTTATATGTATAGGTGCTCTTCCATCTCCCTGGAATGCCATTCTCTATGCTGCCTCTTCAGAAAAGACCTCTGATTTCATCATGTGGATCTCTGTGTTGACACAGAACTTGGTATATGTCTGTGGAGGCACCTGTCAAGTTGAGATCAGAGTGCTCTAGGCACAGGCCAATACCCTCTCTCTCGAAAGCTCCTGAAAGCAGAGATCATGGCTTGTATCTGTGAGACTGGCAGAGACATGCAGATGCCCATGAAATACTGAACCGAAGAAAGCCATTCCATGACCCACAGAGACCCCTGCAGAGAGAAGGGAGGACACATACCATTTTCTATGGTGTCTGGGAGTGACCACCCTGGGTACAGCATCCAGCAGTCTGTCCAAGATGATCAGCTGCCCATCTAGAGTCCAGGCAAGTAGGTGATGCTGCCTCTCTTCCTCGGCATCTCCAGAACCCATCAAGTTTAATCAGCCTGTAACAACAATATAAAAAGGACTAGATAATTAGTAACCAGTCACCAGGCCACTTGTCAAGTCAAGCTAATGACAAGGTTAGTTTAACAGCACACATCTGGGTAGAGAGATACTAGCCTCATGTAGATGCCTGTTCCCACCATCCAAAAAGGAGAGTTAAGCAAGTCTGTAGTCACTCATATGATCAGATCCTGGAGGGACCCCAAATCCATACATGAGAAGAAACTCAACAAAGCAGGCAGTGGAACTCAGAATGCTAATCTACACTCTTAAATTTCTGCCTTTTTTCTTTTTTACGACCTACATAAAACATCATCTAGAGCTCAGAGTGAACGCTTATTGGTAAATGATGATTACATACATTATAATAATAATCAATATTTACTCAGTAAGAGCCTGGACAGAATGATAAAAATGAAAATAAGCTGCCTAAACTCACTATACTTAAATCTAATGGGGCAGGAGATATGTAATACAGAGTGTTACAGCCCGAAAAGGATCTCAGAGAAGATCTACTCAAAACCTGCTTGTTTAGATATGGGGAAACTGAGGCTCAGATAGAGAAAGAGACTGGCCTATGGTCACTCAACTTGCTGGCAACAAGATAAAGACTAGAACTTAGGCACATAAGTAACCCCAAAACAAGGTGGGAGGAGCAAAGAGCCACCAGGCAGAGAAGGAACATGAGAACAAGGCCAAGAAGGTGGAGAGATTTATTCCATTCAGAAGGAGGAGGTTACTGGGAAGAACAAGCGTGTGAACAAGGCCTTGAAGGATGGACAGGATTCTGTTCAGTTTCAGGGAGGATACTCCCAGGCAGAGGGACTGGTGATCAAAGCACAGGAGAAGCAGAGAAAAGGCCAGTTCTGGGGATCCCAGGAATGTGCTCTGCGTGTGAGCTGGCCAGATGAGCTGATGCACAGAAGCACACCTCAATTTCCCATCCTAACCATCATCCTCTCTGGCTTGGACTTTTTCTTCACTTTTGGCCCTTATGGTACATTCTTCACCTTCCAGCCCGTGTGATCTTTTAAAAACATAAATTAAGTCACACAATTCTCCTGATTAAAATTCCCAAATGTTTTTCACTATGCTTAGTGTAAAATCCCAATTTTTTTCATTGCCTATGATATTCTATGTAAAATGCCATCTCTGAGCGTTGACTCAACTTACACCAGGCTCTCTTCACTCACAACATTCTTCCCTCCAAATCTTTCTGTTCCTCAGATTTGCAAAGCTCATTCTCATCTCATGTCTCTGCACACACTGTTTTCTGTGCATGCAAATCTTTACCTATAGACCTTTACAGGGGTGGCTCCTTCTGAGTTCGGCTCAAAGATCAAGCGTTCAATGAAACTATTCCTCTGGTGGCATGGACTTCCCCTTTCCTGCCTCCCGTCGCTCTGTGGGGACCTTGTGCTGTTTTATTTTCTTTGTGGAATTTGCCGAGCTGTAACTCAAATCCATTAACTACTTCAGGACAATGATTATTCAATAAGTTGGACTGGGGAAATTCATTACCTACATGAAAAAAAAAATTAAAATTAGGTCCCTGCCTCATACTATATGTCAAAATCCCCAGGCAGATTAACCATGCTAAATATAAAAGGCAAAATATTAATGCTTTTTGGAGAAAATGCATAAAAATGTCTTTATGACTACTGGGTGGGAACAATTTTCTTATGCAAGACCAGTAATAATAATGGTAATAGTAAATAACTACAGAGTAAAAGATTAACAAACTTGACTACATTAAAATTAAGAAATCCCATTCATCAGAAAAAAAAGAGTTAAAAAAAATCCACAAACTGGGAGAATATAATTTCCAGACAATCAATCAATAATCAGTCAATAAAAGTTTAATTATTTGAATACTTACAGATCTCTTGAAAATTAAGATATTAAAAAATAATTCAGCCAGGAGTGGTGGCTTACGCCTGTAATCCCAGCACTTTGGGAGGCCCGAGGTGGGCAGATCAGGAGGTCAAGAGATTGAAACCATCGTGGCCAACATGGTGAAACCTCATCTCTACTAAAAATACAAAAATTAGCTGGGCGTGGTGGCACTCACCTGTAATCCCAGCTACTCAGGAGGCTGAGGCAGGAGAATCACTTGAACCCGGGAGGCGGAGGTTGCAGTGAGCCGAGATCATGCCACTGCACTCCAGCCTGGCAACAGTATGAGACTCTGTCTCAAAATAAATAAATAAATTAATTAATTAAATAAAATAAAAATAATTCAATAGAAAATTGGCAAAAGACAAAGTGACACAAATAGAAACTTCACCAAGAAGGAAATGTGATTGAAAACTAGAGAAGTTTACCATGAGTGCTCAACCCTAGTGGGAAAAAGGGAAAGATAAATGATCAGCATCATGAAAATCACTCATTTTTGTACCACTAGATTGGCAAAATGTTAATAAAATCTGGCAATGTCAAGTTTTGGTGAGGATGTAAAGCAGCAGGAACTCAAATATCAGCATGGGACTATATGTTAAAATAACTACTTCAGTAACACAATTTAGCATCATTGTATAAAGTTAGAAAGGGTCATATGATAAGACCTAAAAATTTATCTCTTGGTCTCTACTTAGAGAAATTGTTGCATGTATGATCCACAGGACATGTCTATCAATATTTGCAACAGCTTTGTTTAAAATTGCTTAAACGGGAACTCATCTAAATGCCTATACACAGATGGTTAAATAAATGATGAATGCTCATAAAATGAAATATTACTCTGTAGCAGGAGTGAATAAGCTACAGGTACACATGCCAAGGAGGATGAACTCCAGACATAAAATTGAATTTTAAAAAATTGCAGAAGAAAACACACGAAATAATCCTGCTTTTATAAAATACACAGAGAAGGAAAACTAAAAATATATAAATTTTGAAATATATACACATGCAGTAAAACTATAAAGAAAAGCAAGTCTGAGCACAGTGTCTCACACCTGTAATCCCAGCACTTTGGGAGACTGAGACAAGAGGATCTCTGGAGCCCAGGAGTTCAAGACCCACCTGGGCAACGAAGGCCACAAAAAAAATAAAAAATAAAATAGCTAGGCATGGTGGCATGCAACTATGGTCCCAGCTACTCAGGGGGCTGAGGTGGGAGGATCACTTGAGCCAGAGAGTTCGATGCTGTAGTGAGCCATGTTCACGCTGCTGCACTCCAGCCTAGACAACAGAGGGAGACTGTCTCAAAAAAAAAGAAAAAGAAAGAAAATATTTATTTTTCAAAATTAGAAGAAATGAAGTGACATAAGAGATTGGTCTCACAATAATATGAAGGGGAAGAAAGTAGGAGAGTAGGCATGAAACAAACGTGGCCAGGAGTTACCAGCTGCTGAAGCTGGGTGATGAACACTTGGGAACCCATCAAATATTTTCTCTACTTTCATATGGGCCTGAACTTTCCCAACATTTAAAATGATCTCTATTTATTTTTAAGTGTGTGTGTGTGTGTGTGTGTCTGAAGGGATGTACATATTTTGATTATTTTTTTTGAGATAGAGTCTCACTCTGTTGCCCAAGCTGGAGTGCAGTTGTGTAATCTCAGTTCACTGCACTCAGCTCACCTCCACCTCCTTAGTTTAAGTGATTCTCCTGCCTCAGCCCCCCAAGTAACTGGGACTACAGGCGTGTGCCACCACACCTGGCTGATTTTTGTATTTTTAGTAGAGACAGGGTTTCACCATGTTGGCCAGGCTGGTCTTGAACTCCTGGACTCAAGTGATTCACCTGCCTTGGCCTCCCAAAGTGCTGGGATTACAGGCATGAGCCACTGAACCTGACCCATATTTTATGAGAGTGGAATGAGATAGAAGAGAAACATACAGAAAACACTACCATATTGGCGATGTTCTATTTCTTAATTTGAGTGGCAAGTGCATGATTTTTTTTCCTTTTATTATGCTTCAGCACCTACAGAGGTACTGCATGTATACAATATGTAATACCTGCTTTATAATTTTTTAAATGGACAGGGAAGCAGCAGAGAGATACAAAGCAAGTGTGTGAAATGATTGGGCCTAGCCCTCTCCTCCTAAATTTTAGGGAGCTGTAGGCTCCCCCCATTTTAAAGATAAGGAAACTGAGTCTCCAAATGGCTACATGCCTGCTGCAGCCCAGCTGCAGGTGTCTACAGAAGGACAGGGTGGGAGGTGAGGAGAGGCAGGGAGGGACGGTTGCCAGGGAACCAGAGCTCTGGCTCCGGGGCATGGGTCAGTCTCAAAAGAGGGCCATCTGGGACATGGACTGCGGGAACACTGACCAGAGCTCTCAGGACACATGTGACTGAGGCCTCAGATGTGGGCACCATTCCCACATGGATCGGCTCCATTTTTGCTTGTTCTTTGGACATGAAACTAGAATCCTCCAGCCTGCCAGTGAGCCTGCGAGCATGATGTCACCAGTGGGTCTGAGCAGCAGGTGGAAACAGCCAAGCTAACTTAACACGCTCCCCAAACAAAGTCCTGTCATAGTGGTTAGCAGCTCGGCTCACAGAGGATTCTGTAAAGGAGAATGACCATGTTATAAACACCCAGCTCCTATTCCGCCTGCCCCAGAAACACGAGCTTAGTAACTGTTGCACGTGCGTGCACAGATAGCCCTGCTTCCTCACCCTTCCTCTCCTGGTTTGTAATCGCACTCACAAAGGCCCACCCCAATGACTTAAAGCATCCTATTGGCAGTCACAAAGGCAAAGGAACTCCAGGTTATGGCCACAATTCAGCTTCAGAGCCCCCCCATTGTGCCCAGCCACCGCAGTGGTCTCAGAGCTGTCGGGGGTCTTGCATATCTCATACGTGCAGCAAAGTGGGGGAACAATGTAACAAATTATGGACAAGCTCAGAGCCCAGCCTGTGGAATTCTTCCCTTTGTGAGCCTCCATCACATGTCAGCTGGGCTGCTGGGCCGAAAGGAGAACGCAGGGGTGGGGGACATCCCAGCAGCAGGAGGCCAGCCCAGCGCTGGGACACTTTTATGCTTTTCACACCGAGGAATGTTACCCCTTCACTCCTTCTCTCTCTCTCTCTCTCTTTTATTTACAAGGGAAAAGATTATTCTGACTCTGGTTTTTTTCTTGGAAATCTAAATATTCTATCTTAATACCAATACTATTTCTTGCTAAATAAAGACCCAAGTAAATTTTTGGAGTCTATTTTCCCAGGAGCCAAATGCAAAAAAAGTTCCAGCAATGTGGACAATCATCTTGGTCTTAACCCTGCCCTTATCTTGACTTCCTGGTGCCTCTATTTCCTCATCTGTAAAGAAAGATACCATTACAGTAAGACTATCTATTTCATATGATTGCCATAGGATTAAATGTCTATAAAGGGCAATACTTGCAACATAGACAGCCTTCAAACTGTGTGCTAGTGCTGTTACAATTATTATTATTCACAGTGCTATTGTCAGAAATATTCACCCTATGGCCATTTTCACCATTCTCCTTCATCCTCTTTCTTGGCCCTTTCACATCTTAGCAGGTTCTTTATAAGAAGGGCCATTTCTGATGCTTCTTTTATATCTTAAAGTATATAGGGGGGGCAGGACACAAGGATTCGCGGTGAGAATTTGTTTTCTAACAAATGCTCAAATTCCAAAAGGTGACCTAACAAATCCTAACGAATCCCAAAAGATGACCTGCAAAAGTAGACTTTTTTTTTTTAATCCCTGATGCTGAAATACATTTACTTGATGAGGAGGCTGTTGTAGAGCAACTAAAAGGTTTCTCTCAAGTTAACTTTCCAAGTTTTGTTAGAAGACCAATATCATGTTTTCTCAGGATGACAAGAAGAAAGTATTCCTTATGCAAACAATTTGTGAACACATCATTAATCATTTCAGTATTCTAGGTGCAAATTCTTAAGGGTGGCCTTTTCCCCTATGGATTTGGGAGGATGGTAGCATTTGGAGGGAGAAAGGGGAAATGTGGGCAGCCCAGCAGGCTCAGACATTGTGACTTCTGTAGGCTCAGCACAGTTGCTTGCTTTTCTCCTCTATGACTATGGCAGCCATCACTAATCAATCATCCTTAATCAGCCATCACTAATCAATCCTCACTAATCAATCATCACCAATCAATCAAGCTGCTCTTCTCCATCACCCCCTAGTCCAGTCTAAGCTTCATAATCCTTCTCAACACAGTATTCCTGGTAGACATTACCAATCATTTAAAGCTACTTTATAAAATAAAACTATTTGCCCCTCTGAGTAGAGGGAAGTGGCATGAGTCAACAGGTCTGAAGGTCAGAAGGTCTGAGAGGAGAGACGGGGTCTGATAGTTGGAGAGGTCAGACCATGAGCAAAGGTTTCCTGCTGGCTATGAGTAATAGAGACAGGCAGGTAGGATGGTGGAAGTTAAGTACGGTGTCAACTATCACATTGTCTGTAAGTAGCGGGGTGTGGGTACCAGGACAGGCTTCAAAGTTAGGGTAGGATTTGTGATCTTGATAGATCCCTGCTGGTTTTAAGCCAAACGGGGTAAACTATAAGTCACTCCATAAGCTATTTATGTATAATGGTATACATTTCAGGGTGCTCTTAATTGAGACGAAGACAAATATTTTATTGTAAGAATAGTATGTCCTAACAAAATTTGAAGTATCCTTGAATGAAAGCCAGCAAGAGGCACAATCAGGCCTGCAGATACACCTTCCTTTGCAGGAAACATTGGCAATTCCTCACTTTGCCATCTACACCACACGCAACTCTACAAAAACAGGGAGGTTGATTTTTCAGTCACAGGGTCAGCTGTCTCCTATATGGTCAGTGTCCATTTCCCTGCACACGACCAGGGATGGGCTGAGGTTTGGAATCCATTCCATGTAGAATAACACTTTGTTTGACTCCCTCAGAAAAGGAACATGATTTTGCTTCTCTTTCTTCCTCTCTGTCCTCCATGAAGCACCTCCTCGCCCTCCACGTTTCATAAGACAGGTCACCTTTATGGTCTCTGAGAGGCGCCCAGCCCACAGGTGCTAATCAAAGCCAGAGGCCCATCCATAAGGCCAGAGAATCTCAAGTTCAAACTCTATCTTCTGTAACTACAAATGGACCTTTCCCATCCCAAATAAAGCTTCCTTCACTAAAATGGCTTTGATTTCTTGCAGTCTGTGTACTCCTTATAGATCCACATAAGAAACAAAAACCCCTGTAAAAGAAGCAACACCCCGGGGCACATATATATGCTGGAAACATCAAAATTGTCAGGCAACTTCCCTCTCACCCTCCACACTCCAAGGGAGATTATTAATTGTCCCCAGAGAAGGAGGTCAACTAAAAAGGGAGATACTCAGTTTATATGCGAATCCCACAAAAGAAGCCACTGATTCTCCTCTGTTTTTGCCAAGTCAATGTGGGCAAAAATCTGAGTGACACCTCAGAGGCCATCACCTATAGTAAACACAGCCACCACTCCAACCACTGGGTAAGGATTTTATTTTATTTTAGGAAGGCAAAGATGGCTTTTTTTTTTTGTTTAGCTTGAAATTGCAAGGTGCATAAACTTTTCTTTCTTCTTCTCTCCCACAGGGAAGCTTTCACACCACATTTTGTTTCCTGACAAGAGAAGGAGAAATCGTTGGCCTCTGCGTGACATGGAGGGTCCCCCCACCTGCAAGCTTTTGTGTTTGCTGGATCTTGGACAGTACCCTGGCGAAAAGCATTCGGCAAGATTATCCGGCTAGCACAGCCTTCAAGGAATAAATATCTAACACCTTGTTCCCTTTTGCGGTTCAAAAGCCACTGTCACTGGGGTACATAGGCAGTTTTAAAAAAGGCTACAATTCATATGCAAACTAGAGGAGGATTTCCATGATTTCATAATAAAATGTTGAAACGCTTTGATCTGGAGTTGTAAGGAGGTGTGAAACAGTGCCTCCGAAACAGACAGATATTTGTGTAATCATCCTTTATGTATTGCCAGTGCGGAATAATAACATATCAAAGCCCCAACCTACCTCATCTGCCTGGTACAGCCAAGGCATAAATAAAGGGGAACAATGGAATTACTATTACTCACTCTCCGAGAGCCAGCGACATCACTGTATCCTTTATAATTGCTGGCAAGAAGATTAATGTTTTGTTAAATATCAGAGCAAGGTCACAAGGGGGCTTGCAGGCCTGTCTAAACATCTAGTCTTTAAGCTCCTTCTCCCTCACTTGCTCTTTTTTGCGGAAATGAACTTGTAGCATTTCCTCTAATTATGGTGATTTTTGCTACTGAAAGCGGGCCTACATCATCGCTTGACTCTGAACATGCTCACACACACATGCATGCATGCTCACACACACATGCATGCATACACACACACACATATACACACACACATCTTCCCCAAATAATATTTGGGGACAGGCCTGACTTAACTGCAGAATATGGGCAACGTTGTTATGAGGTGACCTTGGCCTTTTAACCAACGTGGATAATTCATTGCCTGTCGCTGTGCACAGCTCGTGCTTAAAAAGTGAACTTTATTGGGGTCCTCAGGGGGCTCCCTAGCAAAGACTGGTATCATCGTTCATTGCGCTTCTGTTTTGTTTAGCCCATACGCCTGTCCATACAGATGTTTCCAACAGCAAACAGTTCATGACCCAGAAAGAAAAAAATATTTTGGCTTTCCCCAGCTTTCAGCACCTGTTCAAACCAAAGGGACTTCGAAGCTCTTTGCACACATCAGAAGGCCCAGCCAGCAATTGAAGAGAGGCCACCTCATGGCTGGAGCCAATGTTGCAACCTGGTGGCAAACCCAAGCCCCTTCAAGCAGTGACTCTTATTATCTTAACTCCTAGAAGAAGTGTTAGCAGGAGAGAAACGGCAGATCTCACAGAAAGATCTTTCATTATGTAAAGATCGTCACATGCATGTGTCAATTTGTCTCACCACATCAGAAATTAACCCAGATATTTCATGTTCATCCCCTTATCATTTATTCTGTATTTTGGGGGGGGGGGCAATGTCACATCTTTGGCATAGCATTGGGCGCTAGTCATTAGCCATTTGTGTAATTTTTGCAGGCCTGAGGTAAATTTTAGAAATTTTTCAGGATTAAATAATTTCAGAAATGTCTCTGGGGTTAGTGGAGGCTCTTTACTTGTTCCCAGAGGTAACAGCGACAACACTTAAAGGGTTTGGGATCAACAAAAAGGTCTTACAAATATGGCTAAGTATACAATAGAAAGAACTAAACAGAAACTCTTACTTCTATCAGAATTTGAAAGGATGAGAAGTTCTGTAGGTTGCAAAGGAGACACAAGGGCACCTTTCAAAGGGTCTGTTTATCTCACCACTCCATACCTTGCCTGGGCAAAGGGATTTTACATTGCAGCTCTAACGTTAAGGAGATGTGCTTATTTGTTTGTTTTTTGTTCTTGCAGCTCAAGGAGGAATTAAGAAGTAAAAGAGACAGCTTGGAATGAAGGTGGGTGTAAAAGGCAATTGGATGTGAAAGGGCAAATGTCCTGACTTTGGGGACTTGCCTCAGCTTCACTAATCTCAGTGACAGTTGCGGTATAGAGCCATAATTACCGTGTGTCCTCTTGGCTCAGCATAAAAAGAATAATATTCCACCTACTATTGATGTCTGTGCTTCCTGTGTACTGCAGGCCCTCAATAAACATGTGTTGAATCAATAAATGAATGGATGGATGGCCAGTTGACTCAACGGATAAATAGGTGGATGGATGAATGGATAGATGCCTAGATAAGTGGCTGGATGGATGGGTGGATGGATGGATGGATGGATGGATAGATGAATGGATAGAGGATGGATGGGTAAATGGATGAATGAATGGGTGGATGTGTGGATGGATGTGTAGATAGATGGATAGATGAATGGGTGCCTAGCTAATTGGCTGCATGAATGGGTGAGTAAATGGAAGGATGGATGATTTTAGAGACTTAATGCAAAGTAAACCAGACAAGTAATCACTCAACTAACTATGCCAAAGTTTGGCAAACCATGACCCATAGTCCAAGTTTGACCCACCACATTTTTTTTTGCAAATTAAGCTTTATTAGAACACAGCTATGACCATTATTTAGGTTTGTTTGCTTTCATGATCCAAGGCAGAGTTGAAGTATTGCAACAGAAGAAGTATGGCCTGCAAAGCCTAAATTATTTACTGTTTCTTTACAGAATAAGGTAACTAACCACTGAGCCACATTATTACTAGATTTTCTGAGTCCACACTACTTCTTCTCCTTGTTTTCTTTGTTTTATTGATAAAACAAACAAACAAAACACATAGACAGTAAACCAAATACACTCTTTCAACTTGTATAAACTCTCATAAACCTGCTGGGTGATACATAACTAAATAAGAATATTTTGATAAAACAATGGCAGTAAACCAAGGCAACTGCTTCATCTGTGCCTCAGTCAAAGAAATGATGATCTTTTCCAATGCAGGACAAAGAAAAGCCCAGGTGATAAATTTTTCGATAACCTGCAGGGTGCATACAAAATGTATTCTGTACTTTATGTGGAAGTTAAGAAAATTTTTCAGGGGCTAATTTTGAGCATATTATTAATTTTGCACCTTAGTACATTCACTTTACAATCTAAGAAGCTTTTCTTGTGATACCTTGGAACCTTATAACCTTAGCTAATATATATGACAGGTGAGTTTATTTATCCTCACCGCAGTGTGCATGTTGAATCTTCTCTTTCTGCTGGGCTGGAAGGATTATCTTACTGTGCTTCCCATGTTCTGGGAGGAGAAATACAACAGCTGCTAAGATAAGATGAATTTAACTTTATGCTCTTTAGGTCAGTAATGAACACAGAGCAAAGGCAGAAGGATCAAAAGAACACGTGGGGTTTTCCAAGAAAGCAGAACTACTAGAAGCTACCACATGGAAAGTCTAGCTTGAGATTTCCATACCTTAGACCACAATGCTGCATGAACTTGGCAAAGATCCACAAGCAAGAAGGGCAATGGGGGGAATAGGGGTTGAAGGCAGATATGTTGGGAAAGCAGATATGAGTTGTTGTATTCCATTTGTAATGGTCATATCCTATATAATACGATGTTGTCACTGCTTTTTCCATGTCAGTGCAAGAACCTTGCTAACCATCAGGTAACTGCAACCTGACTCCCATTAACAAAATGTCAGTGTAGAGTAGGCAGGTTCTTTGATGGCAGTGGTCCCCACCTCCTATTAATTATGCCCTTGTTTAAGCCCCTTTCCTTGAATGTGAGCTGAACCTAGTGACTTGCTTACAATAAATAGAATATCGCAGAAGTGGTAAGATGTTGTTTCGGAGGGTGGGTTACAAAAGATGGCAATTTCTGTTTTGCTTACTGATATGGTTTGTCTATGTCTCCATCCAAATCTCATCTTTAATTATAGTTCCCATAATCTCTACATGCCATGGGAGGGACAAGGTGGAGATAATTGAATAACAGGGGTGGTTCCCCCATCCTGCTTTTGTGATAGTGAATTACTTCTTATGAGGTGTGATAGTTTTATAAGGGGCTTCTCCCTTTGTTTGGCACTCATTCTTCTCCTTCCTGCTACCATGTGAAGAAGGAATTGTTTGCTTCCCCTTCTGCCATGATTGTAAGTTTCCCGAGGCCTCCTCAGCCCTGCGGAACTGTGAGTCAATTAAACCTCTTTCCTTTATAAATTACCTAGTCTCAGATATTTTTTCATAGCATTGTGAGAACGGACTAATACACTCACCTTCTTTTGGCCTCTCAGTTGCTCTGTTGAAGCCAGTTGTCATGTTGGGAGTTTCCCTATAGAGAGGTTTGCATGGCTAGGAACCAAGGTGCCCTCCAGCTAACAGCTAGGGAAGGACTGAGGCCTCAGTCCATGAATTCTGCCAAAAGCCACATGAGTGAGCTTAGAAGTGGGTTCTTCCCCTGTGGAGGCTGGAGATGACTGCAGCCTCAACTTACACTTTGACAGCAGCTTTATAAAGACCCCGAGCCAGAAGATAACTTACGCTCACCCAGATTCCTGACCTACAGAAACTGTAAGATTATCCAGTCCCTTTAAGCCAATACATTTTGGGGTAATTTGATATGCAGCATGGATAACTAACATAATCAGAATTTGCCTTTAGCTTTCTTTGCCCTTAAATATCTTAGTCCAGCTCCCTTTTTGTAATAATCAATGTCTGGCATCTTTTGTTTTACTTTATTTTTCTTTTGAGGACTGAAAAGAAGCTGTAAGCTAAGGGTAAGTGACTGATTTCTTAACACTTTTAGTTTCTTGGTGGAGAAATTCTGTCCTGGATACTACTGCCACATAAGAAACTCCTCAAAATTTAGTGGCTTAAGCAACACCACTTTATGATATCTCCTGGATTCTTTAAGTCAGAAGTTGGGGCAGTGTATGGCTGGTCAATCCCTCTGGGCATCAACTGTTGTCACACAGAAGTATTCAATGAATGGCTGGTCTCGTCTGAAGGGACCAAGGTAGCTTCCCCTGTGTCTGATGCTTTGGACAGGGCTCTCCAGCATGCAGGTCTCAGAGTATCCTGAATTCTTACGTGGCAATTGATTTTCCAGGAAAAAGAGTCCCAACAAGTTTGGCTTCACATTCATCCTCTAAAGAAACATTTCCTACTTGGATGGAGCACCTTATAGATGGAACATCAGACCCAATACATATGGAAAAAATTAAGATAATCTAGCCCAAATAAGTTGGAAAACATTGCCTTCTCTAGTTCCCTCTTGGATAGTGAAAATGCACATGAGCATATTAAAGGTCTTAAAAGTCAAGAGCACAATTTAACCTGCTGCCTCAAACACTTCCTAACCGGTTTTGGCCTATCAGTATAAAAATTATTTGACACTTGGAAATAAGGCAAAAATGTTGTGATATGGTTTGGCTCTGTGTCCCTACCCAAGTCTCATGTCTAATTGTAATCCCCCAGTGTTGGAGGTGGGGCCTGGTAGGAGGTGATTAGATCATGGCAGGGGTTTCTAATGGTTTAGCACCATCCCGCTAGTACTGGCTCATGATAGAGTTCTCAGGAGAGATCTGGTTGTTTGTAACTGTGTAGCAGTTTCCCCTTTGCTCTCTCTTCCTCTTGCTCCATCATGTGAAAAAGGTGGTTGCTTCCCCTTTGCCCTTCTGCCAGGATTGTAAATTTCCTGAGGCCTCCCCAACCATGCTTCCTTTACAGCCTGTGGAACTGTGAGCCAATTAAACCTCCTTTCTTCATAAATTACCCAATCTCAAGTTGTTCTTTATAACAGTGTGAGAACGGACCAATACAGGTTGGAAATGTGTCCTTTCAAAATCAATAATAGTGGCAAAGGCTACTCAAAAATTGTCCAGTGGAACTTTTTGCAGTGATGGAACTGTTCTGTGTTTCTGATAGGGTATCTGCCAGCCACGTGTGGCTATTGAGCACATGGAATGTGGCAAGTGTGACTGGGGAGCTATATTTTAATTTGATTTAATTTTACTCAATTTAAATTTAAATAGCCAGTTGAGTCTAGTAGATATGTTATTGGATAACACAGGTTTAGGGAAACATTCTCAGTTCATCCCATTGTTTAATATTGGTTAAAGGTCCAGGCTTAGTGAAGTCACTAAGTGCCCTCATGCCCTCTGATCTTTTCAGCCACTGATCAGGCCCCCACTGACCCCCAGGATCCATCTGCAATCCAGTGACTAAGTGAGTAACACCTGACCCGAAAGGACCTCTCCAGGACTCTGCCTCCAGGCTGAGGTTGTTCTGACTTGTTGTGATGGTTAACTTTACGCGCCATCTTGACTGGGCCATGGGATGTCCCAAGAGCTGATTAGATATTATGTCTGGGCATGTCTGTGCGGGTAATTCTGGAAAAGACTGGTATTTTAATTGGTGGACTGGGCAAAGCAAATGGCCTTCCCCAGTGTGGGTGGGCATCATCCAATCCTCTGAGGTCCTAAATAGAACAAAAACGCAAGGAAGGGATTGCTTGGCCTGACTGCTTGAGCTAGGACATCAATCTTCTCCTGCCCTCAGCACTTTTGGTTCTCAGGGCTTTACACCTGGACTGGAATCTATACCATTTGTACCATCAGCCCTCTGGCTCTCAGGCCTTCCAATGACACCATCAGCTTTCCTGGGTCCCAGCCTCCACAGTCACATGAGCCAGTACCTTATGAGAAACCACGTGCATGCTATTGGTTCTGTTTCTCTGGAGGACCCTGACTAACACACTGCATCAGAACACCCAATGCAGGGCCTGCTCCCAGGAAGCCCTCATGGCGGCGGCTGCTGCTGCTGCTGCTGCTGCTGCTGCTGCCTCTGGGGTAGCTGTCATGATCTCCCTGTTACACTGTAGCATGGCATCACCAGGTAGTGGTGATCTCAGAAGGGGGACTGCTGCTTGTCAGGACCATGGATAAAGCTGGGGGCTCTGAAGTCAGGTGCCTGAGTTAAAAATCCAGGCTCCCTGACCCACTCAATGTGTGCATTTGGAGATGTCTGGACTTTTCTATGTTTCAGTTTCTTTTTCTATAAAATGAAGATAAATAATAAGAAAACCTCACAGAGTTGTAGTGAGCAGGCCCATTCCTGACATCTGCAGGGCTGAAGAAGCAGAACACAAAAGGGGTTCTCAAGTGCATGATCTACCTATCCCTACTCCAGATACCCCTCCACTCTGATACCCACCCCACCCCAGTTGTCCACCTCTTGGATATGGGGACATACACCGGCAGTGCCATCCTCCTTTGAGAGGACAGACCTAGGAGAGAGGTGTGTGCAGCCACAGACAGGAAATTCCGAGGTCCTGGACACCCTGAGTGTGGACTAGAAGAGGAGATGTGAGTTACAGGTGAATATATGCCTTTAGCCCCAGAGTTTCATCCCCAGGGGGAAAGGCACAGCCAGCAAAGAGCCAAGGCAGAGCTCATGGAAAATGTATGCACACACATGCACACAGGGACCAAAGCAGGAGCCCGTCTTGCCTGGTTCCAAGATTGGTACTGGGCAGAAGATTTAAGTGATGGCTGAGAATGGGGCTGGCACCTGGTAAAGATTCAGTAAGCTGCTGTTATATTTCATGTCAGTTTCACTATGGTATCTGGCTGCGGAAGGTCCAACTATCCTCTGAGCCTAAGACCTACTAACAGATGACAAAGAATACACTTTATTTGAGTTGGAGAGAAAATAAAGCCACTTTATCTCTTCAAAGAGAGTTCGGGGGGGTGACGGGATGACAAGACAGACCCAGTGATACAGGAGGCCTCCACTTCCCAGCGGCCATAGTATTCCAGATTCATAAGGTCAAACTTTACAGCCCTGTTACTGCCACAGTTGATCATCCCTATCAGAAATATGCTACCTATTTCATCTCTGCTTTAAATGCAAAAAAAGTGGCTTCTGTGTTTTTCTTATAATGAAGGCATAAAAGAGCTATATGTCACATACACAGGAATTAAAGAGGTAGAAACATATTTCTAAACAGTTGTCACATATACAGAGCTGTTTATGGAAATGTAAGTTAGCAAACTGTAAGTTGCTCAGATTGCCAAGAACAGAGTTCCAGGAAAGGCAGTATAAAAATGAATTTAAGGTCACACACTTAGAGGTATCTTTAGACTGAAACTAGAATGAGGCAAGAGAGGTAAGAAGTCACTCTCTTTCAGGCTCAAGTCAGTGCAGGTTACCACTTGAGAGTAAGCACATCCTTACATGTAAGTCCTCTGTCCCTTGCTTGTCTCAGTCTGATTTGCACCTTGAGACATCCTTTATGTTGACCAAGGCTTCTTATATAATATTTTATTTTTATTTATGATTTTAATATATAAAATTTTAATTTTGATAAAATCACTTAACAGGAGACCTACCCTCTTAACACATTTTTAAGTGTACAATTCAGCATTGATGATAGGCACAATATTATACAGCAGATCTCTGACACTCATTCATCTGGCACAATTGAGATTTTATGCCCTATGATTAGCAAACCCATTTCTCTCTCTCTTCTAGCCCCTGGTAACCACCTTTCTACTCTCTGATTCTATGAGTTTGGCTATTTTAGATACCTATGTAAGTGGAAGCATGCAAAATTTGTCCTTATGTGCCTGGCTAATTTCACTTTGTATAATGTCCACAAGGTTTATCCATATTGATACATATTGCAGGATTTCCTTCTTTTTAAGGGATGAATACTATTCCATTGTATGTATGTATGTGTGTGTGTATATATATATATGTCATGTATATATATATGTCATGTATATATATATATGTCATATATATTTGTCACATTTTCTTATTCATTCATCTCTTGATGGAAATTTATATGCAAGACTAAAACTGTAAAACTCTCAGAAGAAAACACAGGAAAAAACCTTTATCACATTGGTTATGGCAATGATTTCATGGAAATAACACCAAAAGCATAGGCAACAAAGACAAAAATAGACAAGTGAGACTATATCAAACTTAAAAGCTTCTGCACAGAAGAAATAATCAGCAGAGTGAAAAGGCAGTCTACAGAATGGGAGAAAATATTTGTGAACCATATAGTTGATAAGGACTTCATTTTCAAAATATGTAAGAAGCCCCTACAATTCAATAGCAAAAAACTAATAACCAATTAAAAAGTGGGCTAAAGACTTGACTAGACATTTCTCCAAAGAAGACACACAAATAGCCAACAAGTTTATGAAAGGATGTTCAACATCACTAATTATCAGAGAAATGCAGATCAAAACCACAATGTGATATCACCTTGCACCTGTTAGGATGGCTGCTATCCAAAAAAACAAAAGGCAGCAGGTGTTGGTGAGAATGTGGAGAAATAGAAATCCTTGTTCACTGTTGGAAGGAAGGCAAAATGAGGCAGCCCCTATGGAAAACAGTATGGAGGTTCCTAAAAAAATTAAAAATAGGCTGTGTGCAATGGCTCACACCTGTGGTCCCAGTGCTTTGAGAGGCCAAGGTGAGCAGACCACTTGAGCCCAGGAGTTCAAGACCAGCCTGAGCAACATGGCAAAACCCCATCTCTACCAAAAAAAAAAAAAAAAATACAAAAATTAGCCACGTATGGTGGGGCACACCTGTAGTCCTAGCTACTAGGGAGGCTGAGGTGGGAGGATCACTTGAGCCCTGGAGGTGGAAGTTGCAGTGAGCCAGGATAGCGTAACTGCACTCCAGCTTGGGCAATAGAGCAAGGCCCTGTATCAAAAAATGAAAATTAATTCAAAATAGAACTACCATATGATTCAGTGATCCTAATTCTGGTTATTTATCCAAAAGAATTACAATCAGGATCTTGAAGAGAGATATGAATGCCCCAATGTTTATTGCAGCATTATTCACAATAGCCAATATGTAGCCATAACCAAGTCTTTTTAAAGTCCCAGGCAGGCTTTGAAATTCTTTGACAAATTAACACACAAATACCATCTTCAGATCATTTGCACACACCAGAGGTTGTTGGCAGCTTTCTGGGTTGGAAATGAGAATAGCTATGGCTTTTCCCCACCAGGAGCCACTCTCCCCAGGATGTGCAAAAGGCATGCACATCTGGATGTTCATCTTGCTTCCAGCTCAGCTGGGAGTAGGTTCTCTGAGATGGCAAGCCAGGATGGGGTGGCACACAATGGTTGTCAGGGAGGGGGAAGACCAGGTCCCCTGGTACCTAGGAGGTGCCAGGGAGGAAGGCGGGCCAGGCAAGACCCCAAAGCACATAGCTTCTCCTTGGGATGTTTGTCTTTGTTTCCATAGGTATTTATTTGTGCTTTTCTTTGACTGTTTTACGTGTCATTGATAGTTAAAGAAGACATATTGTACGTCCTAAAGAGAAGCAGTAAAAATAATTTAACTTACTTCTTTCATGTCTGAGTGTATTAATTCTTGCTTACATAAGGAAATACAAAAAACAAACTGTAAACAAGGAATCACTTGGAATCAGATTATGCATGAATAATGACACACATTCTCATCTAAGATGTGGGGGGAAAATCTAGTTTTACCGCCAGTGGCTCTAAAAAATGTTTTGCTTTTTCAAAGGAAATTACTCAGAATGTAATAAAACATGTTTTCTGCTCTAAAAGGATTAATTTACCTTTTGTGTCATGAGAAAATAAATGCAATCAATATTTCCATTCTCTTCCTCTATGGAAAAAGACAATTTCCAAGTTTGAATACTAGGGAATGATCATTTACCCTTGATTTCTTAATATTCAGATTGTGTCGCTCTTATGATTTCTCTGTTACTCAGACTCTCCCTGGAGCCCCAGATGCCTACTGGGGGTCTCTGCTTTCTTCTCCAGCTCCAGACCCTCTTTCTTTTTGTGTGTTTCCTTTCTTTCCTGTGATCCCCAATTCCATCACTGGTGCCTAGAGACTGAAAAGCATAAGGGGATCTAAGATGAATAAAGAGGCAATTTAATCAGTGCAGCTTCCAGGGCTGGGGTCTGCCCCATCTCTAACACCAGCGTGGCTTGTGACTTGGAACTTGCTACCTAACCTCACAGTCCCTCACTTTTCTCACTTGCAGAGGAGAGATGAAAAACAGTACCTACTTGATAGAGTAGTTCTAAGGAATGGATGCATGAATAGTGTTCAGTATAGTATCATGAGGACCTCATTTTGCTGAAGGCATTTACTCCCCTCATCTTCATATCTGCGTGCAGGCATTCTGTTTAGAAACAATCCTTTGTTCTAATTTCCGTCTTCCCACCAGCAGAATTCACTCTCCAGTCACTGCAGGACATTTGAAAAGATTGTACACATTACTACTGCTTTATTTGGATTTACCTTTATTGAATCTCAGACGAAAGGGTTGAAAGGATCCTTTAAGATCCACCCACTCATCCGTCCATCCAGATAATATTTACTAAGCATTCACTACATGCCAAGCACTGTACTAGGCCCTGGAACAGAGATGTGAATAAAACACTTGGGCCCTTACCTTCATAGTGCTTAATTTTGTGAGTGGGCATTGAACAATCCATTACAAGTAGAGTGACCTACTTGCCTCAATTTGACTGGGACTTATCCAGTTTTAGCACTTAAGCGCTCCCCAGTCCTGGCAAACCAGGATGGTTGGTCACCTTAATTGCAAATGTGATAAAAGGAAAATATACTATAAATGCTTCCAACTAGAGACCTGATCCAGTCTCAGATGTCAGAGGGGACGCATCATAGAAAGCAGCATTCATGGAAACCAGGCAGATTGGTAGACAAACCAAGGACATGGAGGAGAGGGGAAAGGGAGGTCATGTGTACAAGCAGAGATTCTGTGTGTACAAAGGCCTGGGAACTGGAGGAACTGGAAAAAGCAGAGAAAATAAAGAGATGTGACTTCAGGGAGTGTAAGGAAGACCTTGCAAAGCCCATGGAGGAATTTGTGCTTTATCAGAGGGACCCAGGGAAGCCTTGAAAGCCATGTTTTAGGCACTGTTCTGGGAATTTTGCATGTATCAACTCATTTGATCCTCACATCAACCTTGTGATGTCAGTACTTTTAATATCCCCATCTTATAGATGAGAAAACTGAGGCATCCCTAAGTCACATAGGTAAGTGGTATGACTAAGATATGAACCTGGACATCTCACTTCCAGAGTCTAGATACACTTTAAAAGATCATACTAATCTTATCAATATAGCAGGCACCCACAATAAAGGTATGGTAGATACTATACCCCATTGCACAGTTGAGAATAATCAAGGTGTGGTGAGGTTAAAATGACTTGGCCAAAGAGCATTGCATCGAATGATTTACTTACAAACAGCACTCTGGCTATGCCCTAAGCAGAATCAACTGGAAGCAGGCTGCAAAGCCCAGGTAAGAACATGTTGTAAGGGAAAGCTGATGACAGCTTGGGCATGCGTGTGTGGCAGATGGCATAGAAAGCCTGGATCAATCATTCTTTTGGAGAAGAGTGGACAGAGCTGGCCCAGACTGATTGGACTAGGGCAGATAGACAAGAGAGGAGGGAAGGTTGACTCCCGGGTTATTGGTGGGAGCACTTAGATGGATGATGGAACCCGTAACTGAGAAAGACAAACCTACTTCAGCAAGTTCAAGTTCTCGAAAGCATCTGTGCTTTAGGCCTTGTGCCACACGCAGGGGATGCCCAGATGACTAAGCTATGGTACCTGTTCTCCAGACATTCGTTGGTTGTGGAGGAATAGTGTGGGGAGGGCCCGGATAGAAATATACACAAAATATAGGAGGCATGGAACAGGAAGAGGAGACCAGCTATGCTCAAGACATCAAGGAAGACTTTACAGAGCAGGAAATCCTTCTCTTTGGTCCTAAAAGATAAAGAGAAGCTCACTAGGTGCAGAGGGAGGACGTTCCAGGCAGGGGGCACAGCATGTACAAAGGATGTAAAGGCAGGAATGCCAGTTGAACTGATTCAATTATTTTTTTATACCAGTATGGGTTTGTGGATATTTATTTTATTCTATGGGTTATAATCTGTGGGTTACTATCTTTATTTATTTTGTGACTCAGATTGTTCCAGCTCTGCCTATTTAGAGTTTCTTCACATTGGCTTTTGCGTTCTTTGGAAAGGCCTCTATCATATTTTGAGAACTTTCTTGCTTTCTGGCATGACAAGATGCTCCTGGCTCATCTCGGATTTTCCCTGCCCCAGTGCTGAAATCAACCACTCCTTTAAGGAGCCCTTGGCCAGGGTTTTTTTAGACAAATGAATGGGGAAGGCAGAGTGTGGGGGTCGAGGAAGCCAGGTAGGCCGAGGCAGGAAGAAAGCAGGCGGTGCATGCAGCAGAAGGCACAATGGGGCAAAGGCTGAGTACTGAGAATGGGGATGAGGATGCCCAGTTCAGATATTCTCCTGCTTTTTCCTTCTCTCCCTGGAAGCTAAGACCTTCACAGAAGGTAAGCATTAAAATCCAACTTACAGAACGTTGGGACTTCATTCACCAGGGCTCCCAGGGGCATTGGGAAGCCACCCACAACTTGTCTCTGGTTTAGGTGACCCACTCCTGGGCTTGTGCCCTTCCAGATGTCACAAGCCATCTTGGGAGCAGGAAGACAGACATGAGTCTGACAGCTGAATCCAAGCACCTAAAGGGCATCTGGAAACCACCTCCTCCCATACCCAACGCCTCCCCTGACCCTCTGCCTCACAGTCAAATCCAAGGAATCTAGTCTAGTGTTTACTAGCCTGGGCCTGGGAGTTAGAGCGTCATGTGTTCGAATTCCAACTCTGTCATTTGTTATCTGAGTAATGAAGACAAATTCTCTCAACTGCTCTGAACTTTGGTTTCTTCATCTGTAAATGAGGAAGATAATCTTAACTCCCAGAGTCATGACAAGAATTAAACATGAAAACATATGTAATGCCTTAACACACAGCTTAGCAGGTGGTGAGCCATTCACGGACTGCCTTTATTTTATCAGTAGCCATGTGCTGGGTGCCAGGAACTGTGTTAAGAGAAGAGGAGGCCGGGCGCGGTGGCTCACGCCTGTAATCCCAGCACTTTGGGAGGCCGAGGCGGGCGGATCACGAGGTCAGGAGATCAAGACCATCCTGGCTAACACGGTGAAACCCCGTCTCTACTAAAAATACAAAAAATTAGCCGGGCGAGGTGGCGGGCGCCTGTAGTCCCAGCTACTTGGGAGGCTGAGGCAGGAGAATGGCGTGAACCCCAGGGGGCGGAGCCTGCAGTGAGCCGAGATTGCGCCACTGCACTCCAGCCTGGGCGACAGCGAGACTCTGTCTCAAAAAAAAAAAAAAAAAAAAAAAAAAAAAAGAGAAGAGGAGCAGAAGCCACAGCACCCTTTCATGCCACCACATTGCAGAACATTGCACACTTGACATAGCATTGTCACGTCCCAGCGTTCATCCTCCCAACAGTGTGTGAGCTGAGCTCTGCTACCTTCTAACTAACTGGATATTGATCAGTCTCATAACCTACTAAACTTTGGCTTCCACATCAGCAAAGTAAAGGTATCAATTTTTGCCCGGCTTACAAAATATAGTTTTAGCCTAGATTGAGTAACAATAACAATAACAGTAATTCACTTATGTAGTAATTGCCATGTTCTAGGCACTGTTCTGGGAATTTTGCATGTATCAACTCATTTGATCCTCACATCAACCCTGTGACGTCAGTATTTTTAATATCCCCATCTTATAGATGAGAAAACTGAGGAATCCCTAAGTCACATAGGTAAGTGGTATGACTGAGATATGAACATGCGCATCTCGCTTCCAGAGTCTAGATACACTTTAAAAGACCATACTAATCTTATCAATATAGCAGGCACCCACAATAAAGGTATGGTAGATACTATTACCCCATTGCACAGTTGAGAATAATCAAGGTGTGGTGAGGTTAAAATGACTTGGCCAAATCTAAACCTGGAACTTTATCCTCCTGAGGCTAATTTCAAGCTCATTCTTTGTTTCCTTTTTCCAGACCTCCGCCTTAAGCATAGTTACAGACTATGTGAAGGGAAGAGCTAAGGAGGCAGAAGTTGAACAGAAACAGCAGGTTTTACAAAAACTTAAAAAGTGGGAGTATGTCAAAAATCGCACGTGATTCATTGCCAGAGGAGCAAGCGGTATAGGGAATGATTACTCTAGAACTTTCAAAGAAACTGAGGGGAGTTTACAAGCACGCCACAGGAAGTTGTTGGGAAACTGCAAAGTGTTTTGTAAATGTAAAATATTGTTAGTATGGGGGTTGTTCTTTCCTTGATATTTAAAGTTGGGTGGAATTGGGATTACACTAACCTCATAAGTGGATGACGTGACCTTACAGGGCTGTTATGATTCAGTGGGATACTGCATAAAACAGTTAGGATCATGCTTAGCCATGCAGCAAGCACTGTACAAATGTTTGTATAATTTTTAAATCAACGTTATTTAAGAGTAATTTATGTGCAAAAAAACTAGCCCCATTTAAGTTGTACAGTTCAATGAGTTCTGACATCTGTACTCACGTGAGGAAGTACTGCCACATCAAGAGTCAGCTATCGCTTTATCATCAGCATAATTAAATTAATATTTACTTCATGGCACTACTGTGGGGACTCATGGACTTCAGAACAGTGCTGGGCATTGATAGTACTCAATAAATATGAGTTATTTTTACCATGATGGCTAGCTACTAAAAGTTATTCATTGGAAAGGGTTACCTAGGTGCTCAGAAAAAAAAGGGGAAGCTTCCATTTTTGGGGGAGAATAGCTGAAGACTTTTCTGAGAAAGTACTGGTGTGGTCTAGCCAGAAAGCAAGCTGTGAGCACCACCCATGATCTGATCTGCCCCCTCTTTGAGCCCCAAAGATCTCTGAACTTGACCCCTTCCTAAATTCAGACGTGCACACAGAGGCTGGCCACCAGAATTCCCAGCAGTGTTCCTTGGCCAGTCAAGGGTCTCAGAGAGGGAAAGCAGCCTCATGGGACAGAATCAGAAAGGTCACCAGCAAGAGAGGGATCCTCCCCTCTTTCCTTCTGTGGCTTTGATGGAGTTGCCAGATCACTGCTTCCCATCTGCAGTCCCAGGTTTCAAGAGTCTTGCCAAAAGAGCCACGAGTGTAGACTCTCAGGAAAACAAATACTAGGAGAAGTATTTTTGTCAAGGCAGGAGCCCTGCAGTGGCTGGCTGCTCTTACAGATAAGTTATCTGTTCACCTTTCATAAATGTCAGACTTGAAATAAAAAAGATGGGATAATGAGGTCTTATTTCCACAGAAGCAAGCATGCACCTACTAATTAACCCACAGACCACTAACAAACATTGCTGTTTAGATGCTTTTGCTGCAATTGTCAGATGCACAAATAGCTTGTGCTCAAATGATTTGATTTTCTTACCCTCCTTTGCTATTTTTAAAATATTTTAAATGGCCCTGATTATTCAACTTCTGTTGATTCATTCACACATATTTGCATAATATCCACTGTGTGCAAGGTATTGAATCAGAGATTTGAGGGATCCTAGGAGGCTGTTTTGGGAAGAGTAGAAGCTCTGGCACCCAACAAGTTGGGATTTCAACTTTGGCCTTGTCACCCGACATATAGATTAAAAAGCTGCTCCATGGATTCACACACTCATGTTAAATGGTAATCATGCCACTGTCTTTTTAAAGTTGTTGTTGGTGCTAAATGAAATAATATAATTAAATATCTCACAGGTGGAAAGCAGTACTTATTACAAAAAAGGAGCAGAGGCTGGGCACAGTGGCCCATGCCTGTAATCCCAGGACTGGAAGGCCTAGGTGGAAGGATTGCTTGAGCCCAGGAGTGCAAGATCAGCTTGGGCAACATAGTAAGACCCTGCCTCTACTAAAAACCAAAAAAATTAGCCAGACGTGGTGGCATGCACCTGTAGTCCCAGCTGCTTGGGAGGCTGAGGCAGGAGAATCACTTGAGCCTGGGAGTTTGAGGCTGCACAGTGAGCTGAGATCACACCACTGTACTCCAGCCTGGGTGACAGAGTGAGACTATCTCTAAAAAATAAAAATAAAGGCCAGCGCACGATGGCTCACGCCTGTTATCCCAGGACTTTGGGAGGCCAAGGTAGGCAGATCACGAGGTCAGGAGTTCAAGGCCAGCCTGACCAACATGGTGAAACCCTGTCTCTACTAAAAATACAAAAATTAGCTGGGCATGGTGGCATGCTTCTATAATCCCAGCTACTCGGGAGGCTGAGGAAGGAGAATCGCTTGAACCTGGAGGCGGAGGTTGCAGTGAGACAAGATCGAGCCACTGCACTCCAGCCTGGGCGACAGAGCGAGACTCCATCTCTAAATAAATAAATAAATAAATAAATAAATAAATAAAGTAAAAATAAAAACAAATACAAATTAAAAATTAAGAAGGAGTAGAGGAAAAATATGGAGGAGTAAGGGAGTGAGAAGAAAGAGGGAGAGGGGAAGAGAAAGAAGGAGGAAGAAGAGGAGATGGCAGAGGTGACAAAAGAGAAGAAAACAAATCAACATGGAGACAGAGGAGAAGGAAAAGATGAGATGAGGGTCTTTTTGACGCCGCTCCCAATCTGGTAAGGAAGACTGACATATGGAAAATAACTAGGGTATTGCTATGGGCTGAACCATGCCCCGTGTAAATTCACATGTTGAAGTTCTAGCCCCCCAGTACCTCAGAATGTGCTGCATTTGGAGACAGGGCTTTTCAAAATATAATTAAAGTAAAAAGAAGTCACATCAGTGTGCCCTAATGCAATATAACTGGTGTCCTTGTAAGAAGAGGCGATTAGCACGCAGACATGTACAGAGGGTAGACCACGTGAAGATACAGGGAGAGTCGGCCATCTACAAGTCATCTACAAGGAGAAAGGCCTCAGAATGAAATCAACTTGGCCATCACTTTGATGTTGGACTTCCAGCCTCCAGAACTTTGAGGAAATAGACTCCTGTTTTTTAAGCCACCCAGTCTGTGATACTTTGTTTTGGCAGCCCTGGCTAACTAATACAGGTATAGTTGGTAATAAAGAGAAGTAGAAAAGTATCACAGACATTTTAGAGAAGACAACTAAATCTCACAATGGGATTAGGAAGCAGAGATTGGGGGATGAGGAGAACATTGGAGGATGATTATTTCTGGGGTCCTGTAGGTGGAGACGGGCAGGGAAAGGTTTGAGCAAAAACCCTAGAATCAAGGCATGCTCACTGCATGGGGAGGAGTCGCAGCTGGCTTGGCAGGTGGGATGGAAGAGGAGGTTGCAAAGATATGGTCTACCTGATTTAAGGAGACCTTGAGTACTTTATTCTGAAAGTGGTTGCAAGCTCTGAATAAGTGAATTCTACAGGTGGAAATCCAAAGTAAGAGAAAAACAATTCCAAGTTCTTTCACGTGAGATATTACATGGAAGGCAGAGTATTCTATAATAGGGGTTCAGTATCTTTGCTCTGGAAACAGTGATGCTCCCTTGCCTCTGACAATAAAATGACAGTAAAAATAACACATTTTATTTCTTTCTAGAGCAATGTTTCATGAATGACTGGGTTTCATTCTGACAACCCTGAGGTGGTTTGAATGGTGGCCCCGGAAATCTCTTATTTCCCAGAACCTATGAACGTGACCTTATTTGGAATAAAGAAATCTCTGCAGATGTAATAATGTTAAAGACCTTGAGATCTTTGGATTATCTAAATGGGCCTTAAATCCAATGACAAGTGTCCTTATGAGCGACACACAAAGGAGAGACACAGGCTACGTAAAGATCAAAGCAGTAACTGGAGTTAGGCAGCCAGGATGTCACCCACAAGCCAAGGGATGCCTGGAGCCGCCACCAGGGGCTAAAAAAGACAAAGGAATGTTCTCCTCTAGAGCCTTCAGAGGGAGTGTGGCCCTGCTAATGCCTTGACTTTGGACTTCTGGCCTCCAAAACAGTGAGATGATACATTTCTATTGTTTTAAGCCAGCAAGTTTGTAGTCATTTAAGGCAGCTCTAGCAGGCTTTAAATTATAATACAAATGCTTCAAGAAGGGCAGAGGAGGAATTCTAATACCTATGTGACCAGTGAGAAAAGCAAGATCCTGCTCTTATATAAGTTAATCAAAAAGTGTGGTCTACTTGGACCCAAAGATTTTTCAGTAGATTTGCATGCCCTAAATGTAGTCCCTGAAATTGTGAGAGATTAGGGAGGCTCATCAACAAGCCAGTGAACCACTCCTGTGAGCGGTTGACAGAAGAATGCAAGCTAAGGTGTAAGAGTATCTGAAATAGCCAGGGTACAGCATATGGTGAGAAATGTGACCCAAAGACCTTGAACTGCAGGCTGAGAAGCTTGCTCCTGGCCTGTTAAAACACCTGTTTGCCAAAGTTGATTCTTTGGATTAGCAGTCAACAGGATTCATTCATACTACAATAATTGAATTGTCAATCACTGGCCTTGCCAAGGACCGTCAGAAAACCTGTGGACTGAGCACAGCTAAGTTGATCAGACCAGCTGCGGTGACGCAGAACACCACCTTGATAGAATCTCAATATGGGGACAATTAAGGAAGGCATTGATGGGGCTTTAGGGCCAGGGTGAGTGATTTTAAGGGGGGGTCTTACAAGGTAGGAGAGCTATTGGCACAGGACAGAATTTCTAACAAGTGGTTTCGAATTAGCAGACAGAGTGAGGCAAGGGTCCTGAAGCAAACTTTGATGAGCAAGAAGTCAGTCATCAAAACTGATAAAAAGTAAGTGTTTTGGTTGATTCACAAGAGCAGGTATTTCCTGGAGCTAGCAGCTAAGTGATTTCTGCTTGATCCCGATATTGTCTAACATGGACTGAGAGAGGCATGCTGGCCTAAGCATGCTACAACTCACTACAACAAATATGTAGTGAGTTGAGGATTCACCATGTTACAGGCACTATTCTAGGTGCGTGTGCCTGTGCATGCGTGCACGTGCCTGTTAGTGCGTGCGTGTGTGTGTGTTCATCCTTAACTCCATAAAGCTTGAATTCCAATAGGAATGTGGGGAGGACAGAAACAGAATATTCAATATACACATGTGACAAACTGAATTTGAGAAAGTGCTAAGTTCCAAGGAGAAAGACAAAACAGGAAAAGAAAATGGAGATGGTGATGGGAAAAGAAGAGTGAACGATATTAAGTGTCGTGGGACCAATCGCCCTGTGGCCACCTAAGCTTGGAGAGTGTTTGGTGAAACAAAGTTAAATAGACTTCATCACCCCAGAACATCCAGGAGTCTTATGTTTTTCAGTGTTTCTTAAGAGTCTCCAAGAAGAGGATAAAGGATACTGCATTGTCTAAATGTATTTTGCTTCTGTAGCCTTCCTTCCACAGCACCTCACTAATGACCTTTTAATCATTGGGAAAATGTTTAAGGAAGACACCTGTAGGCAGAGGACCGCCATCAGGTGTGCAGAACCACTGGCTTGAAGGATCTGCAAGCCAGGAGGGAGGTGCTGGCATGACAGTCCAAGCCTCCGGCTGGGGTGGGATACAGGTGTGGAGAAGTGACAGAGGCTGAGGATGGGAGAGTGTGACAACCCATGAGCTTGTGCCAGAATATCGGGACCATTCTACCCAGGAGAGGTGGACACTTACCTCAGTTTTTCTCTGTGCTTTCTGTTCCTATCACAGAATTGGGTTTAATGTTTGTTGAAAGAATAAAGAGATATAATGGATTAGAGAAGAAAACTGGGTAGATGGCATCCAAACTTAATCAGTTTGTGGAAAACGATGGGGTTACCCATTTTTTTATTTGCTTTTTTTAAATTATTATACTTTAAGTTCTAGGGTACATGTGCACAATGTGCAGGTTTGTTACATATGTATACATGTGCCATGTTGGTGTGCTGCACCCATTAACTCATCATTTACATTCGGTATATCTCCTAATGCTATCCCTCCCCTCTCCACCAACCCCATGACAGGCCCCTGTGTGTGATGTTCCCCTTCCTGTGTCCATGTGTTCTCATTGTTCAATTCCCACCTATGAGTGAGAACATGCGGTGTTTGGTTTTTTGTCCTCGCGATAGTTTGCTGAGAATGATGGTTTCCAGCTTCATCCATGTCCCTACAAAGGACATGAACTCATCCTTTTTTATGGCTGCATAGTACTCCATGGTGTATATGTGCCACATTTTCTTAATCCAGTCTATCATTGCTGGACATTTGGGTTGGTTCCAAGTCTTTGTTATTGTGAGTAGTGTCACAATAAACATACATCTGCATGTGTCTTTATAGCAACAAGATTTATAATCCTTTGGGTATATACCCAGTAATGGGATGGCTGGGTCAAGTGGTATTTCCAGTTCTAGATCCTTGGGGAATCACCACACTGTCTTCCACAACGGTTGAACTAGTTTACAGTCCCACCAACAGTGTAAAAGTGTTCCTGTTTCTCCACAGCCTCTCCAGCACCTGTTGTTTCCTGACTTTTTAATGATCACCATTCTAACTGTTGTGAGATGGTATCTCGTTGTGGTTTTGATTTGCATTTCTCTGATGGCCAGTGATGATGAGCATTTTTTCATGTGTCTGTTGGTTGCATAAATGTCTTCTTTTGAGATGTGTCTGTTCATATCCTTTGCCCACTTTTTGATGGGGTTGTTTGGTTTTTTCTTGTAAATTTGTTTGAGTTCATTGTAGATTCTGGATATTAGCCCTTTGTCAGATGAGTAGATTGCAAAAATTTTCTCCCATTCTGTAGGTTGCCTGTTCACTCTGATGGTGGTTTCTTTTGCTGTGCAGAAGCTCTTTAGTTTAATTAGATCCCATATGTCAATTTTGGCTTTTGTTGCCATTGCTTTTTGTGTTTTAGACATGAAGTCCTTGCCCATGCCTATGTCCTGAATGGTATTGCCTAGGTTTACTTCTAGGGTTTTTATGGTTTTAGGTCTAACATTTAAGTCTTTAATCCATCTTGAATTAATTTTGTATAAGGTGTAAGGAAGGGTTCCAGTTTCGTCTTTCTACATATGGCTAGCCAGTTTTCCCAGCACCATTTATTAAATAGGGAATCCTTTCCCCATTGCTTGTTTTTCTCAGGTTTGTCAAAGATCAGATGGTTGTAGATGTGTGGGGTTATTTCTGAGGGCTCTGTTCTGTTCCATTGGTCTAGATATCTGTTTTGGTACCAGTACCATGCTGTTTTGATTACTGTAAGCCTTGTAGTATAGTTTGAAGTCAGGTAGCATGATGCCTCCAGCTTTGTTCTTTTTGCTTAGGATTGTCTTGGCAATGCAGGCTCTTTCTTGGTTCCATATGAACTTTAAAGTAATTTTTTCCAATTCTGTGAAGAAAGTCATTGGTAGCTTGATGGGGATGGCATTGAATCTATAAATTACCTTGGGCAGTATGGCCATTTTCACGATATTGATTCTTCCTATCCATGAGCATGGAATATTCTTCCATTTGTTTGTGCCCTCTTTTATTTCATTGAGCAGTGGTTTGTAGTTCTCCTTGAAGAGGTCCTTCACATCCCTTATAAGTTGGATTCCTAGGTATTTTATTCTCTTTGAAGCAATTGTGAATGGGAGTTCACTCATGATTTGGCTCTCTGTTTGTCTCTTCTTGATGTATAAGAATGCTTGTGATTTTTGCACATTGATTTTGTACCCTGAGACTTTGCTGAAGTTGCTTTTCAGCTTAAGGAGATTTTGGGCTGAGACAATGGGGTTTTCTAGATATACAATCATGTCGTCTGCAAACAGGGACAATTTGACTTCCTCTTTTCCTAATTGAATACCCTTTATTTCTTTCTCCTGCCTGAATGCCCTGGCCAGAACTTCCAACACTACGTTGAATAGGAGTGGTGAGAGAGGGCATCCCTGTCTTGTGCCAGCTTTCAAAGGGAATACTTCCAGTTTTTGCCCATTCAGTATGATATTGGTTGTGGGTTTGTCATAAATAGCTCTTATTATTTTGAGATACGTCTCATCAGTACCAATTTATTGAGAGGTTTTAGCATGAAGGACCGTTGAATTTTGCTGAAGGCCTTTTAGGCATCTATTGAGATAATCACGTGGTTTTTGTCTTTGGTTCTGTTTATATGCTGGATTAGGTTTATCGATTTTCGTATGTTGAACCAGCCTTGCATCCCAGGGATGAAGTCCATTTGATCATGGTGGATAAACTTTTTGATGTGCTGCTGGATTTGGTTTGCCAGTATTTTATTGAGGATTTTTGCATTGATGTTCATCAGGGATATTGGTCTAAAATTCTCTTGTTTTGTTGTGTCTCTGCCAGGCTTTGGTATCAGGGTGATGCTGGCCTCATAAAATGAGTTAGGGAGGATTCCCTCTTTTTCTATTGATTGGAATAGTTTCAGAAGGAATGGTACCAGCTCCTCCTTGTACCTCTGGTAGAATTCAGCTGTGAATCCGTCTGGTCCTGGACTTTTTTTGGTTGGTAAGCTATTAATTATTGCCTCAATTTCAGAGCCTGTTATTGGTTTATTGAGTGATTCAATTTCTTCCTGGTTTAGTCTTGGGAGGGTGTATGTGCCCGTGAATGTATCCATTTCTTCTAGATTTTCTAGTTTATTTGTGTAGAGGTGTTTATAGTATTCTCTGATGGTAGTTTGTATTTCTGTGGGATCGGTGGTGATATCCCCTTTATCATTTTTTATTGCCTCTATTTGATTCTTCTCTCTTTTCTTCTTTATTAGTCTTGCTAGCAGTCTATCAATTTTGTTGATCTTTTCAAAAAACCAGCTCCTGGATTCATTGATTTTTTTGAAGGGTTTTTTGTGTCTCTATCTCCTCCAGTTCTGCTCTGATCTTAGTTATTTCTTGCCTTCTGCTAGCTTTTGAATGTGTTTGCTCTTGCTTGTCTAGTTCTTTTAATTGTGATGCTAGGGTGTCAATTTTAGATCTTTCCTGCTTTCTCTTGTGGTCTTTTAGTGCTATAAATTTCCCTCTATACACTGCTTTAAATGTGTCCCAGAGATTCTGGTATGTTGTGTCTTTGTTCTCATTGGTTTCAAAGAACATCTTTATTTCTGCCTTCATTTCTTTGTGTACCCAGTAGTCATTCAGGAGCAGGTTGTTCAGTTTCCATGTTGTTGAGTGGTTTTGAGTGAGTTTCTTAATCCTGAGGTCTAGTTTGATTGCACTGTGGTCTGAGAGACAGTTTGTTATAATTTCTGTTCTTTTACATTTGCTGAGGAGTGCTTTACTTCCAACTATGTGGTCAATTTTGGTATAAGTGCAATGCGGTGCTGAGAAGAATGTATATTCTATTGATTTGGGGTGGAGAGTTCTGTAGATGTCTATTAGGTCCACTTGGTGCAGAGCTGAGTTCAATTCCTGTATATCCTTGTTAACTTTCTGTCTCGTTGATCTGTCTAATGTTGACAGTGGGGAGTTAAAGTCTCCCATTATTATTGTGTGGGAGTCTAAGTCTCTTTGTAGGTCTCTAAGGACTTGCTTTATGAATCTGGGTGCTCCTGTATTGGGTGCATATATATTTAGGATAGTTAGCTCTTCTTGTTGAATTGATCCCTTTACCATTATGTAATGGCCTTGTCTCTTTTGATCTTTGTTGGTTTTGAGTCTGTTTTATCAGAGGCTAGGATTGCAACCCCTGCCTTTTTTTGTTTTCCATTTGCTTGGTGGATCTTCCTCCATTCCTTTATTTTGAGCCCATGTGTGTCTCTGCACATGAGATGGGTTTCCTGAATACAGCACACTGATGGGTCTTGACTCTTTATCCAATTTGCCAGTCTGTGTCTTTTAATGGGAGTATTTAGCTCATTTACATTTAAGGTTAATACTGTTATGTGTGAATTTGATCCTGTCATTATGATGTTAGCTGGTTATTTTGCTCATTAGTTGATGCAATTTCTTCCTAGCATCGATGGTCTTTACAATGTGGCATGTTTTTGCAGTGGCTGGTGCTGGTTGTTCCTTTCCATGTTTAGTGCTTCCTTCAGGAGCCTTTGTAGGGCAGGCCTGATGGTGACAAAATCTCTCAGCATTTGCTTGTCTGTAAAGGATTTTATTTCTCCTTCACTTATGAAGCTTAGTTTGGCTGGATATGAAATTCTGGGTTGAAAATTATTTTCTTTACCAATGTTGAATATTGGCCCCCACTCTCTTCTGGCTCGTAGAGTTTCTGCCGAGAGATCAGCTGTTAGTCTGATGGGCTTCCCTTTGTGGATAACCCAGCCTTTCTCTCTGGCTGCCCTTAACATTTTTTCCTTCATTTCAACTTTGGTGAATCTGACAATTATTTGTCTTGGAATTACTCTTCTCGAGGAGTACCTTTGTGGTGTTCTCTGTATTTCCTGAATTTGAACGTTGGCCTGCCTTGCTAGATTGGGGAAGTTCTCCTGGATAACATCCTGAAAAGTGTTTTCCAACTTGGTTCCTTTCTCCCCATCACTTTCAGGTACACCCATGAGACATAGATTTGGTCTTTTCACATAGTCCCATATTTCTTGGAGGCTTTGTTCGTTTCTTTTTACTCTTTTTTCTCTAAACTTCTCTTCTTACTTCATTTCATTCATTTGATCTTCAGTCACTGATACCCTTTCTTCCAGTTGATGGAATTTGCTACTGAAGCTTGTGCATTTGTCACATAGTTCTCGTGCCATGGTTTTCAGCTCCATCAGGTCATTTAAGGACTTCTCTACACTGGTTATTCCAGTTAGCCATTCATCTAATCTTTTTTCAAGATTTTTAGCTTCTTTGCTATGGGTTCGAACATCCTCCTTTAGCTCGGAGAAGTTTGATCTGAAGCCTTCTTCTCTCAATTCGTGAAAGTCATTCTCCATCCAGCTTTGTTCCATTGCTGGAGAGGAGCTGCATTCCTCTGGAGGGGGAGAGGCACTCTGATTTTTAGAATTTTCAGTTTTTCTGCTCTGTTTTTTCCCCATCTTTGTGGTTTTATCTATCTTTGGTCTTTGATGATGGTGACGTACAGATGGGATTTTGCTGTGGATGTCCTTTCTGTTTGTTAGTTTTCCTTCTAACAGTCAGGACCCTCAGCTGCAGGTGTGTTGGAGTTTGCCAGACGTCCACCCCAGACCCTGTTTGCCTGGGTATCAGCAGTGGAGGCTGCAGAACAGCAAATATTGCTGAACAGCAAATGTTGCTGCCTGATCATTCCTCTGGAAGCTTCATCTCAGAGGGGTATCCAGCTGTTTGAGGTGTCAGTCTGCCCCTACTGGGGGAGGCCTCCCAGCTGGGCTACTCGGGGGTCAGGGACGCACTTGAGGAGGCAGTCTGTCCGTTCTCAGATCTCAAACTCCATGCTGGGAGAACCACTACTCTCTTCAAAGCTGTCAGACAGGGACATTTAAGTCTGCAGAAGTTTCTACTGCCTTTTGTTCGGCTATGCCCTGCCTGCAGAGATGGAGTCTACAGAGGCAGGCAGGCCTCCCTGAGCTGTGGTGGGCTCCACCCAGTTCGAGCTTCCTAGCCGCTTTGTTTACCTACTCAAGCCTCAGCAATGGCGGGCACCTCTCCCCCAGCCTCACTGCCACCTTGCAGTTCAATCTCAGACTGCTGTGCTAGCAGTAAGTGAGGCTCCGTGGGTGTGGGACCCTCTGAGCCATGTGTGGGATATAATCTCCTGGTGTGCCATTTGCTAAGACCGTTGGAAAAGCGCAATATTAGGGTGGGGGTGACCCAATTTTCCAGCTGCCGTCTGTCACAGCTTCCCTTGGCTAGGAAAGGAAATTCCCTGACCCCTTGCGCTTCCCGGGTGAGGCAGTGCCTCACCCTGCTTCAGCTCATCCTCAATGGGCTGCACCCACTGTCCTGCACCCACTGTCTGACAAGCCCCAGTGAGATGAACCCAGTACCTCAGTTGGAAACGCAGAAATCACCTGTCTTCTGCATCACTCATGCTGGGAGCTGTAGACTGGAACTGTTCCTATTTGGCCATCTTGGGACCACCCCCCGGGTTACCCATTTTTGAAGTCTGCGATGATAGTTTCAGGTCCCACCCTGTCCCTCCACTGCCCCCTACTCTCTTAGCAGAGATTTCAGTCTATGTTACTGCTCCTATGTATTTCTATGTCTCTTAGGGGCATTTCCTTGTGCCTGGAAATCTGGCCCCATGCTGCCTCATGAGGGGGATGATGGCCCTGTTGAACCCCTCCAAATTGAACCCCACAACCACTGTGCCCCCATGTCTGGTCCACAGTAACCTGCCTGCTGGACTTGGTGACCTCAGTCACTGTGTTGAGTCACAGATGAGGCCAGAAACTAAGTGACGGCTCCCTACACATGACTTCTCTGGCATTATGGGTATAATTGGTTTGCTTCTGCAATGAAGAGGCCTCAAGGCTTCAAGAAAGAACCCCCTTACCTTTGCAAGATCTACCATCCCCCGTTAGGTTACAGGACCTCACAAAGGTGTCTGGCTTGCTATAGTTTCAGTGTCAGCCTCTTCTCTGCAGCCCTCAGGCATGGAGTGAAGACTACCTTCTTTCACCCCTTTCCTGTTCTCTCCGGGGCCCCCTGTCCTGGTTTGCAATCCAGCCTCACTGGTCACCACCCCAGGCCTTCAGACAGGTTTCAATGTCTCTGAACTGCCATGATGTGTGGGAGCAGTTTGGGGGAAATTTTTTCCCAGGAAGGCTTTCTGACCTTATGTAAATTTCTGTGTGAATAGAGGAGGAAATTGTCCAACTCTACTCTGTTACATCCAGGCCTCCAGTGGAAATATATGTGTTGAGAAGTTCAAGGCAGAACTCCATCCATCACCCGAGTCTAGGCCTCCAGGCCTGTCAAAATGCCTGTGAACAGTGGTTTTCAACACAGCCTCCACGTCTGCTCTCCTCGAAGTAGATAATTAAGCTGCTCCTCCTCGGGCCTCTGGGACTACATTCTGGCTCCCAGGCACGCCAGCTTGGTGATCACCTCCCAGCTCTGACAGACCCCAGGTTCCCTCCAGTTCTCAGTCTCCTGCCTCCCGTCAAGCTTCCTCAGTTCCACGGGCTTCTGAATCACCCTCCACAGAAACATTTTGTTCCGAGAATTTTTTTCACCTTGCCATAAAAACATGGAATTATTTTTTTAATTTGAAATTCATTTTGACTCTTCTTTTATAGATCTGTCATTTATACAATAGCTGGAAAACTTTCTAAAATCAGATATAATTTATGAACCCCTTCTTTTCGGCATAATGTCATTTTGTACATTAAAATGATAATGACTGGAGGAATCAGATGTGTCTCTCCATCAAGGGGTGGGGGTAGTCAGGGGAGATGGTGGGTGGGGGGCTGTTCTGGTTCTTCTGAAATAAGTCTCAGTGAGCCTGTGCACAGCCCCCACCAGGGGCTTTCAAGAAAGTGAGAAAACAGGAAAAAATGTATTTTTCACATCATCCTTGAAATGAAAATAACAGTGAAAAATAATTGAAACCTATGGCCCTTACAAAAGAATGAGGCCTTGAGAAATGGTTAATGATATCTCTTACACATAAAGTTTTTGAATTATACTTGATTTAAAAATATATATAATATATTTACATCTACTATACATATATATTTTTCCATATTTATATATACTATATATTTATATGCATATACTTATATATTATATATTTATATGCATATATTTTATATATTTATATGTGTATATTTATATATTACATATTTATATTAATTTATTTTATATATTTATATGTGTGTTATATATTTCTATGTATGTATATATTTTATATATTTATATGTATATATAATAAATTTATATGTATATATTGTATATATTTATATTTATATATTGCACATATTTATATATATATTTTATATATTTTATTTCTATATTGTATATATTTATATGTATATATTTAATATATTTATATGTACATACACACACACACACACACACACACACACATATATGTCTTTTGAAGTAGTTGAGGGCAATATGTAAAACAGTTGTTCTCAGTCCTAGCTGTGGAGTAGAATTGCCCAGGGAAGGTTTTTTAAAAATATTAAATCAGATGTGAATCTAACATGCAGCCTGTGCTGAGAACAGCAGGATAGTGGCCCTCAGAAGATAGGGCTCTAAGCTCCATCAATATTGTTGGTACATTGCATGATCTTGGGGTGAATAAGAAAAGCTAACTCTTACTCCTTACCATGGGTCAAGTGCTGTTCCAAGCCCTTTTCTCATATTGACAGTTCTTGAGAGCCTTTGAGGTAGGTACTATTATTACTCTGTTTCTCAGATGAAGAACCTGAGGATCAGAGAGCTTAAGTAACTTGCCTAAAGTCACACAGCCAGTACTTGACTGAGGAGGGATTTGAATCCAGGCAGTCTTGGGCTGGTGCTCTCTACCTGCTATGCATGCTTCCTCCCTAAAGGATTTAAGTATCTGTTTCTACATAGTCCAAATATGAATTAGTTTGCTCATCTATAAAATTAAGTAAGCTGAACTAGGTGATCTTCAAAGTTCTGTGGTTATAGGGTCTCTGTTTTAAAGACAATGAAAATGAGCCTCAGAGAAATGAAGTGTTTTGCTGCTATGAGTAAGCCAATGAATCAGAGCCAGTTCTCCAACCCAGGCCTTCTGAGTCCTAGTGTAGAATTCTTTCCCAATCCACAGTAAAAGAAGCTGGAGAACGGGTTGCCCCTAAAACATCCCAGGGGAAATTAAACTACTTTGTGAAAAGAACTCAAGTCCTAGGTTTGAAATGGCGACACAAATCTGAAACCTGTGTGCTTCCCTGTATCTTCTGGGAGATGGTCAAAAGTGATATCAATGTAACCAAATTTCAATTCAGTATCCATTGTTTGCAGAACCCTGATCTACATACTGTGAAAATAGAATAAAAATATATGGTTTTCTTTTCACTGGAATACACACACACACACACACACACACACACACAGACACACACAGAGGCACACACACAGACACACACAGAACGTTAATCACAGGGCAGAAGACAGCCAACCACACACCTCTGTGTCAGGAATGATGCTTCAGCCCAGTTCTTGACCTCTCCCTTCCTAGCATCTCCCAATAGAAGGAGGAGTTGTTTGAGGCAAGTGAAGAGTGACATTTATTAGAGGGTGTGGTCACTGTGTTACAAAGGCACAGGCTTTGCCCAGCCTTCCCTTGCAGTCCACTCCCTGCAGTGGACCTGGAGACAGTCTTGCCCCTCTGTCTTTCCATGTGCATGCTTGAGTGCTTCGGCCACTTTACAGGTCCCCACACCAAGCAGCCATCTGGAAGGTAACCAGATGTTCTGGTTTAAATCCCGAGTCCAAAACTACGATTGTCAGGATGCTGACTCCTTTGGAGCTCTAGAGCCTGAAGATATGCACTCAAACCCCAAATTTCCAGAAACTCTGCATTGCAGAGCATCCTCCCAGCCATCTGCTCTATCTCCACCCACATGTGAGTCATCAGGATGACTAATGTTACCCTGAGATAAGTAGCATGATCCTAAATGCACCCCGTGATGGCATCCACAGAATAAGCATTGAAACAGAAATAACGCTTCAGGTTTTGCCCTGGAAGAAGTCATATATCTCTTATTCACATCAATGGATGCTAACTTCCAGGCAAGCTCAGACATTCGACCTTAGATATTTAGATGAATAAGAAGGGTGGAAAGTAATCTCTTTTTCTGAGAAAAAAAGACTTGAAAAGGGAGGGAGGAGAAGGAAAAGGTGGAGGCAGAGAAGAAAGAGGATGACAACGAACAAAGATGAAGGCAAGAGGAAAGAAGAATTAAGAAGTGGTTCTTGGTCATACACCACCTCTTTAGAAATAGCATTTTTATGAGTTAAATGCAAATGAATAAAAAACATGTGGATTAAATTCCCCTAAAAACACTCACAGGCTTAAAATTTTAAAAGAAAATAGGACCAGTGCCAAATGCATTGTGGTCTGGGCCAAGCCCAGAGGGAGGTGCTCTGGCCTGTGTGCACTACACACCTGGGTTCCTTTGCATGCAGTGGGCTTTGGGAGCTGTGGGACCCTAAGGTGGCTCCCATACCTCACTGTCAGGTGGCCACAATTCACGAGTTCTCACACCATGGCCAAAGTGCAAGAAGGGGCAGATTTGGCTAGGATAAACTCTTGGCTCCCCAGCATAGCTAAAAATCTGAAACCAATTTCTTGATCTCTTCCCCCGCACTTACAAAAGACAGATTCTGAGCAAGGGAGGCGTCAAACCCAGGCTCAGCAATAGATGTGCTATCTTGATATAGTCTGAAGCCAGGCATCTGGGTCTCTGGTATGGATATCCTACAGATGTGTAAGAGCCTACTCTCACACACATGGGCATATAGATGACTTTTCTGTTGTTATTTATTTGAGACAGAGCATCTCACTCTGTTGCCCAGGCTGGAGTGCACTGGCAAGATTTCAGCTCACTGCAACCGCTGCCTTCCGGGTTCAAGTGATTCTTTTGCCTCAGCCTCTTGAGTAGCTGAGATTACAGGCAAGCGCCACCATGCCTGGCTAATGTTTGTATTTCTAGTAGAGATAGGTTTTCATCATGTTGGCCAGGCTGGTCTCCAACTCCTGACCTCAAAGGATCCATCCTCCTTGGCCTCCCAAAGTGCTGGGATTATAGGTATGAGCCACCATGCCTTGCCTAGATGACTTTTGACATGCAGTAGCCATCCCTTTTGAGCACTGCAGTGTCCCAGGCACTATATTAAGGGCTTTATCCACATCAGCTATGTTATCAAGAGTGGTTCTCAAATGAGAATTCTTAGGCTCAAGAGTTCAGTGACTTGTTCAAGCTCCTATACCTCATTCCTGATGGGAGGGAGGGGTACAGGGAACAGGAGCCATTGTGTCATGCTGTAATGCCATAGTGTTAGTGTCCTTAATCACCTTGTTAGAATATTACTTCAAATGTAAGTTTGAAATATATGCAAAAACCATCAATAAACTCCAAATGATTCATTTACAGAAAACAATGACAGGGAGACGGCACCTTGTCATCTCTTAGAGAGCGCTTCTAGCTGCACTCTTATCTGGTTTGTGTATTCAGGCAATGAGATAGCATTTCAATACTAATCTGAGAAAATCATAATTAGACATGTAAATGGATTGGAGAAAAAAATAGAATAGTGCATTTTAAGATACACGTAATTATTTTTCTATCTTCCCTCCCCAAAGAAGGGTAGATAATCAAAATTTATCTATGCCACAAGAAAAATTGCTCTTTTCTTTCTTCTGTGTTAGCTTGTGTTCTTATACATATCCACAGCATTGCCTCTTGTCATTTTGTGGTAATTAATCTCTTAATTATCTGTCTTTTTCACTTGACTCTGAAGGCAGAGACCATATCTGATGCACCTAGTGCCCCTAGTTTTGGTTCAACGCCTTTAAGGCCCCTTGCACAAGGATGACTAATGTGTAGCATGCATGCCTGCTCTACCTTCCCACAGTCGTGGAAGATATTGCTAATCAATCACTGCACTGAACCTCTTGCTGGTCTTAGAATTTTGAAGATAAACCTGTGGGTTGACACCACCAAATGATCACAGAAAAAAACCTTTTCTATACCCCTGTCATATGCCTAAATATGAAGCCTTCCTTGGTTAGGAAAGGCTCTGGAAACATAATAACAGACAATGGAAAAACATAGCAGAGGCCCCCAAATCAACATCTGTTCTCTGCTGAATGCTGATTCAGAGAAGAACTCATAAAAAAAAAAAAAAAGAAAAGACATGGACAAGTGGTCCCTGTTGGGAAAATCTATCTTTGAATTGTTTTCATCTGGAGCTAAATGAGGAGCTCCAAGTTTTCTTCAGTAGTAACGCCTGGAGATGTGAGATTAAGGGGTGTCAGAGACTATAGCAAAACTACTGTAAGTAAAACCGTGAATAAAACCATCATGCAGAGGGGGCTGGAAAGCTTCCTGGCTCTCATAATCTCTGGTGTCCAGTCATTTCAGAGGCTCGAATGGACCTCCATTCTTTCCGTTGGTTTGATTGCATGAGTTAAGCAAGTGCTTCTTTTGGTGAAACTGGTTTGAGCCCTAACCAACTGATAGTACAGTTTTAAAACCATAGAAAATTAAGAACATAATTATATAATGTTCTCAGCATTCACATTGCTTTAAAATTTTACCTATCTGGCTTACAAGACCTGTCACCAGCAAAGCTCGGGGATGCCTTCACACCACCACATCTGATCAGGGAGTTGGAGGACACCATGATTTGATGGCTTTGGAACACCTGTGTCCTTTGTTCCCCTACCCCTTTACTTAACAATGACTTAGCCATGAGGTGTTGGTTTTTTCTCTGGGTTCTTAAATCAGAGATTTGTCCTTCTTGGATCTAAAGCAAAAGCTCATTTTTGGTAGGAAGCAGCTCGTAGGGTTCTAGCTCTAGCCATGGGTATATGCATGCCTTTGGAGATGTTTCTTTCCTTCTTTGTGTTTGTGTCAAATGAGAGGGTTGAAACAGTGACCTCTCAGGATTCATATGGTGGTGAGGTTCTTTGACTGACTCTGCTCAGAGCTGGGCAAGACTGACTCTGCTCAGAGCTGGGCAAGACTGAGGTCTCAAGTTGATCCCTTCCCTCTGGCTTGGCACTTTTCCAGGCTGAGGGAGCTGGCCTCTCTATAATGGCAGGAGGGATTAGAAAACGACAGAATGCTTCCCTACACAGTCTCCCATGAGCCTTGGCCTCCCCACATAGGCCTGTTGCTGTTTTGTCTCATAAAGATGAAACACATTCCTCTGTTCTGAGCTCTATGGTCCCCACACTCTTTTTTTTCTCCCTCTTATTTTTAAGCTTAAACTCCTTCTAGAGTAATCTGTTCACAGCACCAGCCCCCACGTCTTAGGGAGGCTAAGTGACAAAGGCACACGTGTAGAGCAGGAAGAAAGGACTTTTCCTTTTCTACAACCTGCAATAAGTCACAAGGTGAATAAAGCCAAGGTTCAGGCCTAGACCTGGTTAGTAAAGTTCTTCTAGGTTCTGGAAGCTAAAATCCAGGCTCCCACTAAAACCTGGGGGCTGAGAGTTCAAAAAAGGTCATTTTGAGACCCCTTGCCCCTTGTATCAGCCTCCTGCTCCAATGAAAAAGGAAAAGACCAAAGCTCAGGCTGACGAAATGGCTACAATCTGTGGTGTGCATGTGTGTGTGTATGTGTGTGTGTGTGTTTCTTTTAAATAGATTCCCCCCAAAGAGAAAGCTTGCTTGTGTGGGTAGACACTCTTTTAAGAGGCACAAATCAGTCTCTGTCTGCCTAACCTGGGACTTCTCAAGCAATTCATACTGGTATCCAATGGTTAATTGGTAAAAAGTCTTTTTAATTTGGTAGAATTAGGGACTTCGGAGCTGTTCCCACAATGTGATAGGATGGAAAGTCCATCATTACAGAAATGTATGGGGAAATGAGAAACAGATGACAGAGAGCAGGGAGACCACCCTTCATTCTTTGCACAAGATTCTTACAGGAGAACTGGTAACATCTTCATGGTTTATGAAGGCCAGCGTAGTTGACTTTAGAATTTGTGTCTCCTGAATATTCATCCATGTCTTTTCATTCTTAAGCCCTTACTTCCCTTATTGGAAAACATCTCCTATATCCCAGCCATCTCTTCCTCATCCCTATTCTCCAGATACTCCAGCACTTTCATTGTCATCTCCTGGACCTTTCCAAGAATGCTTTAGAGTACATATGTGTCCTGCTTGGAGCCAAATTATTAACTCCACAAATAGACTGATGTTTGGTTTCCAAAAGGATTTTTACTTTACTTCAAGGAAGTCTTCTTTGAAGAATAAGTTCTTCTGTGTTTAAATAGAACTTTATTTCTGGAAAGCAGGATTGAGGATCAAAAGCCGCAAGCCAATGCTGTGCTCTGAAGAGCCATGCACAAGACAAATTTACAAGGAAGTGGAGACTATGAGCAACAGAAGGTATAAAACCAAGCAAAGGCACACATATAGAGTAGGAAGAAAGGAAGCCAGGAATAGAGGGGGAGAGGCCAGAAAAAGCACAGACCTAGTGGGTAGAGTATCCAAGGATCCCAAGAAAGATCCCCTAAATTCTTTTCCTGAGATCCAGAGATTTGCCTTGGATCCAGTACCTGCTTCCTGAGGCCTGACTTCATCACCATCTCCCTAGTGACAGTAGTCCCTTTACTGAGTTAGCGGAGAGAGACACTGTGCCTTCATCCCCAAGTGCCTCGGTTGATTGCTTTTTTGTTTCAAGCATGAAGCCATTGGGTAAAATTCAGCACATCTGAACTTCCAGCAGCTTAGTGGCAAGGGAAAGGTCCCTGGTTTGGCTAATGATCAGAGAAAGCCACAGTGAATCAGCAGGGACACTCTTTGGAGCCGACCCAGTGTGACTTTTCCCTGAAGCAGAAGGCAGGGTAAAGAATGAGAGGAATGGACAGAGGCATATCCCACTAGGGCATCATAAAAACAGCTAACTGACCTGAAACCACGGGCTGGAGGCTCTGAGATCAGCTGCTTTGATACAAGTAAGATCCACCTTCGTTATTCAGGTGGCTTGGGATGGACTCTGCTGAGTCCCATTGAACCCATTCAACAATTTTCATACAAATCTCAGGGCTAGGTTCTCTGCTAGCTACTGAATGTTCTCCTGCACCAGAAAAAGAAAATTGTATGCAGACACTTCAAGAATAGTTGAATACTGGGCTGGTGCAGTGGCTCATGTCTGTAATCCCAGCACTTTAGGAGAAATGGTCCCCACACTCTTTTCTTCTCCCTCCTATTTTTAAGCTTAAACTCCTTCTAGAGTAATCTATTCCCACCACCAGCCCCCATGTCTTAGGGATGCTAAGTGACTTCTTCCTTTTTTACAACCTGCAATAAGTCACAAGGTGAATAAAGCCAAGGTTCAGGCCTAGACCTGGTTAGTAAAGTTCTTCCAGGCTCTGGAAGCTAAAATCCAGGCTCCCACTAAAACCTGGGGGCTGAGAGTCCAAGAAGGGTCATTTCTAGACCCCTCACACGTCTGTAATCCCAGCACTTTAGGAGGCTGGTGGATCACTTGAGGTCAGGAGTTTGAAACCAGCCTGACCACCATGGTGAAACCCCATCTATACTAAAAATACAAACATTAGCCTGGCGTGGTGGTACACGCCTGTAATCCCAGCTACTCAGGAGGCTGAGGCAGGAGATTCACTTGAACCCAGGAGGCGGAGGTTGCAGTGAGCTGAGATCACACCACTGCACTCTAGCCTGGGTGACAAAGTGAGACTGTGTCTCAAATAATAATAATAATAATAATTCAATACATTTGTAGCTAGGTCAAACAAGTGGATATCATTTTCCATTGCCAAAAAGTTGAGTCCCTCAAAGTACCAAGCCTGCAACCTAGAAAAAAAAGTGCTCATCTATCTTTTTCTCTTCCACTCAGCAAGAGCTCTAGGAGATCCTTGAGATAACAGGGCAATTAATCTCCTTTCAATAACTAATAGGAGTTAGTGGAAGTAGCTCTGATCAGAGAATGGGAAGGAATTGAAGCAGGCAGGATCCCAGTCTCTCCACCTCCATCAGGTGGAACAGCTCAGCGCTTGTCCACACTACACATTGAACTTCTACCTAAACTCAATTAAAGTGTTTCATTGATTAAAATATTTTAAAAAGTAAAATAATATAGAAAACCACTGAATTTGGCTTCCAGAGTAAATTTTCTGAGGAAAAAAAATTACTGTTGAGGGGGGGAAAATAGTGTTTCTAAGATTTGTCCAGACATTACATACGCAGGCACACACATACACAAAATGCCATCAACACAGAACATCGACATTTAAAAAAAAAATAGAGATGGGTTCTTGCTATGTTGCCTGGACTGGTCTCTTGAACTTTTGGGCTCAAGCGATCCCCTTGCCTCTGTCTCTCAAAGTGTTGGAATGACAGGTGTGAGCCACCATGCCCGGCCAGCATTACCTCTAGATTCAGATCATTCAATCATTTAATAGACCCTGAGGCAAGGCCAACTGAGGTATTATTTATAACCTACCTCATTAATCCTCATCCCCAAATACTTGATGTATACTTGCTTTAAATGTCACTGCCCCATAAGTAAAACTTTAGTTTTTATTAAGCAAAACCTTAAGAAAGTTAATTATTAATTAAAATTTAATATTTATTAATCAACATCTTATATTTAAGAAAAAATAAAAGCTAACTTGGGGGTCTTGTTAATAAATGGCAGATTCTCTGGCCTGCCCCACCTCCCCCAAGATTCTGTTTTAAAAGGTCTGAGGTGGGGACTTAGAGCCTGCCATTATAAGAAGCCTCCTAGCTTCTTATAATAGACAATACTGTAAGAAACACCACTTAGGCTGGAGCCTCTTGAGCTGGCAAGATGATTGTATATAAGTGATGGTTAAGGAATCGCTCCCAGTAGAAACTATCAGAAAAGTGGAAGAAGCAGGACAGGGAAGGGGAGGAACTTAAGCCAGGCTGTGACTTCAGGTAAAGTCCCAGCTTCAGTAAGACCCTGTAGGGGAAGCCCTCGGCCTGCATTCCTACTGGATCAAAGTGGCTCATTCTCGGCTCACTGCAAGCTCCGCCTCCTGGGTTAACGCCATTCTCTTGCCTCAGCCTCCCGAGTAGCTGGGACTACAGGCGCCCGCCACCACTCCCAGCTAATTATTTGTATTTTTAGTAGAGACGGGGTTTCACCATGTTAGCCAGGATGGTCTCCATCTCCTGACCTCGTGATCCGCCCACCTCGGCCTCCCTAAGTGCTGGGATTACAGGCGTGAGCCACCGCACCCGGCCAGGGCTCTGCATTTTGCGGGTAAAGAAGCACCACAACGTGAGGGAGGTCCTAATGGAAGTTGAAGATATATAGGTGTGAATAATTAATCAGAGGGGATCTGGGTGGATCAGGCAGGTAGAAGAAGGGGATGTGGTTGGAGTGGGCAGCAGAGGTACCATCACAAACTGCAGGCTATCAAGTGGGTTAGGCCTAGGAGGCCACAGTTTAACAGCACATTCAGTCTAAGAGGCTCCTTTGCTGAAAAATCAGTGCCAACAAACATGGAAAAACAAAAAAGCCCAAGGAAATATTTATGCAAGCTAGGTTGGATGAATAAATAATAAAGGAATATCCAAGATTAAAGTGTTGCTGTACTCATGCAGTGGTAATTTCATGTAAAGTCAAAGGTCCCTCAAATATGACACTGTGATTCTAAAGATTTTTCTATTCCATTGGCATTGCATCTTGCTGACACTCTTTGAAGGAAGCTTTATGGAATAATTTCCCATCTCACTGCCTCTTTCCACTATGGAGTGTTCAACCTGTTATCCTTGTCAACTTCATTCATCTCAGTCTTTCTCCTCTGCACCACTTTTATATTTCTACAATTCTGATGATCACACTTATCTCTCTTGCTCCTGGTACTGAACCATAAACATCTTGAGAGTTACGATCATGTTAACTTATCAATACACCTCGGGGACAACAGCAATGGTCTTCACAAACTCGGAGCAGATAATCGAGGCTTGCAGGTTGACTGAATTATTCACAGTCCAAAGCTTTACTTTGATAGTTCCATGCAAGCAAAGTTTTTCCTAGACTTCCATTCTATTGAATTCCTTAGGTTTATCAACCAAAGAATCCTTTAGGTGATTAATCCTAATTCCTTAGGTAATTAATCACCCAAATATTTATTGAGCATCTAGTCTGTACCCATCTTGACACTGGGAAGGTCACAAAGTAGTATAAAACACAGTCCAAGTGCCCTAGGTACTTAAACGTTTTGGAGATAAACAATTTTTAACAGATTTGAATCAAAAAAGAGGATACTATAACAATATAATCAAGTGCAACATTATCAAATGCCACTAAAACTCAATGGTAGTGAATAGATCAGAGTTCATTGTAAAGTACACACCATAAAAGCACAAGGAGTTCAAACAGGTTTCATATTCATGTCAGCACTCATCAGTTGGTAGTGGTTGCATACAGAATCATCTCAGGAAATCTTAGTTTAAATGTGAGCTGAGTCAGCATCAGATTGATTAGCAATGTCTGCCAGGGCAAGAAATGATGACTGGTAGCAGATAAATTGAACATTCTGGTAGACTTGCTGCACTCTATGATCAAGAAAGGTTTCATAGGCAAGAGCTCTTGGAATGCAACAACCAAAGGCAAATCTAATGCCATTTTTTTCAAAGAATTAAAATTTCCAGTAACAAGCTGGCTTTTCCCAGAATACCAACATTTAGTTCACTAATGGAGCCTAGTCTCAGTGGAAGCCAAGTTAATGCCAGTGCTTGCTTTTCCTCTTTCTAGACATGTTTGTCAAATCAGATCTCCTCCTGGAGTGCTCATATGTCTAAATTCACCTTGTAAAGAGAGCCTGCCAAAAAAGAAAAAGAGAGGGGAAGTTAGTCTGAATTCAATGTCAGTAAAGAAATGCAGGCAGAGAAATGCCACCATTCAGCAGTGATATCCCAATGCTGTTTGGATATCACTTGGTAAAGGATTTTGTAGGAAATGACTCATATCATCCCCAGGCTTGGCAATCTCCATGTTAGGCAGACCCTGGAGAGGTCAGGTAAGAATAGTGAAGTGTGTAGAAGAAAGAACAATGAAACTGACATGCAGAAGAATTGGGTTCTAGTGTCAGATCTAGCACTTCCTCCACTGAAAGCCTGAGTAGCACTTGAGTCTCAGCTGCTTCATCGAAAATACAGAGCCAGCATTTTTTCCTTCTGTGGAAAATAAAGTATCTGTTGTTTAGGGCTAGCATCCATTACCCCTCTTCCTTGGTAAGAGTGCCCTGAATATATTTTGGGTCACCATCTTACCTCCTTTTTAGATGTGTAATTTGATTGAGATTGAACTTCACTTCTAGTACCTAAGCCACCTATGAATGGCATAAGCCCATTTTTCTGGTAAATCTTAAAAGTTGGGTACAAACAGGTGTGCTGACAAATGTTTGACAACTGGCTCTGTAAATAATAAAAGCCTTATTTTCAGCAATTGCCAATTTCTATGGCCTAAATATTCCCACTATGGCTGATGTTGAGCTACCAACATGACATCCTTGAACTTGAAGCCAGGAAGAAATCTACACAATCAGCTTAAGGGACAAGCACACCACTGGCGCAATCCAGTAGAAGTAAACTCCAGGCTGGATAAAAGAGGGCTTGGCTTGGTTCTATGAAGATGTGATGCTTTGAACTAGTATAGCTATTTGCTACAAAGAGAGGAACTTGTAGAACAGAGCCACCCAAAAATACGATGAATCTGAACCTGAGATTGGATCATTTCAGACTGAAGCCATTTCTACATACAAATTCACGTTTGCCTGATCTATTTTGAATCAGGTTTTATGTCACTTCCAACCAAATATAAACCAATCATACACTACATATATCATAAAATCATTATAAGAATAAAATGAGATAAGCTATACAAAGCTTTTAAAATGTAAGGTCTTCCTCTTCTGATTGGTGTTTGCAAAGGATCATACTGTTCTCCCCAAGGAACCCCTAAGACAAAGTTCTCCAATAGGTCGTAACTGTCCTGGAGTGAAGAGAGCACAGATTTTCTTTCCTGCTATTATATTGGCAGAGATGATAAGAGAGAGGAACTTCTCTTAGGAATATAACAGTCTAGGGGCTTTAAAACAAGAGTTGAATCTGTCAAAGAAAAGGGTTTTTATTTTTTATTTTGGATGCCGCACTTTAGACGTTTGCCTGGGGTCTTAGAGGGCCTATTTTATTACCACTTAGAAATGCCAGAAGCAGCTAAAACTGAACCTTTCTATAATACTGCTGGCTATAGAAGCCCAAGTGACAGCAGGACAATCACTTGCCAAGAAAGAGAAGGTTAAGTTATAGCCAAGAGTCTGTGCCTCTCAGAAGAGGCGACAAAAGACAGGGTATGAAGGAGGCATTCCTTCCTGGTCACACAAAAGGGTGCCAAGAAGCCAAATCTGGAATCTCAAACACTCTATTAGAGGAGTTCCACAGCCAGACACAAGAGAAAGTCTCTTACCAATAGCAAGTCTCTTACCAATAGCAAGACTCTTACCAACAGCAACAGGTTCCAATGGGCCCTTGCTTTTCCTATAAAATGCAGGGATCAATGGTTCTCCAGTCACCTTCCATAGCCAAGGACCTTACAGTTTAAATATTGGGTTTATCTGATTGCTGAAAGAACATAAAAAGTAGTCAGGGGAGCTAGAGGCTTTTCATGATAGAAAAGAAAAGTGAGGGAACTGGCTTGAACACAAGACTCTTGACTTGATGGAGGCTACAACCCAGATGTCCTGACTTCAGATTTAGTATTTACCTCCCTCATAGTTCCTAATCAATTAGCCTTATATTGGGATCTTGTCATTCAGGTTTTTATTGTCTAAGTGCATGCAGTTACAAAGTTTCATAGGGAACCTCATAAACATCAAAATCTCAAAATATTCCAAAGTAATATTCTAGCAACTTACAAGTTCAGTCTCCACTCCTTTGTCCCGTCTTGCTTAACACTAGCAACCATCCCCTCCTATCAGTTATGAACCATTTGGAGGAAGTCTTCAGCTAAAATGCAAAATACAAAGTAAGCCCCAGGCAAAGTTAATTCACAGATTCCACAAAGTTGATGAAAAGGATAGTAGAGGCCACTGGGAGGGAACACACACAAAACTACCAACAAATACAACAAATAAATGTGTTTCATTGAACACAACAATGAAAGAAGAAAAAAATCAACAATAAATGTCAGGAAAAGGGTTTTCATTAGTGATTTAAATATTAAAGGGTTAATAGAAGTCTTTGGGGAAACTGAGGAAGTTCTCAAATATTTTCACTCCAAAAAATCACTTGTCTTTTATTATTTTAAATTGATACATAATTGTACACATTTACAGGGTATCATGGGATAATTTGAAACATATATACCACGTGTAATAATCAAGTCAGGGTAATTAACATGACTTTTTAAAATTTCAATAAAGATCAATGGTTAGGTAAGGGATGTCAAAAAATATGCCAAAATCTCATCCTTTGATTCATTCTTTGTTCATTCTCAGAGTTAACAAATTGTTGTGTTTATAGTCTATATTTTGCTAAATATAAGGTAAAATAAATTATTTGTTTCATTTTAATCAATATGCAGACCCAATGAGATCATTTTACTTTATTCACTCTTATAAAATTTTGGTCCTTGATTTTCAGTGGATTTATACTCAAGTCTTTCTCTTCTATCACTTATCCTTACATAATAGAGATCTCCTCTACATAGAAGGAACCTATTAACTATTTATTGAATGGTTGGTTGGATGAATAGAAATGGCTTCTCTGCCTTCAAGCAGGACCATAGTTAGACAAGCCTTGATCAACAAGCAATTGCAGCATGGTTCTTAAAGATGTTTCTGGAAAGGAATGGCTTAGAATCTATGAGCCTTTCAGTCAGACAGAAGAAATTGGTAGCATTCTATTAAATATCACTAGTAGGTCTCCTGTTCCACCTCAATCAAGGCATGAATATATGTGAAACCTTTACTTAGTGCCAAAAGCATTTACTTTGGCCTTACGCTGTGAAAGCATTTAGTACCATAGCTTTCCTCTCAGGAGCTTATAGATTAATTAAGGGATTAGATGTAGAATAGTTGCAGTCTGATGTGTAATCATATAAAACCAAAGCCTAGTGCATGTAACACAGATGCTGAAAACCTAAAAGTACTGCAGAGAAGAGGAAAATAGAGCCATTCAATGGGTTAGCATCAGGGGGATAATGATGAACAGAAAAGAGGGAGGGTATCCCAAAGTAGGAGAGAAGCAGCATCATAAATGGCAAAAGGAACACCTGGATGCTGGGGGCTTAGGAGAGTTGCATTAAAGAACAGCAGGGAGTTAGATGAAGGTGAGAAAATCCCACTCCTGTTTGAAGCCCATTCTACGAGTGACATTTCAGCAGCTTCTTTCACTGACCCCTCAAGAGCCTGTGCGTATATACATGGGTTTATGCACCAGTACCTAGCACTAGTCCAAAACCACTTTCTTTTCAATTTAAGTTGGTGTCTCTTGTGAGCAAGAAACCTGTTCTACCCATATATGAAGGCTTACACTTATGGGTTTCCAAATCCTGTTTCTCCATACCCAAAGAGATTATCCATTTGAGGGCTGTATCAATTATCTGCTGCCACAATACTGCTGCATAATTAAAAATCATAAAGCCACTGTGGGTTACAATAATACACTTTTATTCTGCAACAAGACCTCAGTGTTCAATTATTCAGGTTGGACTTGGCTGATCTTGGCTGGGCTGGCTCACACGTCTGGGGGTAGAGGGCTGTTGACCCATCTAGAAAGGTCTCAGCTGAGATGAATGTGGTGACTCTGCTCTATTCCACATGTCTCTCATCATCCATCAGGCTAGCCTGGGCATGTTCATGTAGCAACAGTAGAAGGTAAGTGTTAACAAGTCCCGTTGCACAGTGCTATTCAAGCCTGTGTGTGCTTCACATTTGCTAACATTGGCACAGCAAGTCAATGACAGAGGCCAGAGTCAGAGATACAGGGCATGACAAAGTTACATGGCAAATGGTGGGGATGAAGAAATGATCCCCTTTATGTAATCAATCTGTGGTGAAGATCATAACACCTTGTAATTAACAAGGCAGGAAAAGGACCAGTAGGTACAGTCATGTGATCCATTAGACACCCTTCCCTAAAGCTCTCTTCAAGCCTTGAACACCAATAAGAGGAGCAGAGGGAGTGCTTACGTGATTTTTTTTAAGTGAGCTAGCTGAGCAGCCAGCATTTTCCCAAGGCTGCCCTGTTCTGTTCAGAATAAAGACACAGGCAATAGGCCATGCTTGGATGCCTCGGACCATCTGCCAACAAAAACAGAAAAAAAAATTAATTATGAATGGTGTCTTCCCATGCTAATCATTTATTGTAAAGGATTTCTCCAGCTTGTTTATAATAGCTGTTGCCTAAGGGTGCATGCTGTATAAATTGTCTGATTACAGGATACAGAGCACTTCTTAATAGGCCTCAGCTGATTAGGAGAAGGGAAAGAAATTAAAGAGGCCATTTCCCTTTAGGTATGCAAATACCTCCCAGAACAAAAGACAAAGATATGATAGACCATGATGAAACACACCCTCTTTTCTTTTTACCTTAAATTATGTACCAGGCAAGGAGCAAGCTTCATTGCATGTGTCAGCTGAGATGTGAATGGTCTAGTAATTGAAACAATACCAATGCCAGAAATGCATGTTAGACTAGCTCCCTGGGCAGCCCTGTAGCAAATAGTAGTGCAGTGCTTGGATCTCTCTGGATAAGGGGTCACTTCTAACCTTTGGGTAATTTGACTCTGGCTCATTGAGCTAAATTTGTTTGGATCAGCTTGGCCTTCTCATTTTTGAAGCCAAAATTTACATGTCAACATCTGGCAGGAAGGGCAGTTGGAAGGCAGACTGAATGTGTTTGAAAAACATAGAAGTGCACAGATAGAGTCATTCTTCTTCTCACTTCTCAGGCACACAGAGATTCACACATACATCTCACAGACATGTGCATGCACACACACACGCATACACATGCAGGAGCCTCCATTCCCACAAAGATTTTTCCTCTTAAGATGTCCATTAGTGCTTTGAAGGGGTATATTCAACATGGTATTTTATTGTGACTTACTTTTTCAAGCAGCAGGGATTTTATCGGTCTCCCTGACCAGTTATAGAAAATACAGAGGTGCATAGAGATGTTGAGGGTAGTACCAACATGAGGATTCTACTTATTTGGAAGTAAACGTGCTGTGCCCCAGATGTCAGGCACTTCCAAGCATGAATTATAAATGGATGAAAGGAGATTAAACCCTTGCAGCTTACATGGGTGAGTCTTCCCTATTTCAGAGGTTAGTAAATCTCATGTGCATCTTATCAGTGCTTTATTAGAGCTGAATTTATTTTCTATCACTGCCTGGAAAATTACCCCAAAACTTAGTGACTTAAAACAACAACATTTATTGTCTCACAGTGCTCATGAATTAGAAGTCTGGGCACAATTTAGCTGGGTCCTTTGTGTCAAGGTCTCTCACAAGCTTGCAATCTAGGTACTGACTGAGGTTTCAGCCTCATCTGAAAGCTTGACAGGGGCAAGATCTACTTCCAAGCCCACTTACTTGATTGTTATTGGCAGGATTCCATTCCTTGTGGGCTGTTGATCGAAGGCCACCTCAGTTCCTTGCCAATGGCCCTCTCCTTTAGGGCAAGCACACCATAAGAGCCAGAGAGGGGATGCCAGAAAGATAGAAATGATAATCTTTTATAACCAAAGCTCAGGAGTAGTATCACATCACATCTGCTGTATTCTACTTATCGGAAGTAAGTCACTAAATCCAGTCCCCACTCAATGGAAGGGAATTACACAATGGCATGAACACCAGGAGATGCGGATTTCTGGGAGTCATGTTAGAAGGCTGTGTGCCACAAGATCCCTTTGGCATTATTTTCCAAAAAAAATCTTCTCTGGAGGACTGAAAGTTAACTAAGTACTATTTTTCAGAGTCCTTGAGTTCCAGAAGCAAAATTTGTAAACTAACCTTTCCTCCTTGCTTGTACATTTAGTTTATATTTAATAAAACTATGGAAGCAAAATTTGGGTATCTCTGACACTTCTGCAGAATTGAATGTCCATCTGGACAAATTAATGACCCCATGAGTGTTTGACCTGCCTACTTGAATTCAGTTGAATCTTACTGAACACCTATGGTGTGCCAGGCACCTTCCTAAGTGGGAATACAATATTAATTCAGATACATACAGTCTATGTCCAAAAGGAGTTTCAAGTTGGCATGGGCAAAGGATGCATGCCATAATGGACTGCTTATATAGATGATGGTAAAGTAAAGGTGGTATGAGATTATGTTAAAAAGAATGTTTTACTTAAAAAAATATGAATGATGGACATTGTAATTCAGATTCTTTACCATATTGTGGTCATATAGTCCTGTTCCTATCAGGTTTTTTTTTGCAGTGGGGGGAGGGTTGGAGTCTCACTCAGTCACCAAGGCTGGAGTGCAATGGTGTGATCTCGGCTCACTGCAACCCCCACGTCTCAGGTTCAAGCAATTCTCCTGAGTAGCTGGGATTACAGGTGCATGCCACCATGCCCAGCAAATTTTTGTATTTTTTGTAGAGATGGGGTTTCACCATGTTGGCAGGCTGGTCTTGAACTCCTGACTTCAAATGATCCACCCGCCTCGGCCTCTAGAAGTACTGAGATTACAGGGGTGAGCCACTGTGCCCAGCCCCTATCAGTTTTTTGCTCCCTTCTCTCACCAAGACCATGCACTCCCTCAAAAAAAAAGAAAGGGTCTTCTCTGAAAACTCTCACCATTCTCACCAGCTCCACCTCCAATACTGGCTCAGTCTGTGGCCTTTGCAATTGTGGTTCTCTCTGCCCACTCTATAAATGATTAATTTATTATCTCACTTGCTCAAAAGAAATCTTTTAACCCCTATCTGAACTAGTCACTTATTCCCAATCATTCACTTATTATCTCTCTTATTTTTTATAGTCTCTAAGAAAATATTAGTGAATTATTCACTTTTTTATTATTGTTACTTTCTTTTCTAGACAGTAAGCATCATTAGAAAAGAAGGAAACCTAGTCTGTTTTGTTCAGCATTATATTCAGTACCAAGAACAGTACACATAGTAGGTGCAATCTTAATATTTGATAAATAATGAATAAATGAATGAATGAATCTCATATAATGGGACTTGAGAAAATGCAGATCCAGAGTTCCAACAGGGTTGTTTATCCCCCAATGCCTCAGTTTCTCAGTATGTAAACTGAAAACACATTCTCCCAAGACCTTCTTTTGTAAAGGAAAAATTAAGGATATTTAAGAAACATTTTAACTGTGGTGTGTAAAAGCAGTATTTAACAATTATTTTTCATGTGGAGTTAGTTGGGTCAAAAATTTTTAAGCCAAATCAAGTGCAGCAAAACCTTAATAAGACTATTAGAGAATCGACAGGGAGACAATTTTATCACATAATCACTTTGGGGTCAGCATGCCTCAATTCCAGTTATGATTTTAGCATGGACTATGAGATCAAAGGTCAATCACTTCCAAGCCTCTCTGTCCTTGAGCTAAAATAAATGATTTGCACTAGCTAATTTAACAATGCCAACTACATTTTTCAAAGAAAAATAAAGTGATGGGGTCTGTATTTGTCCATTCTCATGCTTCTAATAAAGTCATACCCAAGACTGGGTAATTTACAAATGAAAGAGGTTTAATTGACCCACAGTGCCACAGGGCTGGGGAGAATTCACAATCATGGTGGAAGGCAAAGGAGGAGCAAAGTCATGTATTGCATGGTGGCAGAGAAGAGGGCATGTGCAGGGGAATTCCTCTTTATAAAACCTTCAGATCTTGTGAGACTTATTCACAATCACAAGAGCAGCATGGGAAAAACCCATCCCCATGATTCAATTACCTCCCACTGGGTACCTCCCATAACACACGGGAATTATTACAATTCAAGGTGAGATTTGAGTGGGGACATAGAGCCAAACGACATAAGGGTCTAAATAAGATTCTTATAGGTCTCTTCTGACTGAATCTAAAAGGAAATCTATGAGATGCTTTTGAATGCAACCTATGAGAATCCCCGATGCATTCAAATGGTCTATAGAGTCCATAGTATACACTGGAACTAGGATTGCTCAGAGAACAGAAGATGGATAATCACCATATCTGACAGGCAGCTTCCAACTCTGAATTCAAAATGCAAAACCTCAATTGGTAGATAGATGGGTAGATATGCAATAAAGCAAGTATGGAAAAATGTTAATGTTAGAGTCTAGGTGGTAGGTATATGGTTTATTTTACAATTAGTTTCAACTTTGCTACATGTTTGGACATTTTCAGAAAGAAAATTAGAAAAAATTAAAGTTTACCAGCAAAACTTATGGGCTTAAATCCTTGCTATGCACATTTAGGTATTTCTGGCTATATAGGGGTTCTTTCTCAGGACTATACCATGTCATCCCATTTGCTAGATTGTCACTTTAGATGTTGGTTCATCTAAACCAACCAATGTGTAGAAACTTCTAAGATTGACAAGTGGGTGAGAGATATTCCAAAAGAATGTCAAAATGTAGTGCAAAGAGCAAAGGAAGCCCTAGAGACCACATGCTTGCTCATTCAGGAACTTATTTGACCCCATGAGAGAGACAGGTGGGCAAAAATGACCATCTTATAGGCAAGATGATGAAAGCCCCAGGAAATGAAGTGACTTCCCCAGGGTCACACAAGTACATGGAAGAGTCAGGTTTTGAACTGGGGTCACTGGACTCAAACTCTTGCATCTTTATTCTAATTACAATAGCTTAGACTTTCATGAGCTTTTAGTATGTTCCATGCTCTATTGTAAATGCTTTTCATGTTCTGACTCACAATTTTTTTTCGCAACTACATGAAGTAGGAACTTCTTATATTATCCTCATTTTATAGAAGGAAATGGAGGCTCAGAGAGGTTAATTAGTTTTTCCAAGGTCACACAGCCAGGAGAGGGTAGAGCTAGGATTTAAACCAAGGTATTTCAGTGCTATGAAAAGGTATCCACTGATTATTTTCAATGATCATTTAAATGTTAATAAAGCTGTTTTTAACAAAATGACCCTGCATGGATTCTGCGAGTTAGCTAAGCTAAGAATAAAGTCTAGACACAGTATTTTTTGTTATAATATTTTAAACTTTGTGTTTAAAAAAACAAATTAGTAATATACTTTTCTTATGGGACAACTTTTATATTTCTTACGTGTTTTTTTTTTGCTTTTAGTTATTTCAGAGTTAATGAACTTCTAATAAAATGTATTTTATTGTTTTTTGAAGCCAAATAAAACCATTATTTATTCTTGAATGGGCCCTTCATGCCAATTTAGACTAGGATATTGGCAATGTTTATTTATGCGCAATACATATGTGAATGTAAAGCATGCTTCTAGCCAACACCAACTTCCTAAACTAAGACTTGTACCTGCTTCTCTCTCTCTGTACACAGAGACCCAGAGACTCTCTCTAAGAACCTCTTCTGGATTTGTTGCTGATAAACTTGAGCATATTTGCTATCTGACTTGTAAGTTGTGAGAAGTTCAAGTGTGAGAAAGAGAGGGAGGCCTGACTGTATCAATCAGAGACTGAAAGATGAAGGGACCTTGTGGTGAATACTGTACCTGCCTTGCCTGGTCTTCTGGCCCCATATCATTTCCTAGCACATGTGCGTGACTTTCAACCATCAGCATCTGTCTTCATTTATCTAAGGGCTTTCTTTGGGAGTGGCAGAGCCACTCTGCCTGTGTGTGCAACAGGACAAAAGAGCAGAGTTTGGAATCCATGCAGGAGCAGCTCTCAGCCAATGCCTGAATGTGGGTGCACGGGGAGATGAAACTCCAGTTACCCAGAGAGGCAGCCTGCTTAATATTGCCTGATTTTTGGCTTCTTTTCACTCCCTGTCTTACTTCTCGTGATGGTAAATTTTATGTGTCAACTTGGCTGGGTTATGGTACTCAGATATTTGGTCTAACATTATTCTGGATGTTTTTTATGAGGGATGAGTAAGGGATGAGATTTACATGTAAATCATGGACCTTGAGTAAAGCAGATTGTTCTCCAGAATGTGGATGGGCCTCATTCAATCCACTGAAGGCCTGAATAGAACAAAAGAGTCACCTCCCCCAAGCAAGAGGGAATTGTCCAGTAGACTGACTTTGGACCTGACCCATAACAATAGCTCTTAACTGCCCCTGGACTCAAACTTCAACTCTTTCCTGAGTCTCATCAGGTTTTGTACTCACCAAGTCTCTAAAATCATGTGAACCAATTACCCGCACTTGAATCCTGGACTCAGGGTCTATTTCTGGGATAACCTAAATAAAGAATCCTGAGCATCTCATGGAGAAGAGGTGTGTGATTCTGGGAAAATTCATGTAAAATCAAAAAGGTAATAATTGAGCACTTACAATGTGCTTGTCATGTATTGCCCTGCCTTATGTACAGTATATCAATTAATCCTCACTATGCAACAGGTACTATTGTTGCCCTTATTTTACAGATGAGAAAAGTAAAATTCAATGAGTTTAATATCTGGTTAAACCTAAAAAGCTCTAAAGTTTACATCCTAAATGGTTGGTTTTTGCTAGTGCTCAACATTTATTTTCTGGTCAACAGAACAGAAAATGACCATTCCTCACTGCATGAGCACACGCTTCTCCTGAACACAAATGCTATGAAGGGATAGCCAGGCACGACTGAGCTAGAAGATTGAGTCCACACCAGGGTCAGCTTTTCCTATGATGTGCCAATAGATCTGCTGCCGGGGGCAAAAATTCCTGTTTCTAAGAAAACTGTGCCTCTGAAGGGAAAAAAAAAAGGAAGGAAGAGACAAAAGATGGGGGCAGGCTGAATGTAAAAAAAAAGAGCTTCAGGAGTCTTCTTGGAAAGCAAACAACTTTTGCAGAGCAACATTTTGATGAGTTAAGTGCAAATGAATCAGGAATAATGAGAAACACATGGGCTAAATTTTCCTTAAAATATACGAGTTTAAAAATTAAGAGGAAAAAGTGCTTGGGGAAAATGTGTTTTAAGTTTTAGCCAAGCTGAAAACATTCACAAAATGGATCAAGATATTTGTTGAGCCCACAAAATGACTAGGTTGGTCCATCTTGGGCAGATAGAGTGATAAAGAGACATATAAACAGTGGAGAGAGATATGCTGGGCCAGCCAGGACAGAGCTTTACGATAGAACTGTTCCAGGCTCCCCGAAAGCTGTAAATTGGGGATTTAGAGAGATATTGCTTTTCTTTCATTTATTTCTCCAAGTAACATGAAGCGCGGCACTCTGAATGTAATACTAATGAATAAATAATAGTCATTTGAAAAGCTGTTTGTTGAGAACAAGAAATATATTTAGTTTTTTTTTAAGGCCTTCAAAACCTGTGTTAACAAGAAAGTCAAGAAACATGGAAGATGTGCTGGGATTCTGGAGGCTCCCACAACACACAAGCCGAAGAGACTCAACTCAACTTGCCAGCTTCTGGGTGGCAAAAATGACAGGTGTCAGCATGGAAGGAACGCAGAGCCCAAAACTCCCTGTTGCTAGCTAAAGCAGCAACCCAGCCAGAGTGTTCCCTGGGAGGCAGAGCAGGGCCTTCCATGAAGACCTGGACCAGAGGTGCTAATCCTCCTCCTAAGTGCCAGGATTCATGGCGCCTCCCCTCTCCATGTCAATGGGAAGCTGTGACATTATCAGTCAGTTTCACATTCACACTCTCAGAAACAATGACCAAAGTTCCACTTTTGTTTTGAATCAGTATAATTTTTAGGTAAGTGGTAAGAAATAGGATTTGAGGAAATATTTACTTTTTTTTTTTTCTGAGATGGAATCTCACTCTGTTGCCCAGGCTAGAGTGCAGTGGTGCAATCTTGGCTCACTGCAAATTCCACCTCCCGGGTTCAAGCGATTCACCAGCCTCAGCCTCCGGAGTAGCTGGGATTACAGGTGTCTGCCACCATGCCTGGCTAATTTTTGTATTTTTAGTAGAGGTGGGATTTCACCATGTTGGCCAGGCTGGTCTGGAATTCCTGACCTTGTGATCTACTCACCTCAGCCTCCCAAAATGCTGGGATTACAGGCATGAGCCACTGATCCCAGACATATTTACTTGTTTTTAAATAAACGACACTGGGTCAAGTGCCATGGCTCACACCTGTAATCTCAATACTTTGGGAGGCCAAGATGGGCAGTTCCCTTGAGCCCAGGAGTTTGAGACCAGCCTGGGCACCATAGTGAGACACCATCTCTATAAAAAATACAAAACTTAGCTGAGCATGGTGGCATGCATCTGTAATCCCAGCTACTCAGGAGGCTGAGCAGGGAGGATCGCTTGAGCCCAGGAGGATGAAAGTGAGCCGTGATCACACCACTGCACTCCAGCCTGGGCAACAGAGTAAGCCCCTGTCTCAAAAAACAAAAACAAAACAAAACAAAAAAGCCCAAACAACAACAACAAAAATAAGCAACACTGATGTCTGGTGCTTCCTTCAATAGCACCATTCAGAGAACTTTAGGAGGTCCAGAATTATCACTGGTGGTTCTGGGTCTAGAGGAGCAAATGAGGCTGATGCTATGGCCCAGCAGGAACAATGACACTCAGCCTTGAGAATTGTCTTTGTGTTCCCTGAAAATGAGTCTGGGATACCCACTACTCTTTTCCCAAAAAAAGGCTCATAATGACCACCTGGAGTTTCACCTCTTCCCGCTTTTGCTCTTCCAAACAGTGACCTGCTGGGAGACCAGATTCCTTCACGGCCAGTGTTGACTCCACCCTATTTCTAGAAAGAGCCAACTGGAATCCAAGCATCTGGACCTAGGAATAGATATCACTTTGGAAGCATATAGAGAATATTGGGTTTTCCAGGTGTAAATATGGGCAAGGCCTGGGTTTGGGTAGACAGAACAAATGAAAAGCAAATTTCTGAAAAGAGATTCCTTAGAGCAACATGAACATGTATCGCTGACTCTTCTGCGGGCTATCGTGCTTTACCAAAACTAAACAAACTTATTGTTGTGCATGTAGGGCCTTATGGAATTAGAAGAATATGGTCTTTGAGCTTTTGGCCCAACTTGGATCAGTGCTTTTTTTGGCCCAACTTGGACCCACGCTTTTTAACATCTCGATCTTCTTTGGAAAGTAAAATGCCTGATGTCACTGAAATAAGAGCCCAGAGGGGGAAAAATGACTCCACTCTCACATTCTCTCTGTCTTCAAGATAACCAAAGAAAATCAATGGAAACCTAAGGAAATGGGGAAGAAAATGGAAGGAGAAACTCTTATGTGGAAAGATAAAGAAAAATGGTCTTTTTGAGGCTTGTTTGGAAAGAAAAGAGCCTTGGTTTGAAAGGCAACCAGCTCATTCTGTCACTTACCAAGTGGGCAAGTTAATTTTGCTAAGCCTTGGTTTTCTCTTCTATAAATTGGGGGCTGATTTGTGGGGCATTATAAAAATTAGAAGTGATACAGGTGCTGCTTCTGGCACATAGTAGATCATCAGTCATTGCAAGCCATTTGCTGTCACGCTCGCTGACTACCAGACAGAGCAGATGAATTTGACATGCAACTACACAGAAGAAACATGTTTTGGTTCCCACCTGTCTGCTGATGAGGGGAACCTCTGAATGTTCCGAGAGTCTCTGCAGAGCAGCGTGGGCCTCCTGAACAGCAACAGTTCTGTGGAGGTGGGGTGACATTTCTGAAGTGTCTTGATTGACACCTTCAGCCATAAACATAAAGCAAAATAAAGTGACTTCTCTCTTATTAAGGAATACAGAGAACTCCCCTCCAGATCGCCCACTTGAAACATGGAGAGGGTTGGGCTCTGAGGGAATGAAAGTTGTTCTCAAGATGCATTTTGGGAGTCACTCAAGAAAGTGCCCTAGTCCTTCCTTGTGGGAGGAATGGCACTGTCACAACTCACCAGCAGGGCATTAGGAAAATTGCATTCCTTGAAAGATGTTAACACTTAATTAGCAGAAGTGGTTCTATGGTCAAGTTCATCTGAGAAGCACACAAACATCGTCTAAGCACTAAACAAGTCTTCAGTAGAAATCATCCTGGTACATTTTATATACTCTTTAGAGAACCAGGGAATCTGGGAGAGGGAGATATAGCTTGGAACTTTTCCCATATTTAGTTGGCCACAGCTCCTTTTCTCCAGGCTCTCATGATCCAAAGGATACATCCTGGAGAGGGCTGGTGTAAGCAGTGCTGATCCATCAGCAAATTGTTTCTCCTTCATGTTTCTTGGATGGAAACTGTTTATTTATTTATTTTTCATTGTTGCTGGGTTTTGTTTTTACACCTCTGGTTCTCAAACTGGCTGCACATTTGAGTCATGTGAGCATCTTTTTAGGAAAAATGAAAACAATTTAAAATCTGGAGCCCCAGTTCAGACCTCTCTAAATAGCAGCCCATGAGTCTGCACTTTGAAAATCTTCCACCAGGAAGTTTGGGGCAGCCAACCTGGCACAGCTAATCAAAGACTGACATGGAAGCCACTCCCTCTCCCCTCCCCTGTATCACTGACACCATTTTCCGTCGTCTTGTCATCGCAGACTTTACAGTTGTTGTCATGAGTCTAATCTGAAAATGAAACTGGCACATGATGGCAACCAACCCAAAGGGAATTTTGAAGCCTGCAGAAAGAGGGATATTTTCTTTCCACTCTCCAAACTCAAGTAAGAACAATTGTTGACTTTCCCTACAACCCATTAATTCTATATTTAGGAAACTAAAAGGAAAGGGGGAAAAATCAACCACAACCTCACACACAATGGAAAAGATTGTAGAATCCCAGTGGCTATATTGGCAAAATGCAGCATGCGTGGCCTTCATTGGGGTGTTACTAGTCTCATATATTAGATTTTTCTTTTCTAAAGTAGGTGAGTTAATTTGTCTTGGACCAACATTCCTACAGACAGAATAGAGATCTGGTATCTTCATCACCACTAGAGGTAGTACAATCTGGACATGCCAAGTCCCTTGTATGCCTGCAAGCAGTTTTAAAAGGTTTTGGTTAGCTCCACTTTTATTAGAATGAAAGCTTTTCACAAGTAAGAGGTTTTATGAGAGTTATTTTTAAAGTAATGTGTTTTTATTGGTTTCTGGTAAGATCAGTGAAATCACATGGCATTTTTAAAGAATTTTAAACCAAAAAAAGATGTTCAAACAACTTGCTTGAAACACAAAAGCCAGGAAAGTCAGAATAAGATATTTAAACACAAGGAATAAGATATTTAAACATAAGATATTTAAACACTTGGATATTTAAATACCAAGATAAAAACAGTTCTGAAGAAGCAGCAGAAAGAAGGAAAGTGTGCTCCAAGCCAGGACAAATATAAACTCAGCTTAGCATCTAAACTGTCGTTCATTTATTGAGGTAGAAATGCGTCTCTTTAACTCTGTTGCCCCCCACAAATGTGAGGATCACAATTTGTTGTGTATAAAAATTAGGCTCATTAGATAAGAGAACATATTCTCCGTTGCCTAGACCTCAAAATAATAAACAATATGCAAAAATCCAGCTGAGTGCAGGAAAATCAGCAGAATTTCAGATGCACAAACCACAGAAGATCCTGGCTGGAATTCCACCTTCTTCAGTTCCTCCTCTTCTTCTTTGTCTTCATCTTCTTAGTCTTTACTGTCTTTTTTCTGATTATTAACCTAATAGATGCTCAATCCAAAACACTCAGATATGTCTAATGCAGCCTGAGAAAAACAATCTCATTCTTTAGGTGAAAAATAAAAACAGGTCAAGAGAAAAAAGGATGACTTACCCAAGGTCCACAGCAAGTCAACTGGCAATTTAGGAACAGAAATCAGGTGTTTTAATAGTTCTCCAGCATAGTTAATAGTCACAATGTGTATACACATATGCACATTTTTGCTGTTAACTTATTTTCTACACCTTGCTATGGTTTGAATGTTAATATTTTCCCCTAAATTCATATGTTGGAACTTAATACCCAATGTGATAGTGTTAAGAAGTGGGGTCTTTGGGGAGTGATTAAGTCATGAGAGCTTCACCCTCGTGAATCGGATTAGTGCCCTTTAAAAAGAGGCTCCAGGGAGCCACCTTGCCCCTTTCACCATGTGAGGACGCAGCAACAAGGCATCACCTGAGGAGCAGGGAGCAAGTCCTCACCAGACACCAAATCTGCAGATGTCCTGATCTTGGACTTTCCAGTCTCCAGCACTGTGAGCAATACATTTCTGTTGTTGATCAATTGCCCTGCCTAAGGCATTTTGTTACAGGAGCCTGAATGGACCAAGATACCCTTATGATGTGCACACATGAGCACACATGCTGGCACACACACACACAACGTGAGTATAAGCATCATGAAAGAAAGGCAAGGTTCATGTCTTCTAATACAGCACTGTAGACAAAGTCTCCAGCACTTACTAGATGTGCAATAGACACATAGATGATTAAGCAAATGGATCTCTTCATAATGCTTTTTTAAAATCAAACCATAGCTGTCTCATAACCCTTGATCCAATACAAGTGAGCAATCAAATAGATCTGTTAATGTGATATAATACCTGTAAAATCTCAGAACTCTTCTACCTAATTATAGAAAGCAGTTGAAGAGTGAATTCCCACCTATCCTCTGCAAAGGATACATTGAAGCAACAGTTTTCTAGAAAGAAAACTATAATGAGCTCCTGTATACCTGGGTACAAGTTCTGTCTGGGCCATTGCAGTTGTGCAGTCTTAGGACTTCTGCCCCTCCCAGAGGTGGCAGTGATATTACTCACCTATTCCCCTTGAGTTGGTACAAGGGTTAAGTGGAACAATAATTTGGAGAGAAACAAAACTCAGAAATGTTACAAACATACAGACTTTGTATTTCAGACAAGAAACTTTCTTAGAGTGCTTTTTTTTTCTACTTTGGTACCATGTGGTGATGTTATATAGAAGATGTAAATGCCTTTTGTAAAGTGTGGACCCACCTCACTAGATAATGATTATTTTCATAGAGTGTGAACATTCTCCTTTTGAAGTGCAATCTTCAAGACTATCTCTCCTTATCTGCTCTGAAAAAGGATTCCATCTGTTTCCTTCTGAAGAGCATCACTTAATCTTGAAATACCACCTGCTCCCTCCAAATTTAATTTTAACTATGAGACACATCATTACTTAGAACTAAGAGATTTTCCCACCTTGGACACAAGTTGAGAAAGGAAAAACTTGAGTCTCTGGCTGCCATTGCTTTGGACATTCTTCGATGGATAAAAGATTAAGCAGTGTTCAGTAAACTTGACCACCTACCATTGAGAGTACTCTGCCTGTACCTTCTCCCATTCCTTTTTTTTTTTCTTTTTTGGATATGGAGTCTCACTTTGTTGCTGTTGTTCAGGCTGGAGTGCAGTGGTGCGATCTCAGCTCACTGCAACCTCTGCCTCCTGGTGTCTCGACCTCTCTAGTAGCTGGGATTACAGGCATGCACCATCACGCCTAGCTAATTTTTGTATTTTTAGCAGGAACAGGGTTTCGCCATGTTGGCTAGGCTGGTCTTGAACTCCTGACCTCAAGTGATGCACTGGATCTCGGCCTCCCAAAGTTCTGGGATTATAGGCATGAGCCACTGTGCCCAGCTTCCCTTTTTTTGTGAGTCGGGGGGTAGGGGGTAGAGGAAATTTTCACCATTTTCCCCTCTTACTGGGTTGGCTTATAGGTAGTTATTTATGGTGTTTATCAAATATGTTTGGCTGTCCACTTCTTCTGCACATCACAGGACTGTTTCCTGGCCTCTTGTGTTTGAGTGAAGCCACGTGACTTGCATGTAGAAATGATGTGTCACTTCCAATATAGAAAATTTAATTGCTAAGGAAAATATCATTAGAGATCTGTTTTCTCTGCTGTAGTACCCAGCAACACTTGACATGTCAGCCTACATGCCAGATTATAGAGACAGAGAACAAAGCCCCCAACTGACCCAAAATGGACATGTATGAGACATTAATTTTTATGGTCCAAGCTGCTGAAACATTAGAGTTGTTACCGCAGCATAATCTAGTCTGTCAAGATTAAGAAAAATGGGGAAAATAGAGAATATTTGCATTAATTAGCTATTGCCTATACTTATAATAAACCACCCCAAAACCTAGTGATTTAAAACACCCACCATTTTATTTGCTTATGATTCTGTGGGTCAGCAATTTGGGTTGGGCTCAGCTGAGTGGTTCTTCTGCTTATTTCACTCAAGTCACTGCTATAGCTGCAGTCCATGGGTATATTGATTGGAAGCTGATGGCTTAGGAGTCTTCAGCTTGGATATCCCATCACTGTTCCATGTATTCTCAATCTCTGGTAGGCTTGCCCAAGCTTCTTCACCTGAGCCTCCATACAGCAAGAGAGCAACAGTAGAAGCTACAACACCTTTTGAGGCCTGTGATAAGAACTCGCACATTCTATGGATCAGAGCAAGTCTCTAGTTCAGACTCATGGGGGTGAAAAATTAGACTCTACCTCTTATGGAGGTGGCAGCAAAGTCACATTGCAAATATAGGGAGGGGAGGATCTTGTGGTCATTTTTTGCAATCTACCACATCATCTCATGACTAGTATACCAGTCCAGAATGTTTACCCATTGAAACAGCATTCTGTCTATTTTAGAGGGGAGGGGTATCATCAACAAGATTTTGCTTAAAAAAAATTAACTAAAGAACCCATTCTTCCACCATTTGCCCACAGAGGGTTGTTGTTACCCAGTTTCCATGACACTACATGGTCTTCTTGCAACCAGTAGGCACCCTACCTCCCAAGATGTCTGGGCCATTTTCTCTACAATCTTCTATACAATGTTTTAAGAAAATGTACCTCCTTCAGGAAAATGACTTGGAAAAATGAGGTAAGAGCCATGGAGTTCCCAGTTTCACTGAAGTGGATTGAAAATTCCAACAATGGCTCCCACAACATAGGGCAACAATTGATATCTGGAGGCAGAGAAGACCAGGGAGTAATTTGAATACGAAGTGGGAAGGAGAGCTTCTTACAAAAGTGAACAACTTGATAAAAGCACTGATGAGTAATAATAGCAGTTACTCACTGAGTACTTAATATTACTACTCCTAATAGTAATAAATGCTAAATAAAGCATGAGCTCTCCTAAGAATGAGGTTAAATCTTAATTAAAATGTGAGGGACTTTGGATAAGCAGCAGTCGGTTTATAGGAAGCCTACATTGGCTCCTTGTTTATATAATTTCAACAAATTAGCAATAAAAACCAGTGAAAAAGGATAATTATCAGAAAGAAAAAATACTCAGTGTTAATGAGACAATGGCAGGAGGCAACCCCTCCACCCCACTCCTCATTCTGATGCCCACCCACCATTTTATCTTCACCTGTAGCTCCCCCTGGTTAAACTTCCAGAATCGATGGGTTCATTCCTCTTGTCCCCCAAATCCTTGGGCCTGCAGTCTCTGCCTTCTGGTGTTCAGAGAAGGCCTGGATGGATGGCCAGGGTGCAGGGTTCACAGGCCTGGCATCCCAGATCCTGCCTTCAGCTGCCACCTTAGACAAAGCAGTGGTTAGGGAGGTTGGGGTCAGGGAGCACACGAGGACAGAAAATGCTCCCTCAGCCCTATCACCCCCTAAAGACTACAGGATGACTGAAAGGCGGCTGCTCTTGCAGTGGAATGTGAATGATCTTCCCCAGGGCAATTGGATAGATCCAGCTCCAAGAGTTTCCAAAATTTGGAAGGGCAGCCTCCGGGCTGGCTGTGAAAATTGTAGGAAAATTGTAATGTGGGCCACTGAGGTCACTCTCTGCAGGTCTGTTCCCCACGGCTTGCCAGTGCTTTTTGCTCTCACCCAATGTCCTGTTCTCTGGTGGCCATGTGATGACTCCTGAGGACAGGAAATGAGTCTACCTCTACAAGAAATCCATCCTTAGCTAGCGAAGGAGGCTGCAGGGCATCTCCCACCCTTCATTCATGCCCAAATGCTTATTTCACTGTTAGCCTGCCCAGGTTTAACCATTTCATTGTCTTTTATATAAAATTATAACAGGGTTCCAGTTGAGGCTGGAATTCTAAAATCTTGATACCTAAGAACTAAGGCTATAAAACCGTTTTAAAACTAAAGACAGATTTTTAGTTCAAATTGGGAGAGGGACCAGACACTTTTATCTTATTTTTTCCCTCAATACTAACAGAATAGTGCTATGAACCCAAAGATTGCTGAGGTAAGGAGGAAGAGATCCTTAAGTAGAGCAGAGAATCCGTATTGTTTCTGGAATGTGGAAAGTGTATGGGTTACTACCGATGCATGAGTCACAGAAGAGGAAACTGGAGTCCAGAGCACCCAGAGAAGGCCCCTGCAAAGGTGGAAGACATTCTTCCTTGCAGACCCCTGGAGAGCTATAAGCCTTTTACCTGTAGGTAGGCAAAGCAGAAGCAGAAATGGGAGAATAAATAAGGTAATAAATTAAAGCTCTCTCAGCCTCCTCTGTTTTATTCCCTACTCTTAGCACACTGAACAAATGACAGTTTATACCCAAGACCTGGACTAGGGCTCCCGATATGGCTGTCAATTGCCTCTTGCAACATAAAGGAAGGGATAACCTGCTAGTGGTCCCAGCCGCCCCAAACTCTCACCACCATATGCCAAGGTTCAAATCACTTTATTCTACCATGAAGGGAATGAAGGGAAGGTGAGTTGGGAAGCAGAATTCTAAAACCAAAATGGAGAATGCCCGCTGTGTAAATCAGCCAAGTGCATAACTGGCACACAAGAATGGGCAACTGAAGATCAAGAGCCAGGTGGAAAATCCATTGAGGATAACTTGCAGCCCCAAACTAACAAGTGAGCAAAAAAATGATCCCAGAAAACAGGAAACAGGAGAAAAATATTTTAAAAATCAAGTAAGTACACTCAGATTTAAGGCAATATTACATTTATGACAAAATATACTGAGGAAACAAATCAGAAGATAAGAAAAAGTACTTTGAAAATAAACATGTGATAATATGGAAATACTTCTGCTTACCCACTCAGCATTCATTGCTCCTTCAATCATTCCCAAAACAGCACCCATTTTGTTGAGGTGTCCCCTCATCCTAGAAAGCGTATGTGACTCAATAAGCGACTTACAGTTGCTACAAGGAGATGGGGGTTAAAAGGAATGAGGGTGTGGTAGGCTGAGTACTGGCCCCGCAAAGATGCCCAGGTCCTAATCTTGAAAGAATGAGAAATCCATCCTCCGCTAGTGAAGAAGGCTGCAGGGCTTCTCCCACTCTTCATTCATGCCCAAATTCTTATTTCACTGTTAGACTCAGCACCCATTCACCCTATGAATATGTTACCTTACGCGGGGAAAGGGACTTTGCAGATGTGATTGAGTTAGGACCTTAAGATGGGGAGACCTGTCCTGGACTATCTGGTTGGACCCAATGTAATCACAAGTCCATAGAGTAGCAAGGCAGGAGGGTCAGGGTAGTCACAGGAGGGGTGACAGTGGAAGCAAGAGGTTGGAATGATGTCAGGAAGGAGTGACAATCCAAGGAATACAGGTGGCTTCTAGGGGCTGAAAAAGGCAAGAAAATGGATTCTCCCTGTGAAAACAGCCGAAGGGAGATGCCAACATCTTGATTTTAAATGTCTGATCTTGAGCATCAGTTGAGGTCAGGGATTCGAGACCAGTTTGGCCAACATGGAGAAACCCTGTCTCTACTAAAAATACAAAAATTATCCAGGTGTGGTGACACATGCCTGTAGTCCCAGCTACTCAGGAGGCAGAGGCATGAGAATCATCGCTTGAACCCAGGAGGCAGAGGTTGCCGTGAGCAGAGATTGTACCACTGCACTCCAGCCTGGGTGACAGGGAGAGACTCCATCTCAAAAATAAAATAAAATAAAATAAAATAAAATAAAATAAAATAAAATTAAATTAAATTAAATATGTCTGATCTCCAGATCTATAAGAGAATTAATTTGTGTCATTTTAAGCCATTAACTTTGTGGCAAGTTGTTTTAGTGGCAATAATACAACCAATACAAGTGGTGTTATTGACATTTAGTGGACAGATACCAAGAACACTAAATGTCCTGAGATGCATGAGCAGTTGCTTACAGTCAAGAATTAACTTAACCAAAATGGCCATGGTTCCCAAATTAAGAAACACTGGAAGTTACTCAGAACATATTTCCCTCTTTCTCAACGCTTGGGTTGGGAATGAGCACATGGCAAAGTTCAAGTCAAGGAGATGTAAAGAGAGCTTGGCTAGTTTTCTAAGATGTCTTTGGAGATCTTCTCTGGAAAGACATTAACAAAGAGACACATATACCCAGTTCCTCCTAGCAGCTATTCTTCACTCTCTTAAATTCTATGAAGGTTGAAAGAGGTGAGGAAGCTGCAGAAGAAATGTTTGAAGCTAGCAGAAAATGGTTTATGAAGTTTAAGGAAGGAAGAAAGAAGCCATCTTTATAACATAAAGGTGCAAGATGAAGCCATAAGTGCTGATGTAAAAGCTGCAGCAAATTATCCAGAAGGTCTAGATAAGATCATTGACAAAGGTGGCTACACTAAACAGCAGATTGTTAATGTAGATGAAACAGCCTTCTATTGTAAGAAGATGCCACCTAGGACTTTCATAGCTAAAGAGAAGTCAATGCCTGGCTTCAAAGTTTCAAAAGACAGGCTGATTCTCCTGTGAGGAAGTAATGGAGCTGGTGACTTTAAGTTGAAGCCAATGCTCATTTGCCATTCCAAAAATCTTAGGACACTTAAGAATTGTGCTAATTCTGCTGGGCCTGCTCTTTAAGTGGAGTAAAGGCTAGATGACAGTACAATTGTTTACACATGGTTTAGTGAATAGTTTAAGCCCACTGTTAAGACCTACTGCTCAGAACATAAAGATTCCTTTCAACATATTATGACTCACTGACAATGCACCTGGTCACCTAGGAGCTCTGATTAGGACATACAAAGAGACTAAGGTTGTTTTCATGCCTGCTAACACAACATGTACTCTGCAGTCCATGGATCAATGAGTACTTTTGACTTTCAAGCCTTATTATTTAAGAAATATGTTTCAAAAAGCTGTAGCTGCTGCAAATTGTAATTCCTCTGATGGATCTGAGCAAAGTAATTAAAAACCTTATGCAAAGGATTCACCATTCTAGATATCATTAAGGACATTCATGACTCACGAATACCAACATTAACAGCAGTTTAGAAGAGGTTTATTCCAAAGCTTGTGGATGAGTATTAGGGGTTAAAGACTTCAGTGGAGGAAATAATTGCAGATGCCATTGAAATATTAAGAAAATTAGAATTAGATGAGTAGGGAGGCTCACGCCTGTAATGCCAGCACTTTGGGAAGCTGAGGCAGGTGGATCACCTGAAGTCAGGAGTTCAAGACCAGCCTGCCCAACATGGTGAAACCTCATCTCTACTAAAAATACAAAAAATTAGCTGGGCATGGTGGCAGGCACCTGTGGTCCCAGCTACTCAGAAGGCTGAGGCAGGAGAATGGCTTGAACCTGGGAGACAGAGGTTGCAGTCAGTCAAGATCGCACCATTGCACTCCAGCCTGGGCCACAGAGTGAGACTCTGCTTCAAAAAAAAAAAAGAAAAGAAAAGAAAAGAAAAGAAAAGAAAGGAAAACTAGAATTAGAAATAGAACCCAAAAATGTGTGACTGAATAATTGCAATCTCATGATCAAACTCGAATGAATGAGAACTTATTTCTTATGTATGAGTGAAGAAAGTGGCTTCTTGAGATGGCATCTACTCCTGGTGATGATGCCAAAAACATTGTTGAAATGACAACAAAGGATTTAGAATATTATAATACATAAACTTGGTCAATAAAGCAGTGGCAGGGTCTGAAGAGATTAACTCTAATTTTGAAACAAGTACTACTATGGGTAAAATACTATCAAATAGCATCACATGCTACAGGGAAATCTTTCATGAAAGGAAAAGTTCACTGATGTGGCAAACTTCACTGTTGTCTTATTTTAAAAAATTGCCACGGTCACCCCAATCTTTAGCAACCACCACCCTGATCAGTAGGCAGCCATCTGACTGACAACATTGAGGCAAGATAATTCACCAGCAAAAAATTACAACTCACTAAAGGCTCAGAAGAGTGTTAGCATTGTTTAGCAATAACATATTTTTAATTAAGGTATGGACATTTTAAAAATAATACTATTGTTTACTTAATACACTACAATATAGTATAAACATTACTTTTCTATGCACTGGGAAAACAAAAATTTTTTTACTCACTTTATTGTGATATTTGCTTTATTATGAGTCTGGAACTGAACCTTCAATGTCTCTAAGATATGCCCATATGAAAACTATATCTCAATAAAGCTGTTAAAAAATAAAAAATATAGCTGAAAATATTTTACATATGAAAGTTCATATTGAACAGAAACACCAAATACTGTGCAGGATTGGAAAAAAACCCCACATTTCAAAATATTCTTATAAAAAGTTACAGAGAGTAAGAACAGGTTATCTATAAAGACAAAGCTTCATCTGACTTGTTACAAATAATACAGAATACAGGAAGAAAATGGATGGATCTGAACATTATTTTTAAAATGTTTGAGTCTAGACTTTTATACCGAGTTCAACTATACAAATCATGAGAGGATGGGGTAAAGATATTTTTCAGACATATAAAGACTCAAGGTTTTTTCCTCCATATCTCTCCCTCAATTTTTTTTAACAATATACTACAGCAAATGAAAAAAGACCAATAAAAGACACAGGATTCTATCAATAGAGGATCACCATATGTGGTAGAGAGAATAATGCCCCCCATTAAAGATAACCACATATTGATCCCTTAATCTATGAATATGTTACCTTACTATGGTCATATAACAGGATAAACCCTGTGGTAACAAATGTATTTACATAATCATAATATTTTCACTGCAGTCTATCAGGTTTTAACTTACAGGAAAATATTGATTATTGATTATACTTACAGAACATAAAGTGTTATAAACCCTGACGATGTGAAAATAATCATATGACTAACAGGAATTAAAGGAAGTTGGAGGGCTATGTAGAATTGCTAATTTCCTTAATCTTGCAATGTCAAGAGGGATGATACAATGTAATGTTAATAAATTTGAAAATAGAAATACATTATTTAACAGATATAAAGCCCTCCAACAGAAAAACTTGAAATAATATACCTAACAAAATTGGAAGGAGGACATGAGGAGAATTAGTTCAGACCCTCATCTTTCTTATTAGGAAGCTGACAAACACTGTTCAGAATTCATAGACCAAGAAGTAGAGTTGTGTGCATTGCATGTGGACATTTGAAATCAACTTGGAGAAACTAAAAATAGAAACAATCAAATATGGTTCCTCTGTGGAGTAGATAGAGTATAAAAGGTAGGGAAAAGGGATGCTTTTCTTTTCCACTTTACACCCATATTTCCCCCCTCAGATCCACCTTTGGAGAAGAAAAACGTTGCCCCAGCTGTTGGGCTACTGCCTACAGTACTAGACAGTCCTCAGCTATCAGCCTTCTTCAGATAGTGCCTCAGCTAAAGAAAGCTGCCTCGCCCAAGTCCCTTCCTTCTAGAGGTAGTCTACATAAGATATTTAGTCTAGAGCAGTGATGTAAAGTCCTGGTTTCCTCACTCAACTAAGGACCATTCTGAAGAGCCAGCCCAGCTTCAGAGGTCCCCATGGAATCACTGCATTACTGTGACAGCATCACAGCCCAGCCACTCCCTCAGCCCCAATTCTGCTTCCGCATTTTCCCTCACAGGCGTCGATCTCAAGAGTCTTCCTTTATAAACTTCCCACTTGATAATCTCTATCTCAGAGTCTGCTTCCTAAAGGACCCAATTTGGGATAGACCTGTTTTACACTAACTTTTTAAAAAAACCATTCCTAAATTAATTTTATAAATGTAAGCACAGAGCTATGTGCATGCTTTTATTGATTTGTTTTCTTCTAGAATAAAGGTTCATTTAAAATCTGAGGAAAGATAAACTTTATTTTGAGAAAAATGCTCTAAGAGGCTGTCTGCTTATGCAGAGTGGCACCAACTTTCCCCATCTATGATGCAGAGGTTGAAGGCACTGGTGAGCTAAGCTGCTTTGCATTGTAATAGAAAAGATTGCATTCTTGAAGCACAGCTGGCCTTGCATTCTCTCAGCGTACCTTAGCGGAGTATCTTTCAACTGCAGGGCTTGTTGGTGAGGGTATTTTGGTTTGTTTTATTTTTAACTGACACAAAATTGTACATATTTATGGGATACAAAGTGATATTCTAAACTCAATTGGGAAGGTCACACCCAAGGTCTCTTCTTAAAAGAATAAGGGTGTGTTGCTATTCTGTCCAAATAGAGGAACACATTCATATTGTCAGAAGCATCGCATGCCATGGGAAACTATGAGGCCTTGGTAATAACTTCCAGTGATTTCCCACGACATGAAAATCCAATTCAAACTCTTAATCAAGTCTTACCAGGCCCTAGGAGATCCTGCCTCCACCTATGTTTCTGCTTCATCTTATATCACCTCTCCCCCTATTCATGACTCTAGAGCCACACTGCCTCATTGCATCCTTGAAATCCACCATGCTGATTTCTGCCTCAGAACATTTGCATAAGCCATTGTCTTGCTTAAAATGCCTGAAATATTCTTCTCCTGAATCTTTGTTTAGCTGACTCTATCTTGTCAATTCAGGTGTCTGCTATAATGCTGCCTTGGCAAAGAGACCTTCCCTGACTATTCAATAGAAAGCAATGCCCTCTTCCTTCTCTATGGCATCACTCAGCTTTCGTTTCTCCAGAGCACTTAGCACCAACTGAGGTTATCTTATGTTTCTTTACTTGTTTAGTCTCTTCTCTCCTTGCTTCCCAGAAGGGAACCTTAGAGCAGGAACTTCCTTTGACATGGCCTTGCTGTTTTTACAGAATCTTCAGCAATGCTGGGCCTTACCTGTTGCTCAATAAATATTTATTGAATCAGCAAATATAAAGCTATATGAATTTAGTAGGTTTAGAAATCTCACCCCAAATTAGGAGGAAAGCCTTGTATTTTTAAAAAAATTAGAAAATAGGTTCATAATTCTGAAATACCCTAAGTGTTGTCAACTTAACTAAGTGGTGCTTGTGACACAAAATGCCTTGGAAACACTGATGAAGCTATTGTCCTTCTCCTCAGGAACAAAAAAATGTATATATATTTTCTTGTATATCCACTAAATATGATGCGTGCAATTTCAAGATTTCTTCCCCCAGGTTGAGAAGCCCTACTTTAAAGACTATGTGAAAACCATTTGTAAATGGCACCAAGTTAGCAGGCAAATGAGTGTTGCAGGAGTAACTGCATGTAATTTTCCCCTTCTATGGTCTACACCCATTTAAACAGCTCTGGCTAAATGGGAGCCACCTCATGGAGCAAGCAAAACAGGGTCAGGCAAGCAGAAGGCCTTAAGAGGTCATCTTCTCTAACCTCTTGCTGGGCATGACTGCTCGTCCAAACATCTCCAACGGGCTCAATGATCTTATCAATGGCCTCTTGGCCTCAGTTAACCTCTCTAAAGAGATAGTAGCCCCATCTAATATAATTTATCTTTAAACACATCAGTCTCCTGCATTTGACTATAAATTCATTGAAGACAGGTTTACCTAAGAGTCTCGAGTGCTGAGTTAGCACAAAACTTCAATGTTTGCAAAGCAGATACTAAGTACCAGGCATTGGGCTCAGAACCTTACACTAATAAACTATTTTAAATTTTAAAAACTTAATACTTTTCACAATCCTAAGAAATATAATCTATCATTTATTTGCCCATGTGTTTATTATTTTACTTTCTTTACTGGAATGTAGGTTTCTTTGGAATTGTCAGTTACAAGTGAATCCAGTAAATATAGCTGAATAAGTGAGTGAATGAATGAATGTATGAATGATGACTCCATGCAGAAGAGAACAAAAAGATAAGAAAGCTCTTTCACTCTTAAGTCAGACAAATAGTGAGCAAAGAAAAACTATAAATAAACAGGTAAATATTTTATTTCCAACTGTATTAAATGCTCTAAAGAAAGATTTCTTTCCTCTAAACTAAAACTTGTCAATGAGCTTGAGAGTGGCTTGTGGCAGGGGGATGCTGTATTAGATAAGCAGTCTGGGAGCTCTCTCTGAGGAAGGGGCATTGAAGCCTAGATCGAGTGGTGAGAAAGATGTAGCAATAAGAAGATTCCAGAGAAGAAGCTTCCAGATGGCGAGAACAGCAGGTGCAAAGGCCCTGAAGTGGGTGCTTGGCATGACGAAGGAGCAAAAAGAAGGCCATTGTGCCTAGAGCTAACAGGTTCCACCGAGAGCTCTGATGAGAAGTTTGGGGACACTGGCAGGGGCTGTATCATGCAGTATAAGAATGTTGGGTTTTATTCCGATTGCTATTAAAAGTCACAGAATAGCTTTAAATAGGGGGTTGACCCAACATTTTAAAATATCACTCTGGCTTCTGTCTGGAGAATGAACTGTAGGGGACAGAGGGACAGAGAGCCCCAGGGCATGAACAAAGGGATGCAGACTGGCTGGAAGGCTGGTGGAAGGATGGCTCCCATGAGCCAGGGGACCTAAGGCCTAATCTCAGCCTTGTCCTGACCACTTGCAGGACGGGTGTCGCTCTACTACCTGAGCCTCCATTTTCCCACTTATAAAATAAAAGGTCTCATGGGGCTATCTATTGCTGCTTTTTCTTTTCTTTTCTTTCCTTTCCTTTCCTCTTTCTTTCTCTTTCTTTCTTTCTTTCTTTCTTTCTTTCTTTCTTTCTTTCTTTCTTTCTTTCTTTCTTTCTTTCTTTCTTTCTTTTTTTAATGGAGTCTTGCTCTGTCACCCAGGCTGGAATGCGGTGGCGCAATCTTAGCTCACTGCAACCTCCACCTCCTGGGTTCAAGCTATTCTCCTGCCTCAGCCTCCTGAGTAGCTGGGACTACAGGTGCATACCACCACGCCCAGTTATTATTATTATTATTTTTTGTATTTTTAGTAGAGACGTGGTTTCACCATGTTGGCCAGGATTGTCTCAATCTCCTGACCTCGTGATCTGCCCGCCTTAGCCCCCAAAGTGCTGGGATTATAGGCGTGAGCCACTGCACCTGGCCTATTGCTGCTATTTCAACCATGACATTATTAAACTTCTGAATCTTAGTCTTGTCTTTGTCATTTGGATTCAGAGACAAATCTAAAGACAGCAGATCTGCCCTCTGCCTACCTGAACCTTCCAGAGACAGCCCCGCTAACACACAGGTAACAAAGCTCAGGCCAGCGATATGAGGCTCTGTGGCAGGGGCTGGCTGACAGAAGCCAAGCACACGCTTCCTACATGCTTCATGAGAGGGGACAACCCCTACTCGATTCTGCTCCTTAGGCAAAGCCAAAAACAGACCGCACCCTGCTTTTAAAACAGCGACTCATCAGGAAGACTCTGATGGGTCTTTGTTTCTTGTTTTGCTCTTTGGTCCCCAAAAGGAACACATGGCCACCCGTCGGGGCTCATCCCAGTGTCTCCTCTTGGAAGGAAGATGTGCTCCTTGAAGGCCAGCATTCCAAATGCAGCAATGCTTTAGTTTGACAAAGAGAAAAGGGGTTTGACCTGGTTGGATATTGAATCTGGCTCTCTCCCTCCCTCCCACCTCCCCGCCTTTCCTTTTATCTCCCAAAGTGGTCCTCTCTGGGCTGATGGGAGAGGGCGTGCGCTGTGCTGGGGGTCACATTGCCTCCCCTCCCGACTTCCTCAGCCCCCGCGTCCCTCGCACACTTGCTTGTGCAGCTGCTGTGTGTAAATTCCTCACATACATCTCCGGCTGGCCAGTTTATTTTTACAAACAATAAATAGGACGACATTCCTATGGTGTCTCTCTCTGGACAGCCTAGTTTACAGAGCTAAAGAGACAGTGATGGAAGATTGGTGGGGTTTATACAGATGGTGGTCCGCATGTCGTAAATCTCATAAACACGGAGTGAGGGTTTTTTTTTTTTTCCTAAGAAACACAAACAACAACAACTCACTCCCCCACCCCCTTTTCTCTCTTTCCCCCAAGATCACAAGACATTATCAAGGCCTGCAAATCATGACCAGATGATATTAAGTTGCTTCAATAACACTCTGGATCCCTTCCGGTGTGCTATTTTTCTTCATTAGAAATGATAGCCCAAGTGCACCAAGTCCTCTTTCCCTCTCCTCAAAATTTATAGATCACAGCCTCTAAACTAATTGTTACTTGCACACTAGGCCGCAAGCTGTTTGTGCATGGAGCAATTACCTCCAAGGCCTTGATGAAAGACATGGGGGAGGCAGGAGGGTGAGGAAAATGAAACACTCAGGCAGGGTGGCCAGGGTGCCCTGACATTGTGGATAAAAGTGAGTGAGAAGTTCCCTTATCCATCACCGACCCTTGTTCAAAGCTTGAGATGTGACATGTACCTGGTGCGAGCTGCTGACTTCATGACATTATGAACCAAGCCCCTTCCAGACCAACATCTCCCTAGGAAAGAGAAGCATATGCCCAGATTCTCTGTCTTAACCTCCCAGATTATGGCACTTCCTATAGCTCAGAAAGTCATTGACTTCCCTGTGAATAAGCAAAGCAAGAGATTGGGTTGCCTGTGGCTACGCTGTCCAGGTGGTTCTCAGGATCTGGGTAGCAAAGCTAAGTGTGCACTCACTGGATGACTGCCAGGTGCCGTCCCTGTGACAGCATCATCCCACCTCAAGCCGGGTTCTCTTCCCCTAGGCAAAGCAAAATCTGAAGGCCTGGGGTCAGAATTAGAGATGCTGTCTGACCGCTGCCTTTTGTAGACAGAGAAACAGAGGCTCACAGGCAGGCCGACATCACATGGCAAGCTAGTGCCAGAGCCAGGTCCCTTGACTCCATACTCAGGTCTGTTACTGTCTGGCAACATTGATGCCCTGGGAAATCATGCCATTTGGAGGTAGAGTTCTCATTCAAATGCCATGCAAGAAATAGCCCCAACTGATCCCACTAAGGATGATTACCAAAGAGTCACAGCACATCACCAGTCATAGTCCAGCAGAAAGAAAATTCTTATTTAGTGGGGTTCGCAAAGTGGGATGTCTTTCCCAGGTACCGAAGGAGGAGAAACGCGTTATTTTGGCACACAATCAGCCTTGGTCAATCAAGCCTTCAAGATCAGCCCATAATATGAGGACGTTGTTAGTGCGCCATCTGTAACTCCCCAGCACCCACCATTCTTGTGTCCTGCCAGAACCTGGGACTGTGCATGAGAGATGCTCAGCCCTCATAAAGCTGAACAGAAATGCCAATGAGTGAACACTCTGGGAGCAGCACTCTACCAAAGAAGGAAAGAGGTGGTGAATAAATACCCCGGCTTCCTCCTCCCTCAAAGGGAACAACTCCAAGACATGGACTCTGGGTCTCCCAGGGTTCCCCAGTGGGATTGAACCCTGACATTCACAGGCGTATGCTGCTCCTTAGCACAAGATTTAGTGGATGCCTTCCCTGCCCCACTTTATCTCCCCATTGCCCTGCCAGCAATTCCGGAGATCACTGTCTAAATAAATTGCTCGCTTGCAAATCCTTGTCTCAGAGTCCACTTCTGGGGAAACCAAACCCAAGATACTTACCAGTGTCTTCTATCTTTGTGAAGAACATTGAGGTCTATTGAATGTCTCCCTTTAAAAAAAAGTGGTTTTTTTTTTTTTTTTTTTAAGACAGAGTCTTGCTCTGTTGCCAGGCTAGAGTGCAGTGGCGTGATCTCGGCTCACTGCAACCTCCGTCCCCCGGGTTCATGCGATTCCCCTGCCCCAGCCTCCCTAGTAGCTGGGACCACAGGCACCCACCACCATGCCTGGCTAATTTTTTGTATTTTAGTAGAGAAGGGGTTTCACCATGTTGGCCAGGATGGTCTCAATCTCCTGACCTCATGATCCGCCCGCCTGGGCCTCCCAAAGTGCTGGGATTATAGGCATGAGCCACTGTCCCCGGCCAAAAATGTATTTTCTTTACCAGAATGTTTAATTAAGGATATTTTAAACAAAGATAAAAAAATGAAGATTCTTGTTCTATTAAAAATCAGAAAATCTGGTATCCACGCATGGCAGTTCTGAGCAGGAGCTGGAAGCAGCCGCCACTTTTAGAGAAGCCTGTTCTCTCCTCTTCCCTATGGTCCCCACCAGGTCCAGCTTTGTTCTTTCAGGTCAGTTTCCTGGTCCCTACAGGCAATTGATTTTTTGAACTGAAGATTTCTATTTCATCGTAGGCATTTTCTAAAGAGCTGTAGACAACAGATCAAGCATTTTTCTTGCATTCCGTTTAATTTCTTCCTGAAATCTAATAGAGAAACTCCCCAAGATTTGGGCAACTATGCTTCTTTTTATTCTTTTTAATTTCAGATTTTTATGATAGTTGCTCTCTATTTTTACAGCAGAAGAGATTTCCCTGATCTGCAGTCATCTGCATAAGCTCCCTGCACTTTTTTCACGTTCAACAGGAAACCAGACCAATGAGATTCCCTGTTGCCTTCAGTTCATGGTGGGCTCCTGCGTAGCCCACTTGAATGGTTTTGATGTTTCCCTTGAGGAGATGAACTCTCAAAAATAATTCCCATCCTCCTCCTTCCCCAAACCCTACCACTATTACTATTCATGAGTTATTTTTCTTTTTGTGTGGAGGAGTCCTTTGTACCCCTCAAAGACTTCTCAAATTGCATTAATTCACTTTTTTCTCATATCAAAGTACTACATGGTACCATTGTCAGCCTCATAATATAACCAACTATAATAAAACAAATCTAAATATGTGTTTAAAAGAGCATGTGTGACCTACTGTGGTAGTGAGGTATAACATTTGAATTCTGTCACCTTAGAAAATTAGAGGTTTACCTGAAAAATGCCATCACTTCTGTTCCATGGAATTGAACTTTTGCCAGTATCCTTTTGCTATGGCTGTGAAAGGGTCAATGTGTAGGATAAGGGAGAAATTCATTCCATTGTCCAGGTAATGTGCCTAAATATCTCTAAAAGCCAGACATTAGAAAACTTCATTTTTTTTTTTTTTTTGCTTCATCTCTGATTTTTCACCAACTTAAGAAGGGCAGACCATTGAATGTAAGTGACTCTGAGAAGTTTGTGTTCTTAGGACAACTGAGTCATTGGCCTCCATGACTTCCTTGTTCCTCTTCTGGGTTTGGCCTTGTGTGAACAGGTGGCAACAAGGTCTTAAAATTACCAGTGCACACACTTCTGTCCCAAATCTGCTTTGTAGCAGAAGCTCCGAGCTTGGAATCCACAGCAGCCTGGCCGCTCCAGCCAACAAGAGGAAGCGATGCAGCAAAACACAGGGTCAGAGAGTGGAGGTACTCTTAGGTTATTTTCCAGGTAAACATCCTATAAATAGGGAGAGTCAAGATGCCACAGCAGGCAGTCCCAGCATGGAATATAAAGCACAGGTGTGGCATGGAGCCCCACTGGAGGGACCAGCACAGCCTAAGGAGAAACCTCAGAACATCAGAACTAGAGCTGTGAATGGAACTCAGGTATAGGGCTTTCTCATGGGGGCAAAGAAGGAGGCCATGTCAACATGCCAGGGAATCTCATCCCAACCAAGGTTCTGCCTCTCCTCTACTTAACCCCCTCAAAGGCTCCCTGTTGCTCTCAAGATAAAGCCTAAACCCCCAAACAGAGCTTTTCAAGACCACTGGTCTGGTTGGCCTCACAGAACTTCATTTGTTCCTCATTGTCTGTCCACAGGCTCTCTGACTGCTGGGCTGGGCCTTGAGTAAGCTGGTGGGGGGATTGGAGATCAACCAGACCTGGTGCCTGCCCTCAGGAAGCTCACTGTTCAGTAGGGAGACAGACAAGGGACAAGCAGTTTACAGAGCTACCTCATAAGTGTTGTGAGGATTCAGAGATGACAAAAAGAAAGGGGTGATCAGCTCATTTGGGGGCGGGAAGGAAGGCCTGCAAATCAAAGATCTTCAAGACTGAGGAGCAGTTCACTGAGGGCAGGAGGAGGGGAAGGAAAACAGTCCAGCAGAGAGAATGGCTTGAACACAGACGGAGAGGCTCAACGCTGCTTGGGACATGAGGACTTCAGTGAGACGGGAGGTCACAAGGGATGTCTGGGGGACTACAGGGACGTCTTGGTTCCTGGGCCAAAACTCAAGTTTCCATGCTGAGTTAGGGGACCACCTGGAGGTCACCTGTGCTTGGAGGCTTCCTGAGTCTGTCAGTACTGTGTAGGCTATGTGTGGCACATCTTCCCCCAAGAGACATGAATGATTGGTTCACGTTCCCAGAAAATCGAGTGGGTATCATGGCTCCAGAGCCCTTTTTCCATCTCTGGTGTCCTCATTCCTCCTTGTTGCCTTTGTTTTTCAGCCAAGTTTTCCCAAGTGATGACAAAGATGGCCATGGGGATCTTATAGAGATCTAGATAGAGTTTCCCTTCCCTATTAGTTTCCATGAAATCTCAAGGGAAATAGCCTCATTGGCCCCAGCTGTGCCACATCCTCATTTCTGGACCAATTGCTGTGGCCAAGGAGATGTAGCATTTTCATAAGCCAGACCCAGGTCATGGCTAATTCCTATAGCCCTGGGTAGGGTCAGTTTCCCCTGCTCCCGTGATGATTGTGAATAGAGTGTTGGCACCCCAGGAGAAATGAGGGTGTTTTTGCCAAAATGGACAGTGAATGCAGGGCAGGTAAAAGCCAGAGCTATTTCCCATACAACTCTGAACCGAGCCCCTTACCCACCAGATGTGCAGCTTATGCAGAGAACAACATCCCTCTTGCCAAGATGATAGCTGCCTTGACTTTGATGTTCCTCAGTTTCCACACTTAACGTCAGCTCTTCTGCCAGGGCTGCATACTTGTTTGTTTTGTCTGGACAGATTTTTGTGATGCTTCTGCTGCAGGAAACAGCTACATCAATAAGGTCCGCTGTTTTGTTAGCTTTATCAAGGAGCAGGAGCAGAATGTCTGCTCTGGTGAGCTTCTTTTGTGTCTCCAGCTATCTCAGAATAGCTATTTTCCAACATATTCTTTTTCTCTATGCTATTTTCTTTACCCAAGCCTACTTTCAAACAATTAATTGGTGAGCTTTGTGGCAACATTCTTGTACCTATTAGAATTTCATCCTGCAATTCAAGGTGGTTTAAGACTTCTGTATTTCCTAGCAATTAGATTTTGCTTATCAAGCAAGTGGGTTCAAGAGCAATGACATTGCACTGTGTTTATGAAAACAGGTCTTCAAAGCACGAAAAATGACATGTTATGTTACTCCTGCTGTTGCTGTGGCTACTTTGCCTGCATAATATTGACTAAGGAGATATCAGAAAATCTGCTAAAGAGCAGAGATCTCTGTATCTTTCTTCCCTCCCTTTCTCCTTCCTTCAGCAAAGACTTACTGAGCAACTATTAAACCCCAGGCACCAGACATACAGTAATATTTCTAAAATTCCCCTAATATTATATATAACTATATCTATAATAATATAGCATCTTGTGTAAATATACATCTACAATGTAATATAAATATACAAAATAGATAAATATTTATATATAAATAAATTATAAATATATATTTGATCTATGACATACGTATCAGTGCTTATTATTTGACAGGCACTGTTCTAAGAACTCTGCACATAAAAACTCTTTTAATCTTTTTTTCATTTTCTTAACAATCTATCTTCTTTTTCTTTCTTTTTAGTTTATAATTTTAAATTTCGTGGGTACATAGTAGGTGTATATATTTTTGGGGTACTTAATATAATATGATAAATACATTTTATAGATGAAGAAATTAAGGCAATAAGCTATCAAATGACTTTCCTAATATCATACAACTAGTTATTAGAAGAGAAAGGACCTTAACCTAGGCCTCAGAATCACTACACTATTCAATAGCAGACAAATCTTCAAAATCAAAAACAAACAAACTAACAAAAAGAATCACTACATTGTGCTACTAATCCATTTGTGGAATATCACATGAAAAATAATTACAAATTATGGTTAATATGATGATGGATAAGTTTTAGGATCTTACAAGGAGCTCAGTCTTGTTCAATGACTATAGTGAGGGAAGGCATCTCTGAGGAAGGGATGTAGCAGCTGAAATTTGAGGACGAGTTGGAAGTAAGTGGTGTTGGGAGGACAGAGAGAAGATCAAAGGCAGGTGTCAGGCAGAGGGACAGTAGGTATGCACCTGCCCCAAAACCCAAATGGAGCCTAGTAGACTCTGTGCCTGGAAGCAAAACCTGTAGAGATGGTGTAGTTAGGTTAGAAACAGTAAGGTCATGCTTTGTGAGTTTTTTAATTTCTGGTAGGCAGAAAATGGCCCCCAAAGTGTCTGTGAATATATTACCTCATGTGGCAAAGGGACTTCACTATGTGATTAAAGGTACCGTCGACCTTGACAGGTGAGAGTATGCAGTTGCACCCAGTTTAATCACCTAAGTCCTTAAAATCAGAGACTTTTTCAGCCATGGTCACAGAGAAAAATGTGATTACAAAAAAGAGTCAGGAAGAAGTGACTTTGATGGCTTTGAAGATGAAGACATGGAACAGAGCCAAGGAAGAGGGTGTCCTCTAGAAGCTGGAAATATAACCAAGTATAATAAGAAACAAAGCCAAACATGTATTTTAAAAAAACATGTATGACATAATGTAGTAGTTAGGTATAGTTAGGTTGAGTTCTGTCAGCTTAGAAAGTTAGATGTTTGCCTGACAAAATGACATCACTTCTGTTCCATGGAATGGAACCCTTGGAAAAGGAAGGAAACAGCTTTCTCCTATAGAGCCTCCAGAAAGAAATGAAGCCCTGAGAACATCTTGTTTGTAGCCCACTGAGACCAGGTCAGACTTCTGACTCCAGAACTGTAAGATAATAAATTCGTGTTGCGTTAAACTAAGTTTGTGGTCATTTGTGACAGCAGCGATAGGAAATCACCACACGTCATAAAAAACTATTGATGGCTTTGAGCAGAGGAACAGCACTATCCAAAAATTTTTTTGAAACTTCAACAATCGTTTATTACCAAACTTGTGCAAGGTTAACACTTTCACCTGGAGAACAGCAAAAATTACATCTCTAACAAGGTCAAGGGTGGAAAGTGCAAACCCAATGAAGACTGTCTCTTAAAACAAGCATTAAGAAAAAATGCATTATCTGCATAAGCATTGTTTTAAAAACTAAAACTTCCCAGTGTGGCAGAAAAAATATCCCAAAGTGATTTCAGTCCACAAAAAACAGCATTTGGCAGTCCATGCTGCCTTAAAAACCCCAACTTAGAATAACCCTAGGAGAAAATCATCCTTCCTCCATTAAAAAAAAATCCCTTTTTTCCTTGTCCTTGTTCAGATTCCATGAAACACTCAAAGAATAACAGGATGAACAACACCCAGCCCACTTCTCTCATTCCCTATCTCTTAAGGCTCACACTCGGGACTATTCCTTAGGAACCTTCACTTCTACTACAATCAGAAAATTGATCCTTAATTTCTGGGCCAGAGTTCTAGAAACGCAAAAAACATTCTCCTGCTTCCTTCAAGGAGAAGCCTGAGGGATCCTTGAAATATCAAGGGAACGGTATATCTGGCTGCAACTGGAATGCCTGCTGGGTTGGGCCCAGGAGATCCCTTTTTCAGCAAAATCACCCCAACACCTTATTACTGAAAGTCTAACCCACCAGGCAAAACCAAGGAACAGCATGCACCAAGCTACAGCTGTACCAAAAAGGTGCACCTCTCCAACATTTAACCATAAAGGTAAGGGTGGTGAGGAGAGCCGAGTGAGTATTTGACCTCATCTGTCTTCCGAGAAGCTTGCATATTTTAGGCCAAAGCCATGACGCAGAGAAAGACATTTGGCCAAAGAGTTGTCTTTGCTGTGTCTGTCTGGATAAAGCTGCCATTTCTGGGCATCCTGGTTCAAGGCTGCTTTATGGAAGCTTTGCTCCCTTATGCAGAGTACTTACGAATTAATGGGGAAATTTTCCATTCGCCTTCATAACTGGCAAATACTTCAACAGCAGTTTCTCAAAAACCACCAATGGAGAAAGACCACCCCTTAGGTTGAGGATCACAGCTCCTTCCAGTCGATGGACTTCTTGTCGGACTTCTGAGACAGCTCATTGGTTTTAGAAAAGTGTCTACATGCAGTCGGGTCTGGTGGCTCACACCTGTAATCCTAGCACTTTGGGAGGTGAACGTGGGCAGATCACTTGAGGTCAGGAGTTCAAAACCAGCTTGGTCATCATGGTGAAACCCGGTCTTTACTAAAAATACAAAAAATTAACTGGGCATGGTGGTGCGCACCTGTAATCCCAGCTACTCGGGAGGCTGAGGCAGTAGAATCACTTGAACCTGGGAGGTGGAGGTTGCAGTGAGCCGAGATCGTGCCAATGCACTTCAGCCTGGGTGAAAGAGCGAGACTCCATTTCAAAAAAAAAAAAAAGAAAGAAAGAAAAGTGTCTACATCCAAAGAACCTCTATATGCAGACAACAGGGAGGGATGAGCCAGCTGCAGAATGTGGTGCTGTTTCCTATCCATGGCACTGCCCTTCTTCTGAGCATAAGAGCCCCAGAGCAAGAAGACAAGCCAGATCGAGTTCTGATTTAGCCAGGACACAACTGCGTCAGTGAGTTGCTCCCAGCCTCTCTCCTTATGAGAACTGGCTTGATGGGCCAGAATAGTGAGACAGCATTGAGTAAAAGAACCCCTTGTTTGGCCCACCCAGATAAATCTCCATGCTGAAGGTGAGCAAACCATCTATGTCTGCAGACAACAATTTTTAAACACTTTCTGAGCTGGGCGGAGGTGGAACATGTCTTTGCACATGAAAGCAGAGCCTGTGAGCTTGACTGGGTCCATGATATGGATCCTGTCTGGGAATTAGAACCTTCCCATCTCTTATGGGTCTAGGTGAAAACTTGGTGTGGGGGCGAATAAACAATGTAATGTCTGCTTTATTCTGCACAAATCTCATTACCTTTATAAAATACTGTTTCCTGAACTTCACTGAGGTACTTCTTCCAGCTCTCACTAAAACCCATGGATAGTTGTGGACTATGAGTCTGTGTTGGCCCATGAGTCTGGGAAGTGCCCTGGTCTTCCTCCTTTAGATATGAACCAACTGATCAGTGCTCAGCAGTGAGGAGGACAGCATGCTGGGCTCATCCTGCCTGGCCCTGGCTTTCTTGATGGGATGGGCCTCTGCATCTCAGTTCTCCTAAGCTACAGCTGCCACTCCAGTCCCCAGGTCAGCTGGCTTGGGACTGTGGGAAGGAGACTTCCCAGCCAGACTGGGAGAGAGGAAGCAGTAGTCTTCTGGCTGTTCATCCCAGAGCTGAGGAGGGAGCAAATACACAGCCCAGGGACCCACGAGGCTTCCACTGGCTGTAGCATTCAGCAATTCAAATTTTTTTTTAATTAGCTGCATATTTTTATCTGGGTCTCACATCATTTCACTGTGATTTGGGGGTTGTGATGGTTTATTTTATGTCATCTTGACTGGGCTAAGGGAAGCCCACATAGCTGATGAAACATTATTTCTGGGCATCCCTTAATGTCTGTGCAGGTGTTTCTGGAAGAGATCTGCATTTGGGTTGGTGGACAGCGTAAAGCAGATGGCCTTCACCAATGCAGGTGGGCATCACACAATTCATCGAGGGCCCAGAGAGAGCAAAACAGCAGAGGAAAGGTGAGTTTGCTCTCTGCTTGAGCCGGGACACCCAACTTCTCCTGCCCTCAGAGGTCAGCACTTCTGGTTCTGGGTCCCACTCAAATGGGAACTTACACTGTCAGCCCCTCCCCACTCCCACCCTTGTTTCTGAAGCCTGCAGACTTGGGCAAACTGCACCATGAAGTTTCCTGCTTCTCCAGCTTGCCAGTGGCACAGACGGCAGGCTGTGGGACTTCCCAGCCTCTGTAATCATGTGAACCAGTTCCTGTACTGGTTCCATTTCTCTGGAAAACCCTAAGACAGGAGTCAAACATTAGCCACATTTTACTAAGCTGTTGACAAAGTTTTCAATTGGGGTTGGAGAAAACTATTTCTCTACGTCACAGGACAAACTGTCCTCATTTCTGTCACTAAACATTCGTATCAATTCCTGCTGTTGTCATCAGCCACTAGCACCAATGTCTGACAGCAGCAGAGATTTCCAGGGGCCTTGGTGCACTCCAAGGCTGGCCTAATTTGGGGGACCTTAGGCTAGTTGCGTAACCTCTCTGAACCTCAGTTTCTCTGCTGTAAGATGGAAATTCTGCCAAGGCCTATTCCACGAATGGGTCATTTGAAGATTTTTTTAAAAAAGCTAATTGTCCGAACTTTAATCTTGGCACAGAGTAAGGCTCAACAAAAGCTACTTTCTCTTCTTCTGTGTAGTTGCTTCCAGTGCTCCCGTTGCTTCTGGGTCAGACAATGCAGTAAATGTCTGGACAACTATAGCCATGAACATGAGGTGTTCATGTAAATGTAAGGGCCAGGGGAGAGTCAATTATCAGCATAAGGATGATAGGCAAGGCTCTCTCCATAGAAATTTTTTCTTATAATATTCCAAAGCATTATAATGCTCTGTGTCCTCCATTATCCTAGTTATTAGCTGGAGTGACAGGCATGAGCTGTTGCTGACAATGGTGTTACTCATGAGCACATGACTGTTGGTCAACAGCCTTGTCCCAGCTGGAGGAAGTCCACGGTCTAGTGACTTAGAGAAGTATTAAAAGGAGACAACCAGGTAATTACCACACACACACACACATAAACACTTTCAATAAATAATGTAGCTGTTCCCTGTATGTCTACCCTTGATATAATTTTTTCCTTTGTTTCTGATGAATAGACATAAATCTAAAAAGGAAGTATCCCAAGTATGTCTTGGCCACTTTTACTATATAGATAGACTGATGGGCAGTACAGATATCAGTAGGGTCCCTCTGCTTCTTATAATCTAGCTAAGAGTGGGTCAGGCTATGGAATGTCTGTGACCTTCAAGAGTCCTCTGATTTTTAGAATCACTTCTGACTTCAGGCACCCTACTTCTGCTGATTTGGAGAATTTTAGGAACCATCTGAGTCCTTCCAGTTTCTAATTGTCCAAACCAACCTGGAAGCCAGAAGGCAAAGGTACCCATGGATGTAGTTGACACAGCTGAGCCTCCCAGCACAGAAAGCAGGGTGGAGCTGAAGATGCTAGTGCAATACGTGAGCGTGTGTGCGTATACAATATGCTGCGTGGGTTTGGGTGATAGAGTCCTTTGTGTGTCTGTATAGGATTGGGAGTGGAGTGCATTGGCGCATCCCTGACCAGTTGGAGACAGGAGAAGTATGGGGTGCTCCCTTCCAAGATTCCAATTCCCTTCCTCAGATGGACTGGCTGATCCATGCCTCTTCTGGCTTCTTGGCTGATTTCGAGTTCCCCGGTCCCTCCCTAGGTGTAAGTGTCACCTCAGTGGAGCAGACCCTGAGTGACACAGCAAGCAAGATGCAGAGGAGATGGGAAGCTTTGATGGGAATCAGGATGTAAAGGGAGCCCATCTCAGGACAGGGGCCTTTGCAACAAATCAGGCCAGAGAGGGCGTTCCAGCATGCAGCATTCACCTGAGAGGAGGAAACGTCACCTGGTGGGCAAAGACTGAGAATATGCAATAGCTGAGGGGTTCTCAGGGCCCCTCATCTGCTTCCCCATGGGCTTAGGCCATCTCCTCACCTGCTCATGGGGTTCTCTCAGGCAGATCTGCCCTCCCACTTATACTTCCTTCATTTCCCAACACGTCTGCTTAACATCTTGCTCCCTCCTCTTAGGCACTTTTGTTTTATCATCTAATTTTTAACTGTCTTCCCCACTTCCAATCTCACCTTCCCTCAAAACACTTCTCATGGTCTCCATGAGGTCTCTCACTCCCAGGGATGTTATTCTGACCGTATAAACCTAGAAAACCATATCTGAGCACGATAACCTAATTTGAAGATGTCATCCAACATCCTGCTACACTCAGCCTAGTCCCCTAGCACTAGCTGGCTCTGCTCACAGCCCTAGGGAAGACACTCTTTCCTATCTATATGACACCACACTCGTAGGTAACAGCCAATTGTGTCAGGTGCATTTACTGACTCTGGAGAAGACAAGCCATGGGTGGCCAGTGCCCACTCACATCTGTTATTGCCCAACTCTTTGAACAATTGAGGGAGTTTGGAACAGAGTCAAGTCAGCATAGAGCACTAGAGAGATGTCTCTGGCCAGTGAGATCCCCATCACTGCCCTCTGTCCATCCTTCTTTCTTTTTTTTTTAGCTCGGTCACCCACCCAGGCTGGAGTGCAGTGGCGCGATCTCAGCTCACTGCAATGTCTGCCTCCTGGGTTCAAGCAATTCTCCTGTCTCAGCTTCCCAAGTAGCTAGGGTTACAGGCACCTGCCACCATGCCCGGCTAATTTTTTTATATTTTTAGTAGAGACGTGGTTTCACCATGTTGGCCAGGCTGGTCACAAACCCCTGACCTCAGGCGATCCGCTTGCCTCAGCCTCCCAAAGTGCTGGGATTACAGATATGAGCCACTGTGCCCAGCCTGCCCATCCTTCTTAAGTCCCATTTGTTTAAGTCTGTGGATTTAAACCAGAATGCAAAGCTGGACTGCAGATCACCTAGCTAAGCACCATTTTCTTTGTCTGTTGATCCAGGTAAACGGTTTGGTGAGTTTCACTGATACCCATCAGGAATTTAAAGATGAAGGGCAAGAGAGTCATGGGGTCCACCCTTTGGCCACATTCTGGCTGGGCCCACCCTACACCAAGAAGTTGTCTTTATAACGCTTTCTGTATAAAACCTTATATAACATATATATTATACATATTTTATATATATATATAACTTTATAAAGTTTTCTTCATAAAACCAGTCAATGAAGATTTTTCTTTTGTATTTTTAAATAATAGTCATTTTCATCTGAAAAGCTCATGAGAAAGCCAGTGGGGACAAGGACAGCAGTTAAAGACTCTGTGCGTATCCACACTGGAGCAGCAACCTGGAATAGCCAGAGAACTTGGGCTTTGAACTCACACTAAACTGGGTGCAAATCTAAGCTCCAACACTTCCCAGCCGTGACTTTGGGCAAGATGTTTGAACTCACTCATTTATTTACTCAGCAAATATCTGTTGAGCCCCTACTATGGCCTGACTAGGTGCTAAGCCCTGGGGCTACAGCGGAAATAAGACAGACATGCTCTGCCTCTACTAAGCTTCAACAGCGAAGAACTAAGCAGTTACCCTATCTTTGTTGTTAAGACAATAACTATTGTAAGAGCTATTGTGAGATCAGAATATATATATACATATGTATATATACATATACACATACACACTCATATACACACCACAGGCCTCCATCAACATGACCTTGCTCCCTTTTGCTTGAGTGAAACAGCTTCTGGGCAGCTTGATGCTTTCTAGATCTTGGCCTCCTGGCTATGTCTGCATATTTTCTTCAATGTCTAAGGAGTACTTAATGAGTGTCAATAATCTGCCTGGCACTGTTCTAGGCACTTGGGACACATCAGTGAACAAGACAAAGTCCCCAGGCTCATGGAGGTGCTAGATGGAGCCAAATGATGATCCCTGACATAACAAAGACAAAAATTGTGCATTGTCTCAGTTCCCGAGGCCCCGCAAGCAGACTCTGAGACAAGAGCTGGTGCAGGGATATTACCTGGGAGGTCATTCTAGGAAGCACAGGTGAGGAAGAGGAATGGGGAGGCAAGGCAGGGAAGAGAAAGATAATTAAAAACACCTCGGTAGCCTGGGCAACATGACCAAACTCCATCGCTACTAAAAATAAAAAACATTAGCTGGACACGGTGGTGCACACCTGTCGTCCTAGCTACTTAGGAGGTTGAGGTGGGAGGATCCCCTGAGCTTGGGAGACAGAGGTTGTAGTGAGCCAAGATTGCACCATAGCACTCCAGCCTGGGCGACAGAGCAAAACCCTGTCTCAAATAAACAAACAAACAAAAAGCATTAATGAGCAGAGGGTTACGGTTAGAGTTAGCCTGTTTTTAAACATCATAAGCATCAAATCATACAGGATATATGTATGTCCTACTTTGTCCTACCCTTTCTGCTCAGTCAGTATAATGGGTGTGAGATCCTTTCATGTCCCTGGATTGGTCTGAAGATTGCTCCTTCTCATTGCAGCGCAGTAGTCCACCATGTGACTCTACCATAATTCACTTCCCAGCCCAGGGCCTTTGCATTGTTTCTGATTTGGGGCTGTAAGCACCACTCTGAAGGTCTCCTTTAGATGAACACATGCTCATTTCTATTTGGTATTTACTCAGTGAGGCAGAATAGGGTCTGGAGACAGGAAACCTAAGGCTGATTTGTGCTGACTTCCTAGAACTGAATCCAAAGGAAAACCCCACCTTTCTACACGCAAGTAACAAAAGGATAAGAGGCTACTCCCTTTGCACTGCCTTGCAGATGAAAAATGAAGAGTACCTATAATTGGTCCCCTCCCGCAATCATTCAGGCTGGTCATGGGGCCAAGTCTTCATGTTTAACTTTGTAACTTGACTTCACCCTCTGATTGGTCACTTCTTGTGACCAATCAGACTGGTTGCAGGCCAAGTCTTCATTTACACAGGGTGTAACCAAGTAACCAATGGGAAACTCTGGAGGGTATTTTAAACTCCAGAAAATTCTGTAACCAACGCTCTTGAGCCACTTGGTCGAGCCAGCTCCTACTCTGTGGAGTGAATTTTTGTTTACATATATCTGTGCTTCCGTTGCTTCATTCCTTCATTGCTTTCTTTGTGCATTTTGTCCAATTTTTTGTTCAAAACGCCAAGAATTTGGATGACTTGTAGTCAAGACCCTCCACTGGTAACACCAGGAGTGGAATTGCTGGATTGTAGAGTTTGCATAGATTCAGCTTTGGTAAATAATTAGCAGATGTTTTGCAGGCCAATTCTGAAACAAAGAAAATAGTTACAGGTTTGACTGTTTTATACTCAACATGAAAATAGTTTGTAGACAGTCCCATGTGGGGTTAAAAATAAATATTTTTACAGCTGAAGTGACTTATTCTATTAAGAAGAAGAATGTCAGTGAGAAAATTGGCCCTCTTGTCGGCCAATATCCAGGCCTTTGGGGAACCCCTGAGGAAGCATCCTCCTCATTTGCCACTTTAAAATTAAAACATGCCAAAGGGGGACAGCTGGAGGAATGCAAGTGTCTCAAATGCCGTCTTTTATCCCCCCAAAGGTGTCTCTCCGCTCCAATTTCCAGAAATCCACACCGCATCTCCACCATTTTCAGGCTCAGGGAAGATGTTTATTGTTCAGTAGATACCTGTAAGCATCAAGGTTTGGGGAGTAGGGGGATATGGAGCAGTTGTAAGGATGCGAATTCTTGATTCAGACACACCAGGTATTAAAGCTTGAATCCTAGCGAGTGATCTTGGATGAATTATTTCCGCTCTTGGGTTCTGGTTTCTTCATCCACAAAATGGACAAAATAACAGTTCTTCTCACTGAGAGAGATTATGGAAAGGACTGTCTGAAATGCATGAAAAGGAATTAGCATAGGGCTAGTGCCTAATTCTCAGAAAACATTAACTGCAATCAGCATCATCGCTGTGGTCATTTGTATTTGCTAGCTGTCAGAGTGGGGATGTTCCCAGCTGTGCAGCACCCAAGTGGGCACTGAAGGTTCATTCTCCCCACCTCTTTCTTCCATGCGGCAACTAAGTCATCACTCTCCCCACCCCAGCTCTCTGAGGTAGCAGAAGAATCCAGGCTACAAGTGCCAGAATCACATCACACTGAGCTTGCTAATCCTTTTTGCCCTCAGATGTGGTTAGCTAGGGAGGGGAAAGGCAAGAGGAGGGAGAATGGCAAGTTGCGAACCCGGGACAACAAAGCTGAGCTGCCTGAAGCCTGCAGCCAGGAGCAAACGGAAACAAATTAGTTCAATCCCAGAATGTAAACCATCATTGACAAAGATGCATGGAAAAGCCATGCAAGGAAAGCCTGCTGCAATTTCTCATCTAGTTAGCAGAGGGATCAATGCCACCGGCACAGGCCCCGTAGAAGACACTGCGTGCGGCAGCATGTGCAGGCCCTGGGGCCTGGGACCCCCTTTTGGGGCTCCCAGATGCATCAGGTGCCAAGGTCAGCTTTGCGGGAAGGGGACTTGCCCTCAGATGTTCTAGTCCATATATTATAGTGCCTGAGAGTCCTGCATGACAGCTTGATTCAGGGATGTAGAATTTTAGGACTTGAAGGATATTTTGTCCAGAGATTTTTATATTCTAGAATTCCATGAATGTGCACTGGGGGCTAGGAGGATGCTGTGAAGATAGGGAAACACTGAATAATAGGTGGGCTCCCAGCTTCAAACAGAGCTGTCATCTGTTTCGGATTGGGATGAAGCATATGAAATTGCCATTTTTATTGGCCAAAGGCAGCTCATTATTGACAATTTCATTTGGTTACATGAGGTGCAGGCTGGATTTGATCCTGAGCAAGCCACCAGCTCCAGGAGGATGGGACAATGGGGTGCAAATCACTTCTCCATCTCTGCACCTGAAACAGGACCTGGCATATGCCACAGCTGGAATAGCAAATGAATGAAGCAGGTGTCAATGCCTTCATGGGTTCTTTCTCTATTCATTCACATATTTGTGAACAATCATTCATTGGTATTAGTATGCATCAGATACTAAGTGCTGGGTTACAACAATTAAGCAGTACTTTGTTTAAATATAGTTAAATTACTTTAACAGCAGACAGACATTAACCTTCCCTGAGGCCATTTATAGTCCAGTGGGTGAGACAGACATTAAACATACAGTGGCCTGAGTGTTTATTACAATTGCAATAAGTGGTACAAAGGAAAGAGGGCACGTAATCCTTCAGTGTTTGATGTGGTTTGGGTGTTTTGTCCCCTCCAGATCTCACGTTCAATGTAATCTCCAGTGTTGGAGGTGGGTCTCATGCTAAGTGTTTGGGTCACAGGGACAAATCCCTCATGAATTTGGGTGCTTTCCTCAGATAATGAGTGAGTTCTGGCTCTGAGTTCACACAAGATCTGGTTGTTTAAAAGAATGTGGCACCTCCCCCTCTCTGTCTGGCTCCTCCTCTCACCCTGTGATACTCTGGCTCTCCCTTTGCCTTTCACCATGATTGGAAGCTTTCTGAGGTCTCACCAGAAGCAGATGCCAGCACTATGCTTCCTGTACAGACTGCAGAACTGTGAGCCCAAATAAACCACTTTTCTTTATAAATTGCCCAGCGTCCGGTGTTCCTTTATAGTATGCAAGAACAAACTAACATAGTACTCATTAGGTGCAAAGTGCAAGGGTGGCCACTGGGAAGGTTACAGTGATAAGATGTTGCCCAGCTGCCAAGAGAAGAAAGTGTAGTAGACAGTATTGTGCTCAGAAAGCTTTGGTATCTCTCCTTTGGAAGAATGGTCCTTACCTCACCTATTGAGCTCAGGCATGGCCAGGTGACTTGTTTTAGCCAATGAAATGTGAGCATGAGTGACTCGTCATTTCCAGGCAGAAGATTCAAGCCTCAGTGTGCCATGCTCTCTTTTCCTATTGCCACATACTGCTGCTTCTTTAGCGAGGGTCCTGGAATACAGGCCCTGGGAAGCAGTCCTCAGCCCTTCCCAATGGGTGCAAAAACCACCTAATAATTTCAGGTTGTTTGTTTCAGACTGTTTCAGCATAAGCTTGTCTGACTAACAGCAGTCATCCATGCCCTTGCCCTAATCTAACATGAAACCATGTTGTAGATTTCCATATTCCTCTCCAGTGCTAAGTACAGTAGCTTCCATGTGGTAAGTACCAGTAAATGATTGCGAATGAACAATTCACCACAGGATGTGGTAATTGCCATAAAAGAAGGGCAAATCTGGCGTCCTGAGAGCTCAGAGAAGGGAGAGCTCAGCTTTAAGCTCCAGAATGAGAGCATCTTGAGCACAGACAGACCCTAAATGCTGGGTAAATAACAATGAGTATTACAATCACTGTTATCATTCTAGTCCAGTTGTGTTTGGGGAATGGCTTGCAGGTGAGTGAGAGTGGAGCACATCATACTGCCTATGGTCTTTCTTTATACTCCAGAGGGCATGAACATTAGTAGCTGTGGCCTTATATTCTTAGAGCCTCATGATCAGAGAAGAACATGCATCCTTCTCAGCTCAAATTTTTTAAATCCCAGGGAAGACTTCCTATTGGCTCAGTTGAAGTCACATGTCTTTTCTCGAACCAATCAATCATTGTGGTCTCTGGGTAAAATCCAGTTGAATAGCCCAGCCAAAATTTGGTCCAAAAAGAACAGTATCTGTTCTAGGAAGAACAGAGTCAGAGTCATCGTGAGTCAGGCAGGCTCCCCATTTTTATAAGTTTAATGCAATCATTTATTGAGTACTTACTGCTGTATGGAAGACTCTGTGCTTGGCACTGTGGAGGAATATAGAAGACATAGAAGCAGAAGTGGTAATGGGAGTTGAGGAGGCAGAGGCAAGGAAAAAGTAAAGCCCAGACTGAGTCCAGCCCCTACTGCACAGACACTCCCTCTGGGCTGCCCTGCCCTGGAATGTCTCTCCACCAGAAAGCTCTGCTCCCCTCCCAGCACAGCCCCCAAAGAGCTAAAAATCAACGCCACTCACTCCTGAGCCTGACAGCCAAGCTGGATGAGAATGAATGGGGCTCTGTGAGGCATCTTGCAGCTCCCTCGACAATGCTCTGCCCGTACACTCTGTTCTCGTGGTTTCTGTCTCCTCTTCTGTGTTTACAGGGTTGGGCAGCTGCTACAGCCCTTGCCTCTTCCCTGAGTGCCTCAGAGTGACAGAGATGAAGAAGCCACTTGGCTCTAGGAAGTGTGGCCTGGCTTTGATATGGTTTGGCTTTGTGTCCCCACCTAAATCTCATCTGGAATTGTAATCCCCCATGTGTAGACGGAGGGAGGTGATTGGATCATGGAGGCAGTTTCCCCCAAGCTGTTCTCATGATAGTGAGTGAGTTCTCACGAGATCTGATGGTTTTATAAGTGTATGGAAAGCTCCTCCTTTACTCACTCTTCTCTCTCTTGCTGCCTTGTGAAGAAGGTGACTGCTTCCCCTTCTGCCATGATTATGAGTTTCCTGAGGCCTCCCCAGCCATGCGGAACTGTAAGTCCATTAAAGCTCCTTTGTTTATAAATTACCCAGTCTCAGGTATTTCTTTATAGCAGTATAAGAATGAACTAATACAGTGTGAGAACTAATACAGTGTGAGGATGAACTACTAACAGTGTGAGAACAAACTACAGGCTCTGTCCACAGTCAGCACTGTGCAGTAGGCACTGAAGCGAGAAGGAACTAAGTCTAACCAGAGCCCTGTCACTCACAAGCTGGCTAGCCTGGGATGTTAGAGCAACTGGGAATGCACTGGGCAGTACGTTGCATTAAAATAGGACTGCAGTGACAAAAACAAATCAGGGTTTATTTTTCATACAAACAAGAAGTTCAGCTTTAGTGGCTCAACCACCAAAGGCCCACCAACTCTGAAACTCTTTGGACCTTTTCATTTTGCAAGCTGGTCTCTGTAGTGCTAGGCATTGCATCTGTCAGCAGATGAGCACCGAAGAGGGGTTTAGGGTGGGACAAAGGCAGTGGGACATGTCTTGTCTGTCTCTTTTTATCAGGAGAGCAAAACCTTTCCCAGAAACTTCCAACAGGCTTAGATCTCATTGGCCAGATCAAAAGAAACAGGGAAAACAGATATTTTGCTTCTCCAGTCTTCATAGTGGAAGACAACAGTGAAAAAAGTATTGGGAACAACCATAGGTCAGCCAGGTGTCCGTGTCTGCTCCAGGAAGTTACCTTCTTAGCCCCATGCACTAGTTTCCCAGAGATTCCAGAACAAAAGACTGCAAACTTTGAGTGGCTTAAAAAACAGAAGTTTTTTGCCTCACAGTTCCAGAGGCAAGAAGTCCAAGACTGGTGTTGACAATGTTGGTTCCTTCTGAGGGCTGAGAGGGAGGATCTCCCAGCCCCTGCTCCAGCTTCAGGGCTGGCTGGCCATCTTTGGCGTTCCTTGTCTTGGAGAAGCATCACCCTGACTCCTGCCTTCATCATCACATGGTGTTCTCCCCAGGTTTGTGTCTGCTTCCACATTTCCCCTCTTCATCCGGACTCCAGTCTTATTGGATTACAGCCCACCATAATGACCCCACTTAACTTCATTATCTCTGTAAAGACCCTGCCTCCAGATAAGGTCACATTCTGAGATACTGGGGGCTAGAAAGTCAACATATAAATTTGAGGGGGACATGGTTCAACCCATAACAGTCCCGTTTCTTAATCTATAAAATGAGTATAACAAGAGTTCCTGTCCCACGCTGGTTGTAAGACTTACACAGGGTGATCCACATAAGGAACTCCCATCAACGCTGGCCCAGAGTGAGGACCCAATACACAGCTGCTGTGCGTGGCTCCTGGGGCTCCGCACCTCTAGGGCTGAGGCCCATGTCAGGGCCAATGAAAGGAAGATGAGGCCAAGAAGGAGAGAGTCCCATCAGTTCCCAGCCCCTAGAGTTTACCCGTGTCCCCAGTGGGACAGACATGACCTGACAACTGACTAGCTGGCCCTCATGATCCAAGATGGCCCCATCCTCGGCTGCTCAGGACAGCTGGCCACCTGAGTCAGTGGGACTTTCGTCTATAATCCAGGGTGGCCTCACATACTTGGTCCCACAGAGCTCCCATTTCCAGGAAAGCAACCTTTAGCAGCTCCAAGGGAAAGGTGGAGGAGTGGGCTCCCCAGCCCTCACTTGGCTATCTCTTCTCTTCTGGGCAGTAATGGAATCCACCTCCTCTCCTGGGGGCCACTTCCCACAAGAGCAGGACAGGCTGCGATCCCAGGTTCCAAGGGGCTGCTCTCTCTTCCCACTTGAGTGTTTTGAGTAAATTACAAGGCTCTTATCAGTGGTGGGGGCTTTATTGTTCTGCCAGGACATCTCCCTTTGTCAAAAACACAATAACTTGTTGTAAGTGGTACTTTTTTAGGTTTACCAAGCAGACAGACTAATTGTATCTTTTAATCTGGGTCAAACTGCTCTTGCTTATTACAAATTGGCTCTGAATCCTAAAAAGTTGGGGGGGAATGTGAGGAGCATTTGCAAATAATTTAGAGGCAGAATTACCTTCAGACAAATATTATGTCATGTTGGGGAGAAATGCTTACCCAGGCCTCAGCCCAGTTATGCTCTGGTTGGCCCAGAAGGAAGCTGAGGGACAGAGAATGTTCCCTGTTACAGATTCTGGCTACTCATGGAGCTCGTGGATGAGGGGAGACAATTTGGGCATAGAACCAGGCATTACAACCTGGATAATGATTCCCAGAAGTATCTGGTACTGATCCTGTAACCTGTAAATATTACCTTATTTGGAAAAAAGGGTATTCATAGATTTTACTGCATTAGGGAGTTTATGCTCGGTTATTTGGGTGAGCCTTAAATGCAATCACAACTGTCCTTATAAGAGAAAGGTGGAGGGAGATTTGACACAGACAAAAGAAGAAGACAGAGCTTAGAGTGATGCAGCCACAAGCCAAGGCTTGCCAGAAGCCACTAGATTCTCCCTAGAGCCTCTGGAGGGACTATGGCCCTGCTAATACCTTAATTTTGGTCTAGTAAAACTGACTCGAGGCCTCTGGCCTCCAGAACTATAAGAGAATAAATTTTCATTATTTTAAGAAACTAAGTGTGTAGAAATTTGTTACCGCAGCTTTAGGAAACTAACGCATCAGGAGATTCCTGTTGGTGGCTTCACTCTACCCAAAGAGGACTTTCCAAGGCTGAAGAGGCCCCCAAGAGACATGGAAAGTATCATAGAAAGATTGGCCATTGGCCGGTGGTGTTCTAGCTCCTGTGTGGCTACTTCCTAGTTGTGTGACCCTCTCTGAACCTCAGTTTCTTCATTAGAAAAGTAAGAATAACCAACCTCCTCACTACATTGTTGAATGATTGCATGACAAGACACACATAAACCAGACGCTGGCATGTCACCACTGATGATCAGTGAAGGTTACTTTTTTGCTTAATTTTTATTGTTACACCTCCATTGACTTTCCAGGGGCTATTGTCAGAGTCATCAAGCAGTTTCTTGGGGCACTGTAGACTGTACTCATATCCTCTGCAAACCCCTTAATTTGCCAGGCAGTGCTATTTGTAAACTTCATGAGCTCAGATCATTGAGGGTTAATTTCTCCTGACTTAAAACAGTTTGCAGAAAACGTTAATGCCAATGTAAAGCAAACTGGTGCTCAAGCCAGAAAGTTGACATCCATAACAATGAGGCCAAGTGGGATATTTATTTCACCCAATTCACTAAAAAGAACACTATTTTTGACAAAGGCAATCAAAGAATTAGCTATATCCATGCACCTTTGATAATTGTCCTTGGATTGAGGCAAGGCTGGCCTTAACCATATTCATGATATGTTTCCAAGGGTACTCCTGGACTACCCATCTTTGAAATACCTTCACTATCAGAACGAAAAGTTCCACTGTTAGAGATTTATTCCTTTGGTGAGCTCAAGCATGGACCAATTTAGAGTCAAATATCACTAAGAAGCCAATTCTAGTTGTTAATAACTTAATACATTGCAGTTTGCAATTTAAAACCTTCCAGTGTCTTCCTGGTGCTTCAGAAAAAAACTACATAATTTTCATGGTCTCCAAGGCCTCCACAATCTGATCTTCTCTTCCTTGCCCTTGTATGTTTCTTCTAGTTGTTCAAATGTTCTATGATCTCTCTCTCTCCTGCTTCAGGCTTTTGCACAGGCTGCTCTATCTGGAGAAGATATTTAAAACATACTGACCTCCTGGGGCTGGGAACTACACAGGGAAGGGGAAGAGTGAACATGAGGATAATGGGACATGGTCCTCAACGTGGTCCTCACACTCAGGATGCTTGTCTTCAAGTAGGAGTCACGGCTGAAAAGAAGCTAAGAACAGGTAGAGCAAGCAGCCCAGATGCGAGACAGCTAAATGCTACAGGTCTTAGGAGAGACTCTTTCTCCTAGAGGTGGTGGAGGGGATCCAGGAGGTAGCAGAACCTTTGAAGGATGCATCACACTTAGCCGTGGGGGGAAGACTGTTGTAGAGCGTAATTTTCAGGTGGAAGGGACAGCTCAGGCAAAGACACAGAGTGGGCAGAATGTGAACATTCAGAGATGAACAACAGTGGGAACAAACACTGAGCACTGGGAAATTACCCCAAATCACAGCAGTCCCTCATGACCTGACCCCACCCATCTCCCCATTTCCTCTCACTTACAGTGGCCCAGTCACGTGGGCCTTCCATCTGTGACCCCATTGAGTTTGTGGTTCCCCAGTTAGGGCCTTGGCTCATCCCTTCACACTGCCTGGAAGCTTTCTCCCTCATCCCTCCCATGGATGCTCCCTTCTCACCCTCTCCATCTCAACCACTCCCCATAGAGACTTTCGCTACCATCCCCTCCAAAGTGTGTCCATGCTGTTTTTCTCACTCAGTGCCTCTTTCTCGGTACTTTCTGACATTTAGCACAATTTGAGATTGTATTTTTCTTTGTAGATGATCTGATTAATGTCTGTCTCCCCTCTTATATCATGAGCTCTGAGAGGCTAGAAAAGGGTCTGTTTGTCCAGTACTTGATGAAGCCTGGCAGAGTGGGCACCCAGTGGAAACTCATTGAATTAGTTGGTGTGTGTGCGTGGTTGTGTGTGCCCCTGTGTGCACGTGTGTGTTTGTGTTATGGCTAAAGACTAAGATGAGTTAATGTACAACATAGATTTAAAAAGTATCAAATTAATTAATTGTGCTTTTGTATACTTTAATTCTGAAAGTTAATTATTTGTCTGCTGAAGGCCTGCTGCCTTGGTCAGAGATGCTAGCACAGGGGAAGATATAGTAAATGGTGGCATCCCAGTTTGCAATGAAAAGCATAGAATGCAAGCACATTTATGAAATACAGACATCACTTAGAACAGGTCTGGAACCAGGCATAACTCCTTCAGGTGACAATTGGTCTTGTGCATAGACCAGAATGGAGTTATGGAAATACAAGCCAGTAGCCTGTAATCCCAGCGCTTTGGGAGGCCGAGGTGGGCAGATGACTTGAGGTCAAGAGTTCAAGACCAGTCTGGCCAACATGGTGAAACACTATCTCTGCTAAAACTGCAAAAATTAGCCAGGTGTGATGACATATGCCTGTAATCCCAGTGCTTTGGGAGGCCGAAGTGGGCAGATGACTTGAGGTCAGGAGTTCGAGACCAGTCTGGCCAACATGGTGGAACACTATCTCTGCTAAAACTACAAAAATTAGCCAGGTGTGGTGACATATGCCTGTATTCCCAGCTACTTGGGAGGCTGAGGCAGGAGAATTGCTTGAATCTGGGAGGTCAAGGCTGCAGTGACCTGAGATTGCACCAGTTCATTCCAGCCTGAGTGACAGAGCAACACTGTCTCAAAAACAAAACAAAAACAAGCCAGTAATTTCTAGGCAGATTTTTCTCCTGTGAGCTGTTTGCCAGCAGCCATTTACCTGGCAAACTCTGGGTCTAGAATTCTCCTTCTTGGTAATTCATGATTACACAACTCTGATGTTAGCTGGCTAACGTTGACTCTGAACCCTCCAAAAGGAAAGTTTTCTAAGCAAATGAACAAAAATCATGAAATATCAAGGAAGCAGGTCAAATTATTTAGGAAATAGAGGTAGTCCATACCAACATAGAGGAATCTATTTACATACAAACAATATATTAATTATAAAGCATTCTTTACCATTTCTTAAAGCAGGGGACTCTGAAGGATGTTCCTCTGTATAATGCAGTAGCCTTATTAGAGTTTCTGTCTGTGTTGAAAGGCAACACAACTGCCTCTCCAGTACATTAGAGTGAAAGAAAGGGAGGAGAGAAAGGGAAGGAAAGGAGGAAAGCAGGAAGAAGACAGGGAGGAAGGAAGGAAGAAAGCGGGGGAGAAGGAGGGAAGGAGGGAAGGGGGGAAGGAAGGAGGGAGGTAGGGAAAGGAGGAGGGGAGGAGAGGGGAGGTGAGGGGAGAAGGAAGAGAAGGAGGGAGGGAAGGAGGAAAGGAAGAAGGGAAGGAAGAGAGGGAGGGAACAAGAATGAAGGAAGGCAAAAAGAGAGGGAGGGAGGTAAAGAAAGAAGGAGAGAAGGAGGGATGGAAGGAAAAAAGAAAGAAGGGAGAGAGGGAAGAAGGGGAGGACTTGCAGCTGCCATTTGCCCAGTGCTTAGTGTGCCAGGCATTTGTGCTAAATGTTAGACATACTTCATCTTTTAATCTGCCAGCCACCCTCTGAGATAGGTATTTATTATTATTTCCATTTTGCAGATTAACTGAGTTGAGGTTTGGAGCAGTAAAGCTACCTACTCAAAGTGGCAAGACCATATGTGCAGGGTATAAAATCCAAGTCATAGCTGAATGGAATAGCACATTCCTCCTCCATCACAATCAGACCACATCGCTTCCAGATCTTATTGCTCTGAATTTCCTTCAGGCAGAGGATCCTTCCATGGAATAATGCAAGTGCAGAAGGCTTAATCCTTCTCTCTGTGCGTGTGTGCATGTGCCCATGTGTGCAATATGAAATCACTTTAAAATACCATGTAAACCATAATGAGGTACCTCATTTCCAAAAAGATCAGTTGGCAAGCATTTTAAAAGTTTGACAAGTCAATCCTGGTGAGGTAGTGGAGCAGTGAGAACTTTCTTACCCCTCTGGTGTAGATATAAACTGCTAAAAATCAGTCAAGAATGCAATTTGCTGATTTCTAGAAAAGCTGAAGCCATGTGACTCCCATGACCCAGCATTTCCAGACCCACCTGTATAGACAGGAATTTTCACACATTTACATAAGGAGTCACATGGAAGAATATTCATTGCTGTAGTGCATGAAATCTAACAAAATTAAACTTGTTGGATTTGGAAAGATACCACGTATCAGTTAACAGGAAAAGGGATAAATAAAGGGAGATCATGATGCTGTGACAGTTTGGCTGGAAGTTGAAGCAAACTGGAACCCCAGAACTCCTGGCAACAACATGGAGAACTATCAAATCAATACTGAAAAAAAAGAAATAGCTGTCGGAGACAACCAACAGTGTGACCACACTGATTCTCTAAAAGTGTAAAAGCACATGGACACATACAAATGAAATAAAATTTAAAATCATATATGGGAAAATTTAGGACAGCAGTTACCACTGAGGGAGAGAAGGAAGAAGGGAATTGTACAGTGAAAAGGCTTCAACTGTGTTTGCAATGTTTTCATTCTTAAGCTGAGCGATGGGTGTGCTAACGTTTATGAAATATTCTCTGTAAGTTTTTTTTTGTATTCCCAAAATACTTCAACATAATGCAATTTTAAAAGAGGAGGAGGAAGACTAAGTGTTTTGCTTTCTACAAGAAATGCTACTGGGGGATAGCAGGGCTGAGAAGTGGCCAGACTATTTGTGAACCTGGATAAAGCTTCTAATTTCTCCTGGCCTGGTTGGAGGTGCCCTGCCCTTGGCAGGTGGTCCAGCCCATGATACAGCTGCATACAGCAATGCCTGTAAGCAGCAAGCATCGTAAACCTCCCAGGATGCCACCTCCAGCCTGCTGCAACACAGAGCATGTTCCCTGGGAAGCCGTGTTTTCTCCAGGTGAAGGTTGGGATCACTCCATCTCTGTCACCTGCACAGAGAAGGAAGTGCTATGGAGAGACAGATTAGATCATCTATTATCAAGTAGGCATAAGACCGACCAAGGAGGCACCTGCCGCTTGCCAGATGTTCTATTCATTATCAGAGTCGTGGGGAGGGTGGACCTTGATTCTTCCTCTCTGTCCCCTGAGTCCAGACTCTCTAGGGAAGAATCAGACAGGAGACTGGATCATGGACCAGCTCCCTCAAAACTGGCCTGATGATGGGGTGGGGTGGGGCAGGGATTGCATCACAGGCAGCACAGAGTACATTACTCCTAGGCTGTGGAAATACTCAAGAAGAGAGTATAATATTTTGGAAGGTTCTTGTGTTCAGGCCAGTGGCAAACATGATGAATGTCTCCCCTGGGACACTTAAACAAAAGCCCAGCCAATACTACCATCATTGTCATCATCATCATCATCGTCAAATGCTTACTCTGAGCCAGAAACTCTGCTAAGAGTTTCACCTGCATTTTCTTATGGACTTATGGCAAGGTCTTTACAAGGAAACAACTATGCATGTGCCCAGGTGACAGCAGAGGAAATGGGCAGGGGGAGGTAAGTAACCAACTGAGCTCCACTAAAGTGAACTGCCACAAACATGCCATCTCCTCTACCTCACCATTGACCTGTCAATGACCTCACCCAGGCATCCGCTCCAAAGGCGGGGAGGTGGGCAGGGTCCCTTTGCTTCCTTATATCCCGGAAACACTCTGGGCAGAAATGGCACACCCAGTACCTAGCATCCAGCACCCAGCACCCAGTACAGCCTTCTCTAACCAGCCAAGGCCCAGAGATCTGGGCTTTGAGAGCATTAAAATTTCTAAAACAGGCACCTAGGAGTGTTACATGACTTTCCTGAGAACCCAAAAGCCTCTTCATGACTTTATGAATCTTCAGAGATGAGGATGAGCATGGCTGTTAGGTCTCCCACCAGGCGGCTAGCAAGACCTAACCCTAAGCCCCATCCCTGGTCATCTAGGGGATCCCCTCATCGCTCATCCACTCCTAATTGCTGGCTCTTGGAAACAAGCAACACAGAGTGACTAACTCCACCAGCACCACCACCATATCACCACTACCACCCAAAGCCCAATACCTTCCAAATCTAGGGCACATCACCATCTGATCTGGAAGCCTCTTCCTATACGTCTGATGTTCTGTTTCAATGTCTGAGCCCAGATGTAGACACTATAAAATACCCTGAGCTGATTCTGATGGTCTTACAGATTTAGTACACATGGCCTTAAGCTATAGAAAGTTCTAATGATAGAATTACAGAATTCCATCTTGTAGTAGGAACAGGAGGCGATGGAGATGTCAGCTTTTCTGGCAGAGAACAGAATTATGCCCCCAAAACTTAACTCCCCACCCCACCCCCTGCCCCTGGAAACATTGGTTAGCAATCAGGTCACACAGAGAGAAATTACCCTTTAGAGTTTCACAAGCCAAGGATCTACATCAGCTCCACTCTACTCTGGCCCCCAGACACCCTCCCTCCCTTTCCCTAAAATCATCCCATCTGCAGCCAGGCTCATTTTCAAAGTCATGTTCACTTATTTGTCTGGACCACAAGATGCCCAGGCAGATTGCATGTTCTAGGTCCAAGGGAGGTGTGTTAGTCAGCTCAAGCTACCATAACAAATACCACAGATCGGGTGGCTTAAACCACTGAATTTCTTCCTCACAGTTCTGGAGGCTGGAAGTCCAAGATCAAGGTGTCGGGTCAGGAGTTCGAGACCAGCATGGCCAACATGGGGAAACCCCATCTCTACTAAAAATACAAAAATTTGCCGGGCTTGGTGGCAAGTGCTTATAATCCCAGCTACTCAGGAGGCTGAGGCAGGAGAATCGCTTGAACCCAGGAGACAGAGGTTGCAGTGAGCCAAGATCGAGCCACTGCACTCAGCCTGGGCGACAGAGTGAGACTCCGTTTCAAAAAAAAAAAAAAAACAGGTGTTGGCAAAGTCGGTTTCTTCTGCGGCCTCTCTCCTTGGCTTATAGCTGGCCATCTGCTCCCTGTGTCCCCACAGGGTCTTTCCTCTGTGTGTGTCTGTGTCCTAATCTCCCCTTCTAAGGACACCAGTGAGATTGGATTAGAGCCCACCCTTGTGTTATCTCAATTACTTCTTTAAAGGCCCTATCTACAAATACAGTCACATTCTTCAGGACTTGGGGTTAAGGCTTCAAAATGTGCACTGAGGGGCACAATTCAGCCTGTAACAGGAAGGAAAACAGCTTGCAGAGAAATGCAGGGAGTTTGCATGCCATTCTCTCACCCACTGGGATCTTCCACCTGGATTTACATCTCCTTTCATTCCTCTCTGTTCCCCCGAAACTCTAAATCTTGACATACTCTAATGTTTTATATTAACCCATGATATTATATTTTCTCTTTTTTTTTTTTTTTTTTTTTTTTTGAGACGGAGTCTCACTCTGTCGCCCAGGCTGGAGTGCAGTGGCGCAATCTCGGCTCACTGCAATCTCCACCCCCTGAGTTCAAGTGATTCTCCTGCCCAAGCCTCCCAAGTAGCTGGGATTATAGGTGCCTGCCACAGCGCCTGGCTAATTTTTGTATTTTTAGTAGAGACAGGGTTTCACCATCTTGGCCAGGCTTGTCTTGAACTCCTCACCTCGTGATCCACCCACCTTGGCCTCCCAAAGTGCTGGGATTACAGGCATGAGCCACCGCGCCCAGCCTCTCTTTTTTTTTTTTTTCCTTTTGAGACAGAGTTTAGCTCTTGTTGCCCAGGCTGGAGGGCAATGGCGTGATCTCGGCTCACCACAAACTCCGCCTCCCTGGTTCAAGTGATTCTCCAGCCTTAGCCTCCCAAGTAGCTGGTATTACAGGCATGTGCCACCATGCCTGGCTAATTTTGTATTTTTAATACAGACAGAATTTCTCCATGTTGATCAGGCTGGTCTCGAACTCCCGACCTCAAGTCATCCACCTACCTCGGCCTCCCAAAGTGTTAGGATTACAGGCCTGAACCATCGCGCCTCACCTATATTTTCTCTTTACAGCAGGAATTACAGAAAATTTAAAGCATCACTGCAAGTGCAGGAGATGAGCCCTGGAAAATATTATCATCATGCCCAACGTTGGCATGCATTCTCTTCTCCCTAGTTGGGCTCCTCTGTGCTCATTAATTAGTTCAGTGAATAGCAGCCATCAGTCACTGGTGGACTCTTCTCTAAAACTCTATTTGATTTTCTTGAATTATCACCTGAGACAGGGTAAACAGGAGATGCATGAAATATTCTGGAATTCCAAATTGATAGAGAGGCATCATGCCAGGCACTGGCACCCATCAAACTGAATGACTCAGAATTTACGCAGATAGGATGGAGGCCGGAGAGGACGAGAAGAGGTAAGGACAGGGTGGAGCTGAGGGAGTCCCCGGGTTTGTAAGCCCACCCAGTTCATCACAACTGGAAAGACAACAGCAGCCTGGACCTCAGCCTGACTGAACCCCAGATCCCCAGATCAGCTCTGGGGAGAGGATGTTTGCAGGTGGTGTCCATTACCCCAGATAGAGAAAAAAGCCAAGAAGGCCCTTCTGACTGATAGTGTTGACCTGCCTTCAGCAAACAGTCTCTAAACATCAACAACATGGCATCAGGAGGTGGTTTTGGTAAATTGTTTGCTTGACAGAAGGAGTCATTATTTTATTTTATTTTTCAGCTTTTATTTTGGCTTCGGGGGTACATGTACAGGTTTGTTACATAGGTATATTGCATGACACTGAGGTTTGGGGTATGAATGATTCTGCAACCCACGTAGTGAACATAGTACCCAATGAGTAGTTTTTCAGCACATACCCACCTCTCCCTTTTCTAGTAGGCCCTGATGTCTGTTGCTGCCATCTTTATGTCCATGTGTACTCAATGTCTAGCTCTCACTTATAAGTGAGAATATTCGCTATTTGGTTTTCTGTTCCTGCATTAATTTGCTTAGAAAAATGGCCTCCAGCTGCATCCATGTTGCTGCAAAGAACATGATTTTGTTCATTTTTATGGCTAAATAGTATTCCATGGTGTATATATATTGCATTTTCTTTATCCAATCCATTATTGATGGGTACTTAGATTGATTCCAAGTCTTTGCTATTGAAGAGTCATTATTTTAAAAAGCATTTGCCAAATTCTTGTGGATATTGCCCAAAGTGTATTTTTCCCAGCACTCCTCCTGTCTTGGGCCAAAGCCTTTTCTTGACCAGAAGGCAAATAATGACTAGAGGTAGATCTTGACATTGAGATCCAGAAATGGTCCCAATTGCTCAACAGAATCTGTTATTTGGGAAAAGGTTACTCTAGGTGAGGGAGTTTTGAGGATGCCTGGGTTTACTGCAGGTGCCAACCTGCAGCCAGCCCTGTCCCTAGAGCTCTGTCTCCAGACTCCACCTATTCCCTCCATAGCTGTTCTGCTCCTCCAGGCCCTTGCACCCTGCCTGGCCCAGATGTGTTCCCTCACTCCCCACTGTCAATGCCCTCTTCTCTTAGGAGTGTGTCTAAAATGTTAACACTATATGGATCAAAGAAATGTATACTGTGGCTTCTGGAAGCCAGATATGTATAAGCTCTTCAGAAGCAACTTGGAAATGGCTGAACTGAGACTGGCCTGCCTGGCACTTGCAGGAGCGAGAGATCTCATTAGGCTAGACTTTCTCTCCCTTCCAGGAGTCTGCTGTTCAGAGACCAGCAGTCAATCACTTGGGGGCAGGGAACGAGGGGAATGAAATCTGCAGCTTTAGGAAAATGGAACTGAAAACATTTAACTTTGAATCATAAACAGAAGCAATAAATTAGAGAGAGGTCAGGGAACAGGAAATCAAGAGAGGAGAGGCCTGTTCCAGGAAATAAGGAGATTTGGTTGGGCAATGACATTCAGCAGCCTTTCGTGGAGATATTGATCACTGGGGCTGGGCTGGCTGCTGCACCACTGTCAGAGGAGTCTGGCCCAGAGGGTATATTCTGAGGCTGCCCTTCACTGAATTCTCTAATTGTCCCCAGAAGCACAGTCCTAGGCATAGATATTTTACATCAGAGAAAGGGACAAAGATCTCAGTTGGAAGTGGGCATCCTCTTGCAACCCAAAAAGGAATGCATGGTGCAGGTTCTAGTGGGACTTTTCAAAGACAGGATGTATTTCTAGCATTTCTCCAGATGATAACAGGATTTACACCTTTGGGCAATTGCATAAACTCCCTGGCAATACAAGTCTATAGCTGTTCTGAGGGCCCTGAGTCAAGTGTTTTGTAGAGGCTAGAAAGGCAGAGATGAATGAAACATGGCTCTAGAGCCACCCAGTGTAATGGGAGAGACAGACACATTGACCACAAAGCATAATATTAAGCAAGGCAGTTGGTGATGAATTGATCTACATCAGTATGACATAAAAATAAGTCGGGGTGGAGCCAAGATGGCCAAATAGGAACAGCTCCAGTCTACAGCTCCCAGCATGAATGACACAGAAGACAAAGGTTTTCTGCATTTCCAACTGAGGTACTGGGTTCATCTCACTAGGGAATGTCGGAAAGGGGGTGCAGGACAGTGGGTGCAGTGCACTGAGCCTGAGCCAAAGCAGGGTGAGGCATCCTCTCACCCAGGAAGCACAAGGTGTCAGGGAATTCCCTTGCTTAGCCAAGGAAAGGGGTGACAGACAGCATCTGGAAAACCGGGTCACTCCCACCCTAATACTGTGCTTTTCCAATGGTCTTAGCAAACAGCACACCAGGAGATTATATCCCGCGCACGGCTCAGAGGGTCCTACGCCCACAGAGCCTTGCTCATTGCTAGCACAGCAGTCTAAGATCAAACTGCAAGGCAGCAGCGAGGCTGGGGGAGGGGCGCCTGACATTGCTGAGGCTTAGGTAGGTAAACAAAGCAGCCAGGAAGCTTGATCTGTGTGGAGCCCCATGCAGCTCAAGGAGGCCTGCCTGCCTCTGTAGACTCCACCTCTTGGGGGCAGGGCATAGCCAAACAAAAGGCAGCAGAAACTTCTGCAGACTTAAATGTCCCTGTCAGACAGCTTTGAAGAGAGTAGTGGTTCTCCCAGCACACAGCTTCAGATCTGAGAATGGACAGACTGCCTCCTCAAGTGCATCCCCAACACCTGAGTAGCCTAACTGGGAGGCACCCCCCAGTAGGGGCAAACTAACACCTCAACGGCTGGGTACTCCTCTGAGACAAAACTTCCAGGGGAGTGATCAGGCAGCAACATTTACTGTTCACCAATATCCGCTGTTCTGCAGTCTCCACTGCTGATACCCATGCAAACAGGGTCTGGAGTGGGCCTCTGGCAAACTCCAACAGACCTGCAGCTGAGGGTCCTCACTGTTAGAAGGAAAACTAACAAACAGAAAGGACATCCACACCAAAAACCCATCTGTACGTCACCATCATCAAAGACAAAAGGTAGATAAAACCACAAAGATGGAGAAAAAACAGAGCAGAAAAACTGAAAATTCTAAAAATCAGAGCACCTCTCCTCCTCCAAAGGAACGTAGCTCCTCACCAGCAACAGAAAAAAGCTGGACAGAGAATGACTTTGACGAGTTGAAAGAAGAAGGCTTCAGACAATCAAAGTACTCCGAGCTAAAGGGGGAAGTTCAAACCCATGGCAAAGAAGTTAAAAACCTTGAAAAAAGATTAGACGAATGGCTAACTAGAATAACCAATGCAGAGAAGTCCTTAAAGGACCTGATGGAGCTGAAAACCATGGCACGAGACCTACGTGACGAATGCACAAGCCTCAGTAGCCAATTCAATCAACTGTTAGAAAAGGTATCAGCGATGGAAGATCAAATGAATGAAACGCAGCGAGAAAAGAAGTTTAGAGAAAAAAGAGTAAAAAGAAATGAACAAAGCCTCCAAGAAATATGGGACTATGTGAAAAGATCAAACCTAAGTCAGATTGGTGTACCTGAAAGTGACGGGGAGAATGGAACCAAGCTGGAAAACACTCTTCAGGATATTATCCAGGAAAACTTCCCCAATCTAGCAAGGCAGGCCAACATTCAAATTCAGGAAATACAGAGAACGCCACAAAGATACTTCTGAAGAAGAGCAACTCAAAGACACATAACTGTGAGATTCACCACAGTTGAAATGAATGAAAAAAATGTTAAGGGCAGCCAGAGAGAAGGTCGGGTTACTCACAAAGGGAAGCCCATCAGACTAACAGCTGATCTCTCAGCAGAAACTCTACAAGCCAGAAGAGAGTGAGGGCCAATATTCAACATTTGGAAAGAAAAGAATTTTCAACCCAGAATTTCATATCCACCCAAACTAAGCTTCATAAGTGAAGGAGAAATAAAATCCTTTATAGACAAGCAAATGCTGAGAGATTTTGTCACCACTAGGCCTGCCCTACAAGACCTCCTGAAGAAAGCACTAAATATGGAAAAGAACAACCAGTACCAGCCACTGCAAAAACATGCCAAATTGTAAAGACCATCGAGGTTAGGAAGAAACTGCATCAACTAACGAGCAAAATAACCAGCTAACATCATAATGATAGGATCAAATTTACACATAGCAATATCAACCTTAAATGTAAATAGGCTAAATGCTCCAATTAAAAGACACAGACTGGCAAATTGGATAAAGAGTCAAGACACTTCACTGTGCTGTATTCAGGAAACCCATCTCATGTGCAGAGACACACATAGGCTCAAAATAAAGGAATGGAGGAAGATCCACCAAGCAAATGGAAAACAAAAAAAGGCAGGGGTTGCAATCCTAGTCTCTGATAAAACAGACTCTAAACCAACAAAGATCAAAAGAGACAAAGACGGCCATTACATAATGGTAAAGGGATCAATTCAACAAGAAGAGCTAACTATCCTAAATATATATGCACCCAATACAGGAGCACCCAGATTCATAAAGCAAGTCCTTAGAGACCTACAGAGACTTAGACTCCCACACAATAATAATTGGAGACTTTAACACCCCACTGTCAACATTAGACAGATCAACGAGACAGAAAGTTAACAAGGATATACAGGAATTGAACTCAGCTCTGCACCAAGTGGACCTAATAGACATCTACAGAACTCTCCTCCCCAAATCAACAGAATATACATTCTTTTCAGCACCACACCACACCTATTCCAAAATTGACCACACAGTTGGAAGTAAAGCACTCCTCAGCAAATGTAAAAGAACAGAAATTATAACAAACTGTCTCTCAGACCACAGTGCAATCAAACTAGAACTCAAGATTAAGACACACACTCAAAACCACTCAAAAACATGGAAACTGAACAACCTGCTCCTGAATGACTACTGGGTACATAACGATATAAAGGCAGAAATAAAGATGTTCTTTGAAATCAATAAGAACAGAGACACAACATACCAGAATTTCTGGAACACATTCAAAGCAGTGTGTGGAGGCAAATGTATAGCACTAAACGCCCACAAGAGAAAGCAGGAAAGATCCAAGATTGACACCCTAACATCACAATTAAAAGAACTAGAGAAGCAAGAGCAAACACATTCAAAAACTAGCAGAAGGCAAGAAATAACTAAGATCAGAGCAGAACTGAAGGAAATAGAGACACAAAACACCCTTCAAAAGATCGATGAATCCAGGAGCTGGTTTTTTGAAAAGATCAACAAAATTGATAGACCACTAGCAAGATTAATAAGAAAAGAGAGCAGAATCACACAGACGCAATAAAAAATGATAAAGGGGATATCATCACCGATCCCACAGAAATACAAACTACCATCAGAGAATACTATAAACACCTCTATGCAAATAAAGTAGAAAATCTAGAAGAAATGGATAAATTCCTCGACACATACACTCTCCCAAGACTAAACCAGGAAGAAGTTGAATCTCTGAATAGACCAATAACAGGCTCTGAAATTGAGGCAATAATTAATAGCTTACCAACCAAAAAAAGTCCAGGACCAGATGGATTCACAGCTGAATTCCACCAGAAGTACAAGGAGGAGCTGGTACCATTCCTTCTGAAACTATTCCAATCAATAGAAAAAGAAGGAATCCTCCCTAACTCATTTTATGTGGCCAGCATCATCCTGATACCAAAGCCTGGCAGAGACACAACAAAAAAAAGTATTTTAGACCAATATCCTTGATGAACATCGATGCAAAAATCCTCAATAAAATACTGGCAAACCGAATCCAGCAGCACATCAAAAAGCTTATCCACCACGATCAAGTGGGCTTCATCCCTGGGATCCAAGGTTGGTTCAACATACCCAAATCAATAAATGTAATCCAGACTATAAACAGAACCAATGACAAAAACCACATGATTATCTCAATAGATGCAGAAAAAGCCTTTGACAAAATTCAACAGCCCTTCATGCTAAAAACTCTCAATAAATTAGGTATTGTTGGGACGTATCTCAAAATAATAAGAGCTATCTATGACACACCCACAGCCAATATCATACCGAATGGACAAAAACTGGAAGCATTCCCTTTGAAAACTGGCACAAGACAGGGATGCCCTCTCTCACCACTCCTATTCAACATAGTGTTGGAAGTTCTGGCCAGGGCAATCAGGCAGGAGAAAGAAATAAAGGGTATTCAATTAGGAAAAGAGGAAGTCAAATTGTCCCTGTTTGCAGATGACATCACTGTGTATCTAGAAAACCCCATCATCTCAGCCTAAAATCTCCTTAACCTGATAAACAACTTCAGCAAAGTCTCAGGATACAAAATCAATGTGCAAAAATCACAAGCATTCTTATACACCACTAACAGACAAACAGAGAGCCAAATCATGGTGAACTCCCATTCACAATTGCTTCAAAGAGAATAAAATACCTAGGAATCCAACTTACAAGGGATGTGAAGGACCTCTTCAAGGAGAACTACAAACCACTGCACAATGAAATAAAAGAGGATACAAACAAATGGAAGAACATTCCACGCTTATGGGTAGGAAGAATCAATATCGTGAAAATGGACATACTGACCAAGGTAATTTATAGATTCAATGCCATCCCCATAAAGCTAACAATGACTTTCTTCACAGAATTGGAAAACACTACTTTAAAGTTCATATGGAACCAAAAAAGAGCCCACATTGCCAAGTCAATCCTAAGCCAAAAGAACAAAGCTGGAGGCATCATGCTACCTGACTTCACACTATACTACAAGGCTACAGTAACCAAAACAGCATGGTACTGGTACCAAAACAGAGATATAGACCAATGGAACAGAACAGAACCCTTAGAAATAATGCCACATATCTACAACTATCTGATCTTTGACAAACCTGACAAAAACAAGCAATGGGGAAAGGATTCCCTATTTAATAAATGGTGCTGGGAAAACTGGCTAGTCATATGTAGAAAGCTGAAACTGGATCCCTTCCTTACATCTTATACAAAAATTAATTCAAGATGGATTAAAGACTTACATGTTAGACCGAAAACCATAGAAACCCTAGAAGAAAACCTAGGCAATACCATTCAGGACATAGGCATGGGCAAGGACTTCATGTCTAAAACACCAAAAGCAATGGCAACAAAAGCCAAAATTGACAAATGGGATCTCATTAAACTAAAGAGCTTCTGCACAGCAAAAGAAACCACCATCAGAGTGAACAGGCAACCTACAGAATGGGAGAAAATTTTTGCAATCTACTCATCTGACAAAGGGCTAATATCCAGAATCTACAATGAACCCAAACAAATTTATGAGAAAAAAACAAACAACCCCATCAAAAGCTGGGCGAAGTATATGAACAGACACTTCTCAAAAGAAGACATTTATGCACCCAACAGACACAAGAAAAAATGCTCATCATCACTGGCCGTCTGAGAAATGCAAATCAAAACCACAATGAGATACCATCTCACACCAGTTAGAATGGCAATCATTAAAAAGTCAGGAAACAACAGGTGCTGGAGAGGATGTGGAGAAATAGTAACAATTTTACACTGTTGGTGGGACTGTAAACTAGTTCAACCATTGTGGAAGTCGATGTGACGATTCCTCAGGGATCTAGAACAAGAAATACCATTTGACCCAGCCATCTCATTACTGGGTATATATCCAAAGGATTATAAATCATGCTGCTATAAAGACACATGCACACGTACGTTTACTGTGGCACTATTCACAATAGCAAAGACTTGGAACCAACCCAAATGTCTAACAATGATAGACTGGATTAAGAAAATGTGGCACATATACACCATGGAATACTATGCAGCCATAAAAAAGGATGAGTTCAATGTCCTTTGTAGGGACATGGATGAAGCTGGAAACCATCATTCTCAGCAAGCTATCACAAGGACAAAAAACCAAACACTGCGTGTTCTCACTCATAGGTGGGAATTGAACAATGAGAACACATGGACACAGGAAGGGGAACATCACACACCAGGGCCTGTTATGGGGTTGGGGGAGGAGGGAGGGATAGCATTAGGAGATATACCTAATATTAAATGACGAGTTAATGGGTGCAGCACACCAACATGGCACATGTATATATATGTAACAAACCTGCATGTTGTGCACATGTACCCTAAAACTTAAAGTATAATAAAAAAAAAAGAAAAGAAAATATCACAGATAACAAAAAATAAATAAATAAATAAAATAAGTCAGATAGAGCAGGCGCGGTAGCTCACGCTTGTAGTCCCAGAACTTTAGGAGGCCAAGGCAGGCAGATCGCTTGAACCCAGGAGTTTGAGATCAGCCTGGGCAACATGGCGAAACCCTGTCTCTACAAAAACACAAATTTGCCAGGCCTGGTACATGTCTGTAGTCCCAGTTACTCAGGAGGCTGAGGTAGGAGGATCACTTGAGCCCAAGAGGCAGAGGTTGCAGTGAGCCGAGATCCCAACCTGCACTGCATCTGGGTGACAGAGTGAGACTCTGCTTCATAAAAAAGAAAAGAAAGAGGAAAGGAAAGAAGGAAGGAAGGAAGGGAGGGAGGGAGGGAGGGAGGGAAAGGGAAAGGGAAAGGGAAAGGGAAAGGGAAAGGGAAAAGGAAAGGGAAAGGTCAGAAAGACCCAGAATGCAACCCCAGACTTCCACGTCCCACTTGATGGTCTTTGAACAAGTTATATTGTTCCCCGGAAATTCCGTTTCCTAGATCTAAGAAGTACAGCCCTCATTTCTCTGAAGATCCACAAGGCAAGGGAAGTGGGGCAGTGTGGCTCACAGGGAAAGAAAGCCCAGGGCACTGTTTTGAAGCCACCTGAGGGTATGCACCAATGTCCTTAGGTGGATTTCTAGAATCCCTATTGAGATTTGCACCATCTAAGTAAAATGAATCTGAAGAGGTTGTCTGGAGATAAAACTATTCCTATGTTTGGCCCAAGGTCAGTGCTGAACCAATGGGAAAGTAAGCAAGAGAATGAATGGGGTAAATAGCAGAAGTGATTCGGGACTGACTCTCTTACCTCTCAGCAAAATCCCCAGTTGAACCCCTGAGAATAAAGGAGATTTTATTTATTTATGTACTTGTTTAACAAATACATGGCACTTAATTTGTGCCAGGCATTATTCTCAGTGCTTCACCTAAAAAACGCCAGTTTAATATTCACTATAATCCAAGGAGGTGTTATTATTATCCCCATTTTACAGATAAGAAACCTAAACAGACAGGTTTAGTACCTTGGACAAGTCACATAGCTAAAAAGTAGCCAAGACAGTTTTTGAACCCAGGCTTTGAACCCAGGCATTGTGGCTCTGAGAATCCACATTCCTTCTCTATTAAGGAGGCTAAAACGTCGCCTGAAGCCTCAAGGAGCCTGGTACCAGTCACACCCATCTACAGCCGTTAGCTCAGGTGGGAAGCTGCTGAGATGGTATTCAGAGCCCGGGTGCAGTACTCAGCCTCTGCCTTGATTCAAGAAGCCCAGTTTAAGGGCCTCCCCACCCAGCCCCCAGGACTTTGTCAGGCGCCCCCTAAGCCTAGAGGCCTCAATTCTTCTACCCAGATCTGTGAAGTGTCCTTGGGTCTGTGGTGGCACTGGCCACCCTGGGGCCCCCTAGAAAGGGTCCCTCCCCGGCTTCTCTCCAGTGCCCAAGGTCTGTCCTTGTGCCAAATGCAACTGATCCGTAGTGGCTGCCTGCAATACTGAATGGAAAAGAACTTGGGGTCACATCTGGGCTAACCAGGAAAGACACCCTTGTCCATCGGTGATTTCCTCATGGGTGTAGGAAACAGGTTATCGGCCACTGGCATAGCATTTCACTCAAGCCCATGGCTGATGCTCACAGTCCTCTGCCCAAGCTGGGCTGAGTGTTTTCTCCTTGTAACCTTCAGACTGTTCTGCTACTATCTCAGTCAGGACTCTTCTGATTGCAAGTGACAGAAATCCAGCTCTACCTGAACATGCGAAAAAGGAGAAATAACTTACTTAACTGAATTATGCAGGGGCAGATTTCTCAACTTCTCCATCTCTCATGTATGCTTTCTTCTGGAACAACTTCATTCTCATGCAAATTCCCCTCTCAGGATAGCAAATATGGCAAAAACGGCTACCAGGACTGACAAGCTGGTCTTTCAGCTATAGTTTCAACAGAAGCTCCAGAGCTGAGTTTCACTGGCTTAAGTTGGATCACATGACCTCCCCTAAGCCAATCATCGTGGCCAAGGGATGGTCCAGTGGGCCAGGCCTGGGTCCCATGTTTGCCCCTGTAATGAAATGGGGAGATGGGGATGGAGATTAATCTCACTCGCCATCTAGCAACCTGTGGTGGAAAAGGGCTGGCTCTCCAAAGGAAACTTGGGATGCCTTTCTCAGCATTTTAAACACCTAAAAATCGCGTTTTAAGAAGGTTTTTCTGGGAAAAATGTTTACGGGATGGATTAGAGCATTGAGCATGTACTATGCCAACAAGCCAGTCTCGGCTCCTTTTCCCTGGTTTGTGTTTATAGACTTCAGTCCTGGGAAGATGGGTTCTTTCCTGACTCTCTTGATCATTCACATCAGAAAAGAGTTCTGTTCCTTGGGATTTTATTTTTAATTATGGGAAATTTTCAGATATAATCAAAAGTGTTGAAAATAATCTGTGTCTGTTCCTCAGCTTCAACAATGATTAACTCAGGGCCAATTTTATTTCATCTATAGCCCCGCCCATCCCCACTCCACCATGAATTACTTTGAAGCAAATCCAGACATCATATATCTTTAAGATGCTCAGATTGCAAGGCCCTACAAGAGCTAGAGATTCCATTCTCCTCGAGAAGAAAGGAATCTGGCCTGTTATTTTACGTCACTTAGCAGAGGAGAGTCTTGCCTTTCCTCCTCCATAAACATGGCCCAAATCTCCTTACCTGATATTATACTTTGAGTCTTTATGAGTGGAAAACTGCACTTTCTTTATTCTTGTCTGGAAGTGCTCAGCCGGAGTGATTGCAGTGTTATCTCCCTGGGCATCCCCATTGTCCTCATCCTGCTGTTTCAACCCACTTTGCCTGTAGCCTTGTTTTCTGACCTGCCCCCTGCCTCCTCCTACCTGATTTCTAGGGTCCCTTTCCCCATTCTTCTAGCATTCTAACATACACACAGTCTAGAGAACAACAATAGCCTGAAAAAACTCTATTTCCCATTTTATAATCCCAACACAGAGCAGTCTCTCTGCCATGCAGCATACCAGCCTACAAATTGCTGCCGATACATGCATCAAAGAGCCATTCGGCTGCTCATGTGAACACAGGCTTCCCTTGCGCTTCCAAATGCTATATTATCTCTGCCACAGCAAAACCCCTTGAATAGCTAATAAATGCAAAAGAAAGTTTGGGAGGAAAAAAAAGTTACAAAAAATTATTATTATTACTTAAAGAGCCAGAGAAAGATAGCAAGGTTCTTCTAAAGTTACAACACCATCGTTAGCAGCTGCAGGGTACATGAAAGCCAGGGGCCGGGGGAGGGAAGATAGGGCATATTTCAAAGCTGACTGCTGCAGTAACAAAACGCGAAGGGGGTGTTGTGTGGAATACGCCAAGTGTTTGAAGTGGACAAGGTTTCTAGCGTGTTGCCTTGATGCCTGTACATACTTAATAACAGATGTTTGGTCTCTCTAGGCAGATAATTGTCCTTCTGTAAGGTTGACTTGACCTGCCTGAACGGTCCAGCTTCGAGCGCTGCAGCAGTAACAAATGATCCTAGCTTCTCTCTTTTTTACTAGGGAGATGCTCAGCCACGCTTCCTTTTAAGCACATAATTACTCGGCAGCAACTGAAGCCCATACATTCCCCTCTCCTAATGGCCATGGAGCCATTCGGTCATAATTTATGGGGACAGGGTTCAAAGTTTTAATAATATTTGGATAATATCATTGCCCACACGTCGGGGACGTCGTGATGAATAGAAGGAGAGTGGGCTTATTTCGATTCCATGCATGACAGTGAGGACGTTAACGACTGGGTGCCCGGCGTGGCCTTTATGGAAACTGCCACCAGGCCATCAGCTCATGAATTATAGATCTGGGCATGAAGGATCACATAGGGATGTTGTTCATGAGGAACTGTCCTGTTAGCGCCTCTTCCTTATGCAGATAAATGAATTGCAGGGAATACCAAAACGGCGTAAATAAGCCCTTAGTGGATAACACATTAGAACATCAACATAAAAAACCCAGTGCTGGGGCCTGCTTGGGGATATTTATGTTTATACTCTCTGCTCAAGTGGCTCCCTTATTTTTTGGCTTCTTACTGCTCACCTCATAATTCCAACCTCCTAACGGCACCTCTGGGCATGTTTCTCGGATGCTCTGTGGTGCCTGTTGACATTTGTACACAAGTTTGCTCAGAGAAGTGCTTTTGGGTAGGCAGATGGGTGAAGGCTCGTCAAATTCAAAACAGACCTAGTTAGCATTGTCTTGGTGACGTGGTGGGGTGTCCCTAAAACAGAGGCCACACACTGGCAGGTGCTAGCAGAAGAAGAAGGGCAACTATGTCCCCAAAAGTAGAAAGAAGGGAGACCTTCTCAGTCATAAACCAGATAGAAAATATCCTTGGAAAAGATCGAGTTCAACCACACTACTCCCAAAAAGCAGGTGGCAAAATTGAGGTTCAGAGGAGAGCAGGGACTCCCCCTAAATTACAAAACCTTGTTGCCAAGCCAAGATTCCTGACTCCCAAGTGTGGCCCCAGGCTGCCTTATCTGGCCTGAGTTTTCTCTCCCCAAAATGTAAACATTCAACACCAGCACCAAATGATAGTGTTAAGACTAAAACAATGTTTGCCAACTTCCTCCTGTTAATCTAGACTGACTCACTCTGAACTTTGACAAGGTTCGCGTGCCGTGAGCAATCATTGAACTTACACACTCGATATCCATTTAATCTGAAGGATTTATTTGGAAAGAACAGCAATTATAGCTGCACCTCAGAATAACTAGGAAACGGCGCGTTTAAATCTCTTTAAATAGCTTGCCGGAGTTCTACATAGCTCCCCCACACCCAGGTTCTGATCTGGAGTTCTCATTTGCCTGGGCCTTTTTACAGAGCCCGGGAGTGGTTTGGAGCAGGTTTCAAACGTGGAGGTTTGTTTCTCTACTGGGAGGCACTTTACGTTGAGAGCTTTCTGTTTTCTGACACATCTAAGGATGTGTTCTTTTTTTATCTTGCCAGGAGAAAGGAGGTAACAATGTTCTGCTGAATAAAGGCCAAGAACATTTACCCAGTTATAATTTTTTTAATATTCATACAAAAAATTAACTTTTGGGGGATCACAGCTTTATGAATTTTAACACATACATAGAATCATGTAACCACCATCACAATCAGGATACAGAACAATTCCATCACCTCCAAATCTCCCATTAAAAAGTAAACCCCCAGCCAGGCGTGGTAGTTCATGCCTGTAATCCCAACATTTTGGGAGGCTGAGGTGGGTGGATTGCTTGAGCCCAGGAGTTTGAGACCAGTATGGGCAACAAAGCAAGACCCCCATGTCTACAAAAATAAAAAATTTAGCCAGCCACGGTGGTGCACACCTGTAATTCCAACTACTCAAGAGGCTGAGGTGGGAGGATGGCTTGAGCTCAGGACTTTGAGGCTTCAGTGAATGATGATCACACCACTGCACTCCAACCTGGGTGACAGAGAGACCCTGTCCACTCTCAAAAAAAAAGTCAAACCTTCCCTTGGTCCCTAACCTCTAATCCCCACTAATCTGTTCTCCACCCCAATAACTCTGTTTTTTGGGAGTGTCATATAAATAGGTTTATACAGTTTGTCACCTTTTGAGACTGGATTCTTTCTCTCAGCATAGTGCCTTTGAGATCCATCCAAGCCCTTGTCTGTATCTACAGTTCAGTCCTCTTTGTTGCTGAGCAGTATTCCATCACAGAGCCCAGACCTCAAGTCAGGCATCACCAGGTACTTACAGGATGAGGACAGTGGCTAATGGCTGTGATGTGTGTGCTGTGTGCACCACCATCTGTCCTAGTGTTTTACTGTACTAACTCATTTAACCTCTCGACAACCTAATGGGGTGATTACTAGCATTATATCCATTTTGCAGATTAGGAAATTAAACCATAAAGGGGCTACATAACTTGCCCAACATCACACGACTGGTAAGTCAGGAACCACCTATAAGGTTAGAACCAGCCAACCCTTGTGCTTCATCATGGGACATGCTAATTATAAATATCTCTGGAAGGGAGAGGAGAAATGTCAGTCTCCAGGGAGGTGTAAATGACTGACAGTGTTGCCTTGCCAAGAGCAGGCTGTGCCAGGGTTTGAGGAGGACAGCTAACATGATCAGGAGGAAAACAAGGAAAGGGGCATGTACCACATGCCACAGAGAACCACTCCCAGAATGTGCACCCAGATACCCACACACACCCTAAAGGGAAAGGGAGGGAAGCAGGAGAAGGCAGCACTTCACATAAATGCAGTGGCTAACAAATAGGAAACATCCTGGCCTCCGCCTATCCTACTAAGTCTCAGGGGTTGGGAAAAGAACCAGATCTGAGAATTTCAAATTAATTGCCATGAATCCTGGAACTGTCAGTCTCAGGTTTCCAACAGCATGGTCTTCAGCTGTCTTACCTAACCTCCTTTGAAGCCTGAGATGTGGCTGCTGTCCTAGGAATCATAACGACCTAAAACATAAATGTGGAATTCCAGGAGTGATTTCACCCAGCATTGAGCCTGTGGGGAAACTGAGGCCTAGAAAGAGAATGGACTTGGCCAAAGGCACATAGCAAATCAGTAGCAGATCCAGGACTGTAACCCAGATCCCTTCCTCCATACATCCACCCAGTCATTCATTCAACAACTGAACCTACCATGTGCCAGGCACTTTACTGGAAGCTGGAGACAAAGGGTGATGAAGACACAGTACTATCCTACATGGAGTTATAGTTTTGGCAGGAGAAAGACATTAAACAAATGATCACAAGCAAATAGATAATTTAAAGTCATAGGGAAGATTTTAAAATTTTCTCAAGACCCACAGCAAGTGTATTTCCAACTCACCTCAGCTGCTTCTATTTCCTAAATCAACAAGGTGAAGTTTCCTATAGTAGTAAAAGCCTCCACGTGCCCTCTCAATAAGATTATGGAAGAGGTAGTTATGTTGTTCTATAACATTTTTTTTTTGAGACAGAGTCTTGCTGTTGCCCCAGGCTGGAGTGCAGTGGTGTGATCTCGGCTCACTGCAAGCTCTGCCTCCTGGGTTCATGCCATTCTCCTGCCTCAGCCTCCTGAGTAGCTGGGACTACAGGCGCCCGCCACTACACCCGGCTAATTTTTTGTTTTTTCGTAGAGACGGGGTTTCATCGTGTTAGCCAGGATGGTCTCAATCTCCTGACCTCATGATCCACCTGCCTCGGCCTCCCAAAGTGCTGGGATTACAGGCATGAGCCACCATGCCTGGCCGTTCTATAACATTTTAATCACAGGTGTTGAATGCTGGCTCCCCAAATACCACTAACAGCCTGTTGATAAAGCAAAGCTGAATTGATTGGTCACCACAATGAGGGAGAACACCACCTCAAAAGAGCTTTGGCAGTGCTATAGTTTGGATGTTTGATGCCTCCAAACCTCATGGCAAAATATGATCCTCACTGTGGGAGGTGTGGACTAATGGGAAGTGTTTGGGTCATGGGGTGGATCCCTCATAAATGGCTTGGTTCGCTTGTTGCAACAAGAATGAGTTCTCACTGTATTAGTTCCTGCAAGAACTGGTTGTTAAAAAGAGCCTGGCATCTCCCCTCCTCCTCCCTATTTCTCTTGCTTCCTCTCTCACCATGTGATCTCTGCACATGCCAGCTCCCATCTGCCTTCCACCATGAGCAGAAACAGCCTGAGGTCCCCACCAGAAGAAGATGCTGGCACTGTGCTTCCTGTACAGCCTACAGAAGTGTGAGCCAGATAAATCTCTTTCCTTTGTAAATTACCCAGCCTCAGGTATTTCTTTACAGCAATGCAAACAGACTAAGACAGGCAGCATCTTAAATGGGGAAGGGCAAGGTTATTTTTACTGAGATTCTCAAGTCTGGCTTAAAGAGTATTTTCAAAGGGAGGAGGAGTTGGTTAGAATCAGGTAAGTACCATGCTATGATAGGTTAGGATTGGCAGAAACAGCAAAGTGAGGGTTTTGAGGGGGCTACTTCAAAAAGTCTTAGAGGGTAAAGCATTGAATGATTTATATTGGAGAATTGATTTTTTTTTCGGGATATTCTGGTAATGAACCATAAAGTTAATTGACAGGGCAAGAATATTGCTGGAATAGTAAAGTTATGCTAATAAAAACAGGATTAGTAAAATCATGTTATTATAAAAGTAAGCCATGTGGGGTAGATGGCTTAGGTTCTCATAGAAATGATACCTGTTCATCCTAAGCTAGCCAATAGAAGCAATAATTGTAATAACATCTATCACTCTATGCCAATCAGCGAATGTTAGGAAGGCATGAGGAAACCTATTTTACAGCTGCTGACTCTGAAGTGGAGAGGGGCCAAAATGCTCAGCCCAAGTCCTCAACTTTGAAGCAGGAAAACCAGGATTCGAATGCGGGTCTGTCTTTCTCTGTCTCTGCTCTATTGCCACCCAGCCAAAAGGAAAAAAAAGAAAAATTACCCATGATCCCACTACCAATATTATTATTCTGCCCTGAATGTTCTCCTTTAGCTCAAGTCCACCTGGGGAACTTTGTCTCAGACTGAAAGGTTCAAAGAGAGGATCTTCTCTGTTAAGCTGCCAGCAAATCACCACCTCCTCCTTGTTCATCACCATCACCACCATCACCCCCATCACCTCCACCACCATCTCTACTTCTACCAACTCCACCTCCACCACCACAATTTTCATCAACATCTCCACCACCATCTTTACCTCCACCACCTCCATCACCATTTCCACTGCCACCACCACCACCTCAACCACCACCACCATTTCCATGACTGTCTTCACCTCTACCACTTCCACCACTACCCGCATCACCACCACCATCTTTACCACCGTCTTTGCCTCCACCACCACTACTGCCAGCATCTCCATTACCACCTTCACCACCATCACCACCACCTCATCTCCACAACCATTTTCACTTCCAACACCACCACCACCGCTGCCACCACCATCTCCATTATCATCTCCACCACCATCACCACCACCTCCACCACAATCATTACCACCTCCAACACCAGCACTGCCATCACCACCACCTCCACCTCCACCACCATCCCACCACCTCCACCATCACCACCATTTCCACCACCATCACCATCACCTCCACCACCATCCCACCACCTCCACCATCACCACCATCTCCACCACAATCTTCACCTCACAACATTCACCACCACCATCATCTTCATCACCATCTCTACCACCATCTTCACCTCCACCACCACTACCACCACCACCATCTTCATTACCATCTCCACCACATCACCACCACCATCACCACCACATCCACCACTATCATCACCATCTCTACCACCATCTCCACCATCATCTTCACCTCACCCACCACTATCATCACCATCACCACCACCTCCAATACCACTACCACTACTGCCACCATCACTACCAACTATCTCTATCACCATCTTTACCACCACCACCATCTCCACCATCATCACCACCTCTACCACCAGCACCACCATCACCACCATCACCACCACCACCATCACCATCACCATCACCTCCACCACCATCACCATCTCCATCACCACCAACTCCATCTTCACCACTACCACGAGCACCACCATATCTACCACCATCTCCATCACCAGCACAACCACCTGCACTGGGGTGATCGTGCCTTCTTTGTGACATTTCAGAAGGGCTATTGCAACATTCTCCAGGGGTCTTTGCAAGTTGTTTGTGCAAATTTTCTGTGCTCTCACTAGATTGTGAGCTGCTTGAGGGCAGGGACCTTCTGATTTACCTCAAAGCCTCCGAGCAGCTTGCACATGGGCTGACACAGAGAAAAAGCTCAGCCAGGATGTGTTCACTGAGTGAGGGCACATGAGATTCTGGAAAACCTAGATTCCTGCAAAGCAGGCTGAGACAGAGTTCTTGGCCCCCTCCACACCCCTACTGCCTCAGTATTTCTGGATGCCTTTGATCCTCATCTCCCACGCTGGTGTGGGCATGCCCCTCTTTCTGTGCCCCCACACAAGCACTGAGCTGTTTAGAAGGCAGTTTCTGATGCCCCAGTCTTGGGCAATAATAATACTATTATTGTTACTATTATTATTGTGCCAGTCATTGTGCAGGGCCTGAGAAGTGAAGAGGTGGTCAGGGCAGGGGTCCAGCTGGGGGTAGCCTGCTCAGTAGACTGAACTTCATGGCAGCAGGCACCAGTTCACTCAATGCTAAAATTTCAGTCTGCCAAACAAAGACCAAAAGTCAGCCAGTATTTGTTAAGTGAAATGAGCTTTAATTCTAGATATTTACTTTTTAACCTTAAAATGAAACCCCTTAGTATAGTTGTTCTGAAATTTCTGAGTGCATCAGAAGACCCCTCTGGACCACCACTGCTCTCATGCGAGATGAGTGAGAAGGCACAGGAATTGTGAATTGGGAAGACCAGGAAGTCCCTATCCCATCTTCTCCCATCCTGTACCCCCACCTGGCATCAAGGCTTTCCTGGACCATCAGGGCAAATGTGGGAGACCTCATCAAAGAGTCCAGCAGAAAGGCCTGGGCGGGGGCTGGGGCAGACCCTACCTGAGGAAGGGGTGTATCCCCAGTTGGCCTCCTGTTTAGCCAACAAACAGAAAGGGCTAAATCCCCAACTGGACCTGCTTGTTTGAGTAAACACCTCACAGGGCCGCCTGTGTAAACACCCATTGTCTACAGGCGGATTAAGAGTGAGCAGGAGCTGGGCTTTTTTTCTTTCCTTTTTTTTTTTCCTTTCATTTTTTTTAAGCACTGAGAAAAGCCATTAAGGGATTAACACCCCGATTTATGAAAATGGAGGATGATAAAGGAACAATGGGGTGACAGCATTGTGTAAACGACATTGATTCATTTCAGAGACAGGGCTGTTAACTGGGAGAAATGGAGAAATAAATGGAACAATGAGGAGATGCTTTTACCAGCTTGTCATTAATTAGCCGAGAGTACAATTGTTTGATTGTCCTTTTTGAAAAATACAAAATTGGTAGGAAAATACAAGCACTGAGCAAATCGATTATTCTGTGTCACAGGCTGACATCTGCTTTTCCTTTTCTCCTGAAGCTTGCCTCCGGAAGTGGCTTCCTAAGGCAGGAAAAGAAACCTTTCCCTGGCAGGAGGATCTTGAAGGGTTTGGGAATAAAATGACCCCACTGCCCAAGGATACCCCAAACTTCTTGGCACTGGAGGGTGGCCTCTAAACAGGAGAACCCCACCTCCATCCTCTTCTGGCCTTCACCAGTGAGGGAGTGAGGGCCTGGGAGGTGGGAGGTGAGTGGGACCCCCCTGGGAGGCACCTTGCTGCAGGTGGAAGGAGACAAGGAGCTTGGGGAAAGGGAGATGAGCTTCTGGGGGTAGCAAGACTGACACAGTGGTCCCGTACCTGCTGACAGCTCATTCAGCACCACTGTCCAGGATCCAGCAAGATTCCCTCTCTCCACTCATTTCATCTACAACCAGGAGCTGAAGTGCCTGCACTATGCCTGTGCTGGGATGCATTGAATGAAAAGGCTTCTCCAGGCACAGAAAGTGAGCTCAGATCAGAGTGGGTGTCCTGACCACAGTGGACTTTCCAGAGCTGTGAGCAGTGCCAGCCCTGCCTTGGAGAAGGACACATTTCTGGGTTGACGGGTGTTGAAATAAGATTTTGCTGGATCCAAGAGGACTCCGGTTAGGGTGAGCTGGAGAGGAAATGCATGGCGTGGGCTTAGGGCCATGGAGACACACGGGGTAGACGCAGAGCATGTCTATGGGGAATTTTGATGGAGTAAAGAAGGCCAGGCATGTACAGGCTGGATTATCCCCGCCCAGCCACCCAAACAGAGATGCAGCTAGGGAAAGGAGAGACGCTGCTTGAACCCAAGTTCACCTCTCTATTTGTAAGGGAGGTTTGTAAATCCAAACATCCATGTTTGGATTCTAACCTGTCAGAAGAGTTGGCCAACTGGGGCTATTTCAAGAAAGAATCCGACAATCCCACAAAGGGTTAATAGCACTTATAAAGAAAAGGAGCTCACAGAAACAGTATGCAAGGAAACCGTAAACAGCATTGCCATTGTCTTTGCCTTCTGTGACTACTGGTCATTGTTTGGCCTTTAATCTGCAAGCACTATAGATATAAATATAGCTGTCTTTATAGCATTGTATCTTTACAGCCCAAGATAAAACAATGCATCTTTATGCCTCTAATCTTTATATTTATATAAAGATATCTTTAATTGGAAAGATTAGATATGTATGTCTCACAGATTAACGTTGACTGGACATAGATTTTTATGCATTCATTTCCTACATTCAATGTCTCCGATGTGCCAGCCACTGCTCTAGTGCTGGGTATAGAGCAGGGAACAAATGAGAACCCCGGCCCCAGTCCCCACTTTCATTCCCCAGAGAATTACATTGCCGGATGTAAGAGAAAAAACTCAACAAATACGTACTAATAGAAATAGATTAGATAGTAATGAATGCCATGGAAAAAATGGAGCAGGTTTAGAGGGTAGAGAGTGGTGGGGGGTGCTGCTGTTTTCTGTGGGGTGGGCAGGGAAGGTCTCACTGATAACGTGACAATTGAGCAAAGACCTGAGCAGGCAGCTGTGCAGGGGCCACGCTGTTCCAGACAGAGGGCACAGCAAGTGCAAAGGCCTGGAGGCAGGAACATGCTTGGTGGATTAGAAGCAGAGAAAGCTCCTAAGAGGCTGGGCGCAGTGGCTCACGCCTGTAACCCCAGCACTTTGGGAGGCCGAGCACGGCAGATCACTTGAGCTTAGGAATTCAAGACTGGCCTGGCCAACATGGCAAAACCCCGTCTCTACTAAAAATACAAAAATTAGCCAGATGTGGTGGCACACACCTGTAATCCCAGCTACTCAGGTGGCTGAGGCAGGAGAATTGTTTGAACCCCGCAGGCAGAGGTTACAGTGAGCAAGGACTGAGCCACTGCACTCCAGCCTGGGCGACAGAGGGAGACCCTGTCCGGAAAAAAAAAAAAAAAAAAAAAAAAAAAAGATCTGAAGAGGCAGGAACAGTGAGCGAAAGGGAACAAAGTCCAAGATGAGCTCTGAGAGGCACAGATAAGGGGGTGGGGATCTGATCTATGAGTTGAGTTAGCGTAGGCAGGTGAGAAAGGGAAGAGGGAGCTGAAGTCGGCCTGCTGGTCTAAAGGGGCAGGCACTGCTCAGCTCCTGCTGATGGTTGAGCTTGAGAGAGATGAGCATGGAGTGGCCATGTCTTATCATCTTTAAAGCAAGGCTGGATTTTCAAGTGGACTATCCTTATTTCAAATCATGTACAGTTAAACAAAGCATATTTGTGGCCAGATTCACCCACAAGCTATTATATATACCTCCATCTTACCAAGCAAGGAGAACTCACAGAAGTCATACATCTTCTTGCCCTTTATTATCTGGGTGCCAGAGAACTCGGGGATAATTTTAATTTTAAGGCATTGTAACAATACTGCATAAAATTCTCGGCAAAATCATCTCTCTTCTCCCAGTTCTCAGTTTAATATGATTTTTTTAAATGTCCAGTTAAAGGTTGTGTGCTTTTTATTATAAGCAACCTTAAATTATGTTCAATTAGGAATAAATTCTAACAAAACTAAACCGTAAGAGAATAGCTACTGTGATCACACTCTTTTGTAACCATTTATTATGGATGTTCAGGGGGAAAAAAGCCAAGTGCCTGCTTCTTTGATTCTCTATAAAGGAATCTCTGGCTCAAGTCACTTGGAATCCACGCAAACCCTTTAGATAACGGAGGAGATACCATTTGCCTCCCACATGCCAAATCTGATCAGTTGGAAGATGCTGCTGAAAACATTTGTGTTAAGAAGGAATCTGAGGCCATGCTTACATTAAGTAGGAGAGTGCAGGCTGGTCAACTAGAGATGTCTGCTGTCATTATAGATTAGGCATTTTTCCATGGTGTAGGGAGGACAACTCTAATAGAATTGCATATAAAGGCCCAGGTAAAATCAGCCACCAGTTGAGGGCGGAAAAACAGGGACTTTGGCCAAAAGTTAACAGCCCATACTAGTAACAGCCCTGGATTCGAACCCTGTTTGTCTTCTACAAGTTGTATCAAGTTTGTCACATTTCTTAACCCTTTTCAGCCTCATTTCCTCATCCATAAAATGAGGATAATAGTTGTATCTTAAATCATAGGACAGATGGGATGATTAAAAGGAATAACCTTAACTCAACTGTAAAAAGTATAGGCACTCAATCAATATCACCTGTTATTAATATTATTATCATTATTTTTCAGACTGCACCCCCCCACCCCCGTCCATCACACCAGTCACTGTCTTTTAAATAAAAGTAAGGGATTTACTGGCTTATGGAACTGAGAGGTGCTCAGGTCAGAAATCTGGGTTCTGCTGTCACTTCAGCCTTAGGGTTTGAGAGGCAGCTCATGCCCTGTGTTCAAAGCCTGGCTCTGCCACTTTAGAGCTACAGGATCTTGAATGAATAGCTCAGCTCTCTGGGCCTCAGTTTCCTTATCTGTTCATATGGTAGTGGTAACAACTTAGAATGACTTTATAGAACTTCTGTGAAGATTAGATAAGGTAATATATATGAGTCATAACAGCACAGAGCATATAACAAGAGCATAGAATTGTTAGCTTTTATGATTATGATTTTATAATAGATAGTTTGGGATAGTTATTCTTTTGGTTACACAGCTTGTTAACTTCCTGCTTATTTGGAAGAAATTTTCCACTTTCTGAGTCTTGGGAGGAGCTGAGTCCACCTCCCTCAGCAGACGATAAAAATGGGGGATACCCATCTCCCCAGGATCCCTTGCACCTGAAGCAGAGGCATGTGACTGTCTTCCACCAATCAGAAGCATCCAACCCAGGTTATTCATTGGATCTCTGTGGTATAAAAAGTTGGGGATTGGGTAGCATTCATGGAGCAGCAGTAGCCATTGCAGCAAGACCAAATCCCCGGGACATCCATGGCAGGGCTAGGAGAGAGGACACGCACCCAACACATAGGAATGATGTCAACAGTGCCCTCACCAGACCTTCCTGTGAGATGACTGGGGCATCCCCCTGGCTGCGTGGCCTCTGAGCCTGGCTCTCCAGCCCTCCTCACAATGCAGTCAGCCACCCATACTCTTGAATTCATTTCTTTCCTGTGTAAGGCAGCCAGTATCTTTTTCTGTTCCTTGCAGCTAAGAAGCTTCCCGATACAGTAAGGCAAGGCAGAAATCTTCCTCCAAGTTCTGGAAGGTTTTGAGTTTTGATTCTGTTAAATTACTGACCTTATAAAGAAGCCTCTTCCACCATGACTAAGCCCGAGTGGCTTTGCAGTTGGCGTTAACGGGTGTACCCCCCAACCCCTTACTGAGATGTCTGCAGATCCATATGCAGCCAAGGCTGTGACAAAGATCTTGAAATGTCTGCTTTGCCCAGCACTCACCACTCTAGGGTGCCACCTGAACTCCCTAGGGAAGAGCAAGAAATGAGAGGAAGTGAGGAAACTCCCTGGAGAAGAGCAAGAAATGAGAGGAAAAGAGGAAAAGCAAGATATTCTTGGCAGCGGTAGGTTTACTCCACTAGAATCAAACACAAAGCTGTGTGAGGGCACAGAAGTTTGCCAAATGCAGCCTGAGCCCTTCCCTGAGAAAGCCCACTGGAGAAAGAGGAAGCCAAACCAGTTTCAAGGAACGAAGGTGTTGTTGGTAAATAAAAATCAACACCTTTGGCTAAAACTCACTTCGGTATCCACTAGAGCCTGGATACTGACTGGCACAGACTAGGAGCCACAGACATGCAGAGATCACGAATCACCCTGCCTTTTGAGACTGCAAAACTGCCATGTGGAACTAGTGCTGAAAGAGTTGGGAGGGATGGATTCACTTATTAGACACAGCACCTAGGGTGGGCATCAGAATCACCTGAAAGTCCTGTGAAAATCAGATGACAGGACCCCACCTTAGAGTTTCTGATTTAGAAGTTTCTGTTTTCCTTCTAGCAAGTTCTCAGGTGATGCTCACACTTTAAGAACCACTGATGTCTAGATGCAGTGGCTCATGCCTGCAATCCCAACACTTTGGGAAACTGAGGTGGGATGATTGCTTGAGGCCAGGAGTTTGAGACCAGCCTGAGGAACATAGCAAGATCTTGTCTCTACTACATTTATTTATTTATTTTTAGTCTCTGGGCATGGTGGAGCATATCTGTAGTCCCAGGTACTCTGGATGCTAAGGTAGGAGGGTCACTTGAGTCCAGGAGTTAAAGCCCAGCCTGGGCAACATAGCAAGACCTCATCTTTACAAAAAAAAATTTAAAAATCAACTGGGGCTGGGTGTGGTGGCTCATGTCTGTAATCTCAGTACTTTAAGAGGCCAAGGCGGGTGGATCACATGAGTCCAGGAGTCCAAGACCAGACTGGCCAACATGGCAAAATGCCATCTCTACTAAAAAAAATACAAAAATTAGCAAGATGTGGAGGTGCGTGCCTGTAATCTCAGCTACTGGGGTGACTGAGGCATGAGAATCAATTGAACTGAGGAGGCAGAGTTTGCAGTGAACAGAGATCACGCCCCTGTACTCCAACCTGGGTGACAAAGCAAGACCCTGTGGCAAAACAACAATGAAAAAATCAGCTGAGCATGGTGGCCTGCTCCTGTTGTTCCAGCTACTCAGGAGGCTAAGGCAGGAGGATTGCTTGAGCCCAAGAATTGAAGGCTGCAGTGGGCTGTGATTGTGCCACAGAATTCCAGCCTGGATGACAAAGCAACACCCTACCTCAAGAAAAATGAAACAAACAAAAAAATCACATTGGCTTAAAATAAGCCATTTACAGTTTCTTCTGTAAAATGGGAGTAGTGACCCTGGCTCATGAGATGGCCTGAGTGTCAATTACCTTTGTGGGTGTGAGAGTGCTATACACCAAATTGCACCATCAAAATGTGAGTTGTTCATAATAATGCTAATGCAAGTTTCCCAGCGTGAAGCTGGCGTGCAGCTGCATAATCACAAGTGACGCATTTATTGAACCTCTCTGCTATGCTCAGCACTGCTGAGAATATAGTGAGTCCTTCCTTAATGTCATGGGTAGCTTCTCAGAAACTGAGATTTTAGGCAAACCGACACATAATGAAACAAATTTTACCACAGGCCAATTGATACAAACAAAAGTTAAGTTCCTACAGCATATTCCTGTTCACACAAACATTGCCAAACTTCTAAATAAATGCTTCTAACATTAGTCATTTTAATAAATGTGAACTCCACATTCTTTTAAGAGAGATTGAAAAAGACAAGTAAGAAAATTATTTACCCAATTTTTGGTGCATCTGTGAGTGATGGCAGTTGTAGTGGTGGTGGGTTAAATTAAAAAAAAAAAAAGTTCGCAAAACAAAAATTGTAAGGATTGCCTCCTGCCACCAGGCACTTAAAAAATCAAGCACGGATACAGAGGGCTTGCTGGGCACTTCCGTCCACAGCTTTTACTGTGTGCATTTGTAGGATTATTGTAGACTTTACGAATTTTTATTTTACAATAATTTGTCTTCATTCACTTCCCTTTCTTTTCTTTCACTTTTTCTTTTCTTTTTCTTTTTTCTTTTTTTACTTTAAATTCTGGGATACATGTGCAGAACGTGCAGGTTTGTAACATACGTATACACGTGCCATGGTGGTTTGCTGCACCTATAACCCGTCACCTAGGTTTTAAGCCCCACATGCATTAGCTATTTGTCCTAATGCTCTCCTTCCCCTTTTCCCGTCCCCAAGCAGCCCCTGATGTGTAATGTTCCCCTCCCTGTGTCCATGTCTTCTCACTGTTCAACTCCCACTTATGAGTGAGAACATGTGGTGTTTGGTTTTCTGTTCCTGTATTAATTTCCTGAGGATGATGGCTTCCAGATTCACCCATGTCCCTGTAAAGGACATGATCTCATTTCTTTTTATGGCTGCATAGTATTCCATGGTATGTATGTACCACATTTTCTTTATCCAGTCTATCATTGATGGGCATTTGGGTTGGTTCCATGTCTTTGCTATTGTGAATAGTGCTGCAATCAACATACATGTGCATGTATCTTTATAATAGAATGATTAGCATATACCCAGTAATGGAATTGCTGGGCCAAATGGTATTTCTGGTTCTAGATCCTTGAGGAATCACCACACTGTCTTCCACAATGGTTGAACTAATTTACATTCCCACCAACAATGTAAAAGTATTCCTATTTCTCCACAGCCTCGCCGTGATCTGTTGTTTCTTGACTTTTTAATAATCACCATTCTGACTGGTATGAAATGGTATCTCATTGTGGTTTTGTTTTGCATTTCTGTAATGATCAGTGATGTTGAGCTTTTTTTCATATGTTTGTTGGCTGCATAAATGTCTTCTTTTGAGAAGTGTCTCTTCATATCCTTTGCCCACTCTTTGATGGGTTTGTTTGTTTGTTTCTTGTAAATTTGTTTAAGTTCCTTATAAATTCTAGGTATTAGACCTTTGTCAGATGGGCAGCTTGCAAAAATTTTCTCCCATTCTGTAGGTTGCCTGTTTGCTTTGATGATAGTTTCTTTAGCTGTGCAGAAGCTCTTTAGTTTAATTAGATCCCATTTGTCAACTTTAGCTTCTGCTGCAATTGCTTTTGGCGATTTCATCATAAAACCTTTGCCCATGCCTATGTCCTGAATGGTATTGCCTAAGTTTTCTTCTAGAGTTTTTATGGTTTTGGATTTTACATTTAAGTCTTTAATCCATCTTGACTTAACTTTTGAATAAGATATAAAGAAGGGGTCCAGTTTCAGTTTTCTGCATATGGCTAGCCAGTTTGCTCAGCACCATTTATTAAATAGGGAATCCTTTCCCCATTGCTTGTTTTTGTCAGGTTTGTTGAAGATTAGATGGTTGTAGATGTGTGGTCTTGTTTCTGAGGTCTCTATTCTGTTCCGTTGGTCTATATGTCTGCTTTGATACCAGTACCATCCAGCCCTGCTTATTTATTCTGGTTCAGGGTTGTGGGTGGTGAGCATCCACGCTGGCCAGGATGTCATCCCATTGCAGAGAGCACTCACACCTACACCCATACTTGCTCACACTAGGACTGTGTAGACATGCCAATGAAACTCAGATGCACAGCTTTAGGATGTGGGAGGAAACTGCAGTACCTGCAGAAAACCCAGGCAGACATGGGGAGCATGTGCAGACTCCACACAAACAGGGGCCCCTGAAGGAATCTTCTTTTTTCATCAAAGTTATAATGAAATTACGCTGAATGGAATGATGCTATTGGAGGGCCTGCCGAACAAGAGAGCAGCTGAAATGATCTCACCACTCCACAACGGCAGCTGCTCCTATTCATTTTCTCATTTTCCACTCAAGACAATCCTTGGGTTTGGTAGCCCCATTTTACAGAAGGAAACTTAGCTCTAAGTTATGAGGGGACTTCCAGAAGCCACCAGGAGTGGACACTTTCTGGGGTGCCTGAGCATCTCCCAACACGCTCCCCACCCAGAGCTGCCTTCCCACCCTCAGGGGTTGCCTAGATGTCAACTTGGTGCTTTGCAACCCTGACATTCTGGCCAGAGTTGTTGGATCAGAGGTTGACTCCTGACCTGAGATGGTCCAATTAGCATCTGCCTCCTGGAAACTTAGAATCACTGCTGAGAGACTGAGTCACCAAGTGTGGACCAGAGGATGCCAGGGTGAGAAGGGAGAAGAATA